>NC_000011.10:134458245-134767433 GCF_000001405.40 Homo sapiens | reverse complement strand
CTTCCTAACTGGGCAGTGGGTTCCCCTCTGGCCCGGGGCTCATCTAAATGCCCCTTCTGCGGGTGTCAGTGGAGTTTGGCCTGGTGGGCTGTTCCACTGTGACAACGAGCTCTGAGTTCTAATGCAAAGTCCCATCCTCACCTTGCTCTCCCTCATCCAAGCACACAGATTTTTTCTCCCTGATGCACTGCCTGGGGCTGGGGGAGGGATGGTGTCGACAATGAGAAACTGCCTTCCTACCCACTTCAATACATCTTTCCATCTTATGCTAAAACTAGATACTGTGATCTCTCACCTAGTATTATGAAGGGGCTTTCTTGCATGGATAGTTGTTCAATTTGATGTTTCTGCAGGATGGTCATTGGAGAGTTCCATTCAGCCACCTTTCTTCATTTTATGTTGTGCCACTTTCCTAATCAATTCATTTTGATTTTCTGTCTCTTTATATGTTTGCTATTTGTTCATGCGTTATTCTAGTCATGTCCTTTAGTTATTTGTCTGCAGTTTCCTTTAATTCTTTGAGCACATTTAAGACTTCTGATTCAAAAGCTATCTAGAAAGCCCAATATCTGTGCTTCATCAGGGATAGTTTCTATTTTGTTTTCTTTTCCTGTAAATTAACCATATTTTCTTGCTTCTTCGCATGCCTCATAACTACAGTTTTGAAAATTAACATTTTGAATATCATAATATGAAGCCACTTTGTGACTTACTTCATATGTTCTTTCACCACTAATACATTCTGTTTGTGACGTATCTATTTAAATATTTTCCCCACTTTTACTGGGTTGTTTGTCTTTTTATTATTGACTTGTAGTTCTTTCAATATTCCGGCTACCAGTTCTTCGTTAGGCTGCATTTTGTGAATATTTTGTCCTTTTTTGTCATTTACCTGTACATTTTCTGAATATTCCCTTGATGGGCAACATTTTTTATTTAATCAAGGTAAATTTATTATTTAAACATATATTCTTTTCTGTATCCTCTCTAAAAAGTAGTTACTACCACCAAGTCTCAAAAATATTTCCTAATAGCTTGAAAAATCTCTAAAAGCTCTACGATTTAGCTCTGGCATTTAGGTCAGTGCTCTGTCTTGAATTAGTTTCTGTATACAGTGTGAGATAGGAGGGCAGAGAATAAAATATGAGACACTCGGGTGAAAGACTGTCCTCCAGGGCTCGGTGAGGGCACAGAGAGGCAAAGCTGCAGGAGGACTTCATGAAAGTGACTCCAGCTGAGCCTTCAAGAAAGAAACCTGCAGTCGGCAGATCACAGGGAAAGGACATTGTGGGAGGAAAAAACACCAGATGCAAATGCGTGGAGAATTAAAAAGCCTGAGTGTGGCGAAGGAACTTCTAATAATAGAGTCAGCCAAAAAGTGTGTGTTTGGTGAGGCGAGGAGGAAGGGTCGTATTTGAGGCAGCGTTTGAAGGGCATTGGAAGAGTTGGACTCCACTCCCAGGGCTGTCATCCTCCCCTTATCTAAGCACCCACCCCACCACCATGCTAGTCTCTTACCTCCAGCCTCATCCTTCCACCAGGAATTTGCCATTTCAGCTAAGCTTTAGCCAGAACAGTGTAGGCAGGTCCCTTTACTCTTTGGCTCATGATTTCACCCCATCCTCCCCCATGCCTCCGTTGGGATTCCCAGCTCAGTTGTTCCCAGAGAGGTTTCAGGCCCAAGGCAGACAACTCCCCACCTGGCCCAAGACCAGCACTGAAAAAGGCCTCACCCATCTCTCATCTCAGGACCGTGGTGATCTAGAAGTGAAAGAAACTGAATGCATTCAGAGTTAATGCAATGTCTTCACAGATTAATTGGCTGTCTAAAGAAAATTGAGTGTGTTCTTTTGTTTCTGGTGGAGCACAGCAGAGGTGGAGAAAACTTCATATGTACAAAAAACAACAAGATATTCCACTGTCTCTTACTTTGCAAAGCTTTAAAAACTTATACGAATAGAGAGCAGGCATGCTGCATGCTGCCAACAGATTTAGTATTCATTTTGAATGATTTGTATGAAATTCAAGGCTTTCCTGTACATTTTTCTTAATTTATTTCATTAAATAGCTTTTTACTTGCCTTAAGTATATTTATATCATTGCAATGAGATCATTGGAGAAGCCGCTCTGTAATATGTGAGATAGATTTCTTTTCTAGAATTCCAATGCCACTTCAAGAGACAGAGTAATGAGGGACAGAGAGGGAGGGAGGAAGTGGGAAGGGCGCCGGAGGGAGCAGGAGGTAAGGGACACTGAAAGCTGGTCATTCAAAAGGGGGAAAAGGTGGAAATTTGCAGGGACTGTCATAAGCTTTTCCAAACTGGGGCACACAGATTTGTTGTTTGTTCTGCAGGGTGCTTTGCACAGCGTCAGGCATTGGTGGACTTACCTAAGTACAGGAGTTGGGGCAGCTGAAGCCCAACCCAGGGAGGAGAAGAGGGGCTGTGGTGAAGTGGGATGGAGAACAGAGAAGGCACAGAAACAAGGTAGAACAAGCAATAGACAGAAGAAGGCAGGGAAGAATGGAAAAGGGGATGAAAAAATAGGTCCCCAGAGACGGGCTGTGGCCAAGCCCCTCAGGTCTTCACAGGCCACCTCATTAGGACACACCAACCTCAGGACCCACGGAGGCCTGGGACTCTCACCCCCTCCATTAGCTTGGAGGAACTCTGCCCATGTGGAGCCAGTCCCTGCCCTGCACAGCTCTGAGTCCACGGGAGATCCTGCACCTTGAACCTGCCCAAAGGGACCTCCAAAAAGACCACAGACCTCCCACCTCAACAGCAGGTGTTTGTCCCCCAAGCCGTGACTGTGAGACAGGCACAGTCCTGCTCTAGGGAGGCAAGAAGCCAACTCTTGGGGATCACACCCCGTCTCCAACTCGATTCAGAACAACAAACCCCAGCAGACCTCTCGGGGGTCAAGGCCTTTGCTGGATGCAGCAGGGAAGGGAGAAAGCCGTCTTGTACAGTCTGGCATGTAGCAGGAGGAGAATGGGCATTGAAGGACCTCTGTCATGGACCAAACGCTGCGCTAGGTGCTTCCTAGCATCACCTAACCTGCAGAACTACGTGAAACAGGACACATTATCCCAATTTTTACAGGTGGGTAAACTGAAGCTCAGAAGTTCTGCATAATGTGCCTAAGCCACAAGTGACAGAGTATAGATGAAGACACGTACCTGAATGGATATAGCACAAAGCAAAGCCCTACCCACAGCTCATCCTTCTTTGTAACCCCATGTCCAGTACAATGTCTGCAAAATTGCAAGATGCTTAGTAAGTATGTATTGAGTGAATGAGTAAAGTGGCTGCCTACAGTATTTAAGATGAAAGGAGATCAGATTTGGTTTCGGAGAACAGAGCAGATGTCGTGGCGTCAGTAATCACTAGGGTGTCCCTTTAAGGATATGAGGACTGTGGTGAGCAGGGATGGCTATGAGGGCAGAGAGGAAAAATCTCTGAGTATAGGAGAGATTGGAGCTTTTGTCCAACATAATTCCCCACGCTGAACGTCTGTTTTGCCCAGGTCAATCTCATTTGTCTTTTCCAACTGCATGACAGATGACATTTATTAGCCCCGTTTTGTGCAGCCTATTTTAAATAGATAAAAACAAGATGAATAGAGAGTGCACATTTATTTAATTGTGGATGACACGGCCTGTTATGGGTCACTAATAGATTGGATTACAAAATAAAGATTCAAAAATAATTCAGAAAACATAGGCCAAAGTTGATAACACTGGCAGCTACAGGGATAAACGTAGAGTCATTTACTGAACACACACTGTGGAGGGCACCAGGGTTTCGGGACCCACGCTCGTGCCTGGGGTCGAGAGAAGCTGATATTTGAGCTGAGCTGTCAAGAAACAAATAGTTTTTTTCTGAGAGAGAAGAGCACACGGCGCTTATGGAAGAGATGGCATGAGCCAAGTTGTGGAGGGACAGACAGAGCTTCTGGGGGAAGATGGAGCAGTTGATCTACTCGTTTAAATGTGCGCTGAATGTCAGCCGTGTGTCAGGCAAGGGCCGCGTGCTAGGAACACAGCCCTGAGCAAGAGGACCTCACGTTTTGAGAACAGATTGGTGTTAATTGCCGTAAAGTAACTGAGGAGCAGAGTGAATGAACAGTGCGAACCGGGCCTACATTAGACAAACAGGGCTCAGGAAAGCCACCACCGCCGCCGGCTCCCAGGCCGCTCCAGGAACCCACTCAGTCCTGGCAAATCAGGGTAATGAGTCACCCTGGCAGAGAAGGCTTCTCAGAGCAGGTGGTAGCTGAGCAGAGACCTCACTGATGGGGCAGGTCAGCTGAGCTCGCCAGAGGCCTGTGGAGAGCTGCGGGGCCGAGGGGCGCGCTACCCACGGCCGTTCTCACTCTGTTACCTCTCTCTGGAGACCCCGGCTTCTCCCCTGAAGGCCTGGGGGCCTCACCCACGGCCTGGCCCGGAGAGCGGTCGTGATGAGGATCAAAAGAAGCAAGGCTGTGGCTGGGACAGGGCACTGCTCGGAGGCCCGCCCTGGAGGCAGGCGGCCACCAGCCTTCTCTCTCCTTCCCGCACTTTCTCCGGGCCCCGGTCGCAGGGACCAGCGGGCAGCCTTGGCTCTGGGGCGCCCTCCTTTCTCCCTGCAGCCCCAGGCGGGCTTCCGGGGGCTGCGCTTCCTCCCCAGCCAAGGACAGCGCTCACCCGCCCCCCAGTCCCCACGCACCAGCTGTGCAGCCGCCGCCGCCTCTCTCGTCTCCGTCCAGTGAGTTCTCCGCACTGCAGAGGGCGAGATCCCGAAGGCCTGGATCCGCGCAGAAGCAGGGAGCACCTTCCATGGCCGCCGCCATCCTCAGCACCGTCCCGCGGCTGCCGCCATCCTCAGCACCGGAAGGAAAACCAGGCCGCCGCCATCCTCAGCACCGGAAGGAAAACCAGGCCGCCGCCATCCTCAGCACCGGAAGGAAAACCGGGCCGCAGCACGGCCTTGTTGGGCTCCCTCCGAGCTCTCTGCCGCCTTCATGATCCAGCCCCGGTCTGACCCCCGCCTCCTTTCTGGCCTTTGTTCCACCCCCTGTCTGAGCCTTCCCCAGTCCGGACTCGAGGCCGCTCTGTGCAACTCCACCCTTCGCTACCCCGCCTGGTCCAGCGGATCCGCCCCCAGCCTCTCCAGGCCGGCGCCTCCTCTACCGGGACTCAGCTGCGCGCTCCTCAACGGGCCTCCCCGGCGGCGTCTGCGCTGCTGGAGTCGGCGTCCGGCTCCTCCCGAGTACCGGGGCTCCTGCGGGCTCCGCGGCCGGCTGTGCTGGGCCCCTTCTGCTCCCACAGCTGGGGAGTGGCCCCTGCCTGGGTGCAGGCCATGGCTCCTAGCCACTCTGACACGTCTGTGGCAGCATTTGGGATGCCCAGGCTGCTTTGTATTCCTCTTTACACAACCTTCCCAGCCACAGTTAGCTCGTACCCTGGCGTCTCGAGGCCTCCTGAGGCCTCCCTGGCTCAGTTTCTCAGAGACTGGTTGGGGTTTGAACCAAGTGAAATCTGACCCTTCGAGATCTCTGACTCAGCCATTCGTTCACTCGGCAACCACTTATTGATCATCTACTGGGTTCTGGGATGGAGAACTGCTGATTACTGAAAACCAGAAAGGTTTCCAGGAGTGATGTCTAAGTGACATGAAAACATTAATTCAAGCAGAGGAAAGCAGGACGCATTAATTATCACATTGCTCTGCCACCGTCAGGCCCTCTTGTCGGGTCAGCTTCACTGTGCATCTGGCAGAGGTGGGGACTTTTAAATGAACTTACTAGAGTAAGTACCAATTAAAGCATTAGGGGGACTTAGCGTTGACAGCTTGCAGCTGGCTTGTTCCCGGAGTGAGTATTAAGTTAGGCATTGCTGTGCTGCCGAAATGCTGTGCGCAGAGCCTGCTGGGCCACCTGTGACCCGAAGAGCGGAGGACCGGGGCCTGCCACTCCATGGGGCCAGGCCAGAGGCAGGTCTGCAAGAGGGGTCGGTCTCACGAGAAGGAAGTGGCTTTACTGCTCTCAGATCTCACTATCCTCAAGTGAGGACTTTATTTCTTGGTCCTTAAGTGTTTTACTTAGGTTGACTTGACTGCTTTATCAAACAACTCTGATTGCCAGTGGTTTAATACAATGGCAGTTCATTAGTCCCTCTCCATATTGCTCCTGTAACAAAGAACTAAAACACAACTTTATTATCAAGTTATGGAGGCCAGAGGCCTGACATGGGCCTTGCTGGGCTGCAATCAAGGTGTCTGCAGAGCTGGCTCCTGTTCGAGGCTCCAGGAGATCCCGTATCTTTGCCTTTTCCAGCTGTTAGATGCTGCGGCAGAGGCCTTGGCTTGTGGCCCCTTTCTTTCCTTCAAGAAGGAAGGGAGGAAGGGAGGGAGGAAGGAGGGAAGGAAAGAGAAAAGAAGAAGGGAGGGAGAAAGGAAGGATGGAAAGAAGGAAGGAGGGAGGGAGGGAAGGAGGGAGGGAGGGAGGGAGGGCAGGCAAAAAGGAAAAGAAAGAAACATTATAAATAAAAATTAGTTTTATAACAGTAAGTATATTTAGTGCAGAGAATCACAACTAATTACTAATTTAAGAAAACTGGCCAAGAAACGTCATAAAACCAAGAAAATAACATTACTTAAGTTAATCAAATATCTGACACTTTTGCTAACGTTTTTGATTGTTCGTTTGGCTAAATACTCTTTGATTACTTAATCCTACAACAATGATTTTGTAAAATAATTTTCCACAACCAGGACAGAAGATAATATACTCCTTGTTCTAGCGTGGTTAATTTGCTTACTTTTTGGAGTTTGATAAATTCATTATTACTAAATGATGTACATTTTTCAGATTGTTGCGAAATTAGGGGAACCCTCCATGACCTTCCTGCTGTGCACAGGCCGAGCTCTGGTGCTGAATCCTCAGTCACATTGGAGGCGATGGCTCACACGGGGCCCTGCTGTGCACGGGCTGCGCTCTGTGCAGTGCCAAGTCCTCAGTCACATTGGAGTCGATGGCTCACAAGTCCTCAGTCACATTGGAGTCGATGGCACACACAGGTCCCTGCTGTGCACGGGCTGAGCTCTGCGCACTGCCAAGTCCTCAGTCACACTGGAGTCGATGGCACACACAGGTCCCTGCTGTGCACGGGCTGAGCTCTGCGCACTGCCAAGTCCTCAGTCACACTGGAGTCGATGGCACACACTGGTCCCTGCTGTGCACGGGCTGAGCTCTGCGCAGTGCTGGGTCCTCAGTCACACTGGAGTTGATGGCACACACGGGGCCCTGCTGTGCACGGGCTCAGCTCTGAGCACTGCCAAGTCCTCAGTCACACTGGAGTCAGTGGCACACACTGGTCCCTGCTGTGCATGGGCTGAGCTCTGTGCAGTCACATTGGAGTCAATGGCACACACGGGGCCCTGCTGTGCATGGGCTGAGTTCTGTGCAGTGCTGGGTCCTCAGTCACATTGGAGTCGATGGCACACACAGGTCCCTGCTGTGCACGGGCTGAGCTCTGCACGCTGCCAAGTCCTCAGTCACATTGGAGTCGTTGGCACACACGGGGCCCTGCTGTGCATGGGCTGAGCTCTGCGCAGTGCTGGGTCCTCAGTCACACTGGAGTCGATGGCACACATGGGTCCCTGCTGTGCACGGGCTCAGCTCTGAGCACTGCCAAGTCCTCAGTCACACTGGAGTCAATGGCACACACTGGTCCCTGCTGTGCGTGGGCTGAGCTCTGTGCAGTCACATTGGAGTCAATGGCACACACGGGGCCCTGCTGTGCACGGGCTGAGCTCTGCACACTGCCAAGTCCTCAGTCACATTGGAGTCAATGGCACACACAGGTCCCTGCTGTGCACGGTCTGAGCTCTGCACACTGCCAAGTCCGCAGTCACACTGGAGTCGATGGCACACACGGGGCCCTGCTGTGCATGGGCTGAGCTCTACACACTGCCAAGTCCTCAGTCACATTGGAGTCGATGGCACACACAGGTCCCTGCTGTGCACGGGCTGAGCTCTGTGCACTGCCAAGTCCTCAGTCACATTGGAGTCGATGGCACACACCTGCCAGTTTCTCACGGGTGCCCTCGTTTTGTAATTTACTGTTTTATCTGATCTTTATTGATAGCAACATATCTAGTCAACTCAGAAAGATATTTATGCTCTTCCCACAGATGGTTCCTAACTAATGATCTCACAATCCAAGAGTTTATCTGTCATTTGCATTAGACGTATATGTCTTTACTATACTCTACACTTGAGTGCCTGCAAACCACATAAATATACCCACCAAACCCAAACCAGGTAGAGTTTATTCAGACTCTCCATGATTAGCCCCCAAATCCCTGCAGCTGCCCCAAACCCTCAGGCCTGGAGGGGAAGTGGGGGAAGGCAGAGTGCAATGTCAGGCTCGGAGGGGCTGGATGCTGGTCACCACAAATTCTGCAGTCTTTCCTCACTTTGTGGTCCTGGGTAAGCTGCATAAACTGGCTGCACCCAGCATTCTCTTCTCTGTCATGTGTGGCCATTCAACGTTACATGGTGCAGTGAGAACCAGATGAGTGATGTGTGTGGAAGGCCCTGGCTTGGTTTGTGGCGCATAGTAGGTAATCAATGAATAATGACTTCCACACACCCCTCTGCAACTGTCTCTTCTAGTGATTTCATCAGAGCTTCCTAAAGGAGCTTATGATTCTTTCTTGGGCTGGCCGCCCTGAGGGCAGTGCTCTGCAAACAGGGAATGTTTCTGCTGATGTGAAAGTGATGCCGGATACCTGGCCTTCCACCTCCATCAGCCTCTTGTTGACCAGCTGTCTTGGAAGCTTGGCTGGGGGACCCTCCAGATGCCACAACCTTTCAGTGGAGCACTCTGACTCCCAGGGGACCCTCCGGGGCCAGGCATGGGAAAGAAGCCCCTGCTGAACCTGGAGAGCAGACGGCTTGTGCCTGTGCCGTGGATTCAGGATGCCGCCAGGCCCACTGGGCACAACAGAGACACGTGCTCTCCACCTGTCCCTAGCAAGGGAACAGGGTCAGGGACAGAGAGCAAGCACAGAAAACTGCAGTGACTTCACGGTGGCTGTTTGCTTTTGCATGGACACTTACAGCTCAGGAAAGCATCCCGTGATGCTGTCTCACAGTAACTCACAAAGCTCAGTGAGCTGGTAAGACACGTGCTATTACTCCTGTCTCACAGAAGGAGGAAGGAGAGGCTCTGGAAGGGAAAGAACCAGGTGGATGTGTGGAACTGGGGGAAGGGCTGGGACTTGAGGTGCAGTGAACCTACCCTTCTTGCCTTTCCTCCCTCTCCTTTTACCCCTCCCCTTGCCATGCTGATGGACCCTCAGACCTTGACACATGGAAACAGAAAGTTCTCTGCAACTTAGAGGTTCTCAAGGAGTTCTCAAATGAGTGTCAGCAACACCTGGGAACACTGATAGAAATGCAGATTCTCAGGCCTCGCCCCAAAGTCACTAAGTCAGAAGCCTGGGCATGGGACTCAGCAATGTGTGTTTCAACAACCCTTCCAGGTAACCCTGATGCATGTGAGGTTTGAGAGGTCCTGCTGGAACTGAAGCAAAACCTCATGTCCTCTGAGGCCCAACATGAGAAAAATTCCAAAAAGACACCGTGCTAAGGTTGCAACAGTCAGAGCCAGCCTTGTCTAGGTCCCCTCCATCCCAGAATTCTGTCATGTTGATTCCTGCATCCACCAGCTTGTTCACCCCTGAGATTATGCTGATCATAGGCTATGTCAAGGGCCCAGGTGTCAACAAACCGCCCTGTCTTTGGTTTTCTACAGCACAGTTGTAATAGACCAAGACTTTCAGAAAGACCCTTCCTTAAATGCTTGCAAAGTGAAGCATAAAGTGCTAGAGAAACTATAGAGGGCACAAAGACAGTGGAAGGAACTCCCTACCCTTCTGTCCAGCCCTGGCCTGCTCAGTGGCCACCACCAGACGCTCTGAGCTCTGCCATGCTCCAGTTCTTTCTCTGCACCCCCCTTTCCAGAGCTGGGAGGGTGTGACACAAATCAATCCCCTCAGTACTCCTGGAGACACCAAGGGCAGGGTGGGGCCAATGACAGCCTTGAGAGGCAAGACACACCCACCTCTTCAGAGCAGGTAAGCACATTTGAGCTCCGGAATGCCCCCCTTCCTCCACCTCGCAGGCGGGGTCAGGCTGCTTTCTTTACCGAAGTCTGTGTTTCCGAACTCACACCTTCATGGGGATCCCTTGTCAAGGGGGCCTCTGCTCCTGCTCTCAGCTCAGTTCCACCTTCTGACCTCACTTTGCCCAGCATGACCTCACTCTGTCCACTAATGCCAGCCTTTGATATTGGGCATCAGCTGCCCTGTGTGCCTATGACCCTGCGTACACCAGCTCTGTCTCCCTCAGTTGGATGGCAATTCCTTCTTGTGTTTTACATCTGTTTGTATCCTCTGAAGGTCTAGTGAAGTGGTTTTCAGCACTGGCTACCTATTGGGATCACCACGGGGAGCTTTTAAGAAATATCACGTCTGCAACTTAGCCACAGTTATTCTGAGTCAATTGGCCAAGTGTGTGGCATAGAGATTTGTACTTTTAGCCATGCAAGCATGACAAAGAATCACTGGCTGACCTCTTGGACGTATACTAAGGCACTGAAAAATATTTACAGTAGCTGCTGCTAATGATAATGGTGATGACTACCACATATGGAAACCTTAGTATGGGAATGCACAGGATCAAATATTGTGACTGTGAATGGAGAAATGAGCTTAGATCCCTCCTGTGGTGGTGGAGGAAATGTAATGCTTTTCATGCTGAGGGGAGTCAGGCAGGGGTGCCTGCTTGCTCAGTCAGGGCCCTAGAAGCCTCCCTTCCTTGGGGTTACCCTTAGCAGCCATGTTCCTGCACTCAAGCACTTGGGAAGCAATGCCATCAGGATGACGCTCTGATTCTGAAGTGAAGATTCTAATTTGGAGAAGGGGTCTATCAGAGAGCTCTGGGCACTGGAGTAGTTTAGCTGATGAGACAGAGGGAGCTTCAGAAAATGGACTCTTCCTTTCACCACAGTGCTTTCTGGAGGCAACACTGCCAACGCCCACAGCAATAACATTTGTGAGTGATCTATAATTTCCAAACCCTCCCTCAGCCAAGAACTTGATCTCCCAACATCAAAAGGCAAATTCTTGCCCCACTTTTACAGATGAGAGCGCTGAACTTAAACTGGATTCGAGTGCATTGCATAACTAGTAAGTCCTTTGGTGTGGCCTATTTTCCTCCTTTCTCTCCACCACATTGTTACTAGATTGTAGCAGAACACCACACACAAGGAATGTGTTACTACAGAGCAAAAATGTGGATTCTGCTTGATACACACTTTTACAAAAGAGGAAACTCTGCTCTCTGGGATGGATAAGGTGAAATTCTCCCCCAACATAACGAGGGTGGCACATGTGTCCTCCTAGTCTTTTTCTGACTGTGACAGTCTAACTACAATGGTCTTAACAACGAGAACTCCCAAAACTCTGGGTTTGTCCAGTGACCATCAGCAGCGGGTATTGTTGCTGGGGAAGTGGGTCACAGACACCTTGGCATGCCATGCCCTGCCTAGGACACTGCTGCCTCGCCTCCCCAGTCACCTGATTTCCTTGTGATATTCTTTGCATTAAATGATACAAATGAATTCACACACGAAAGAAGACACTGCAGGTAAATTCATAGCTCCACGGCTTGCCTCGCCTTCCTCACAAGGCCCCACTCAGTGTGCTGACTCTGAGAGGAACCGTTCAGCAGCCGTGGGGAGCTCTAATGCTCCAGAACCCAACCGTCCCCATGCTCTACCCAAACCTTGGCCTGGTCATTCATCCACGGGACACTTGGCTTGAAGCACCCAGTGCCCCACTCCATCCTGTCCCTGTGCTGGGCATCCTGCTCTAAATAGACAGGTCTCCCTGTCTCTAGACCCATCCAATCCATCCATGCGCTGCTGCCTGGAGCACTATTCTGACCACACTCCCCTAGTTCCAAGTTCTCCCATGATTCCCTGTTGCTGATAGAATCAACCTCATTAAACAAGGTCTTCACAGACCTGCCCCAGTCCAGATGCAGCATGAGCAGGGCTAAAGGTGCAAACTCTGGAACAGGAGCCAGTCTGGATCCTGGATCTGCGTCTACTAGCCCTCAGCTCCGAGCACGCTATTTAACTTCCCGTGCCTCATGTTTCTATCTGTGAGGCAGAAGCTGTCACAGAACTCATCTCACAAAGTTTCAGAATTGCCAGAAGCATTGCCTACGAAGCACAGGGCATCTCTTAGCATCCCTGCACCCCAGCATGCACACACACAGCCCATACACAAACACGTGTGCATGCATGGCTGGCCCATTCCTGGCCCCCGGTTCTCCCTGCACTCCCCACAGATGCTCCATGGTTTCCGGGGTGCGAGCTTCCGAATTCAGGTTGTGTCCCTGTAGACACACTGCTTGTGCTGCACACTGGGCAGCCTAATCTAAAAACCGTGCTGTTTTCTTCATCAGAGGGTCAGATGGCCCCAGTGAGGAGGACTCAGCCACCCCTGAACACAGATTTTGGGTCCACGCCGGGAAGTTACAGAGGTCCTAAGCCCGTCACCTTCCCTAGGGATGCTAGTACTGAAACTTATGGATGGTACAATTGCAGTGAATCTTCTGGGACCTCTTAAGCCACTGACGTGCTTCTTTGTCCGCAGAACAAAGACAAGCATTGTGCAGTGCGTACACCCAGGCTGGCCGCGACCTTCCCCACCCAATGTCCAGGCTCCAGGGATGACTACATCCTCAGTTCCAGGTGGGTGGAAGCCAGGTGGCTGCAGCAGGCGGGATAATGTCCCCGCCCTAATCCCCAGGACCTGTGAAGACACTGCTTTAGACCGTGAGGCGCTGTGCAGATACAGGTGGTGCTAAGTCCCTGGAGATGGGGGTACTCCTGGATGTCCTAGTTGGGCCAACTGGATGCGGTCATATGATGGCGGAAGTGGAGGGTAGAAGAGTGTGTCAGAGGCCCTTAGTCCTACAACAAGCAACTGAATTCCCCCAGTGACCTGAATGAGCAGAAGGAGCAAGGAAACAGACCCTCAGCACCCTCAGGGAGGAATGCGGCCCTGCGGGCACCTTGACTGGAACCCATGAGACCCACGTCCAGCTCTGATGACAGAACTGTCATCTTTGTGTTGTGTTAAGCCACTCTGTGCCATAGAAAGCTGAGGTAGGGATAACATGAGCCGGGGCTGTCACCAGTGGGGATGCAGGCCAGGGGATGGCAGAGGCCGCTGCAGCACTGGCAGGAAAGCTGTCTCAGTGCAGACTGAGCTTGGGGGAGGAGTGGGATGAGACGGCCTTGGAGGTGCTTGAGAAAGTGAGTGTGAGGGAGAGACAGGTCAAGGGCAAGCCCTAGGCTTCCTGCAGCTGTTACGGATGAGACTGACGGCCTCCATCCTACCAGGGGACCGCTGAAAGGGCCAGGTTTGGGGAGTGGAGGTCCACACTCAGCTCCTGGTGCCTTGAGACACCCTCCCCCAACCCCAGACAGGAGGCTGAGTGGGAGTTCCATCCACAGCGCTGCCTGGCAGGATGCAGAGCTCCTCCTGAGCTGCTCAGCTTGAGGCTCTCGGCAGCCGCTCTCGTCTCCTCCGTGGCAGCAAAGAGGCCAGTGCCCAGCGGTGGGAAAGGTGCCTGTCTGAGAGTTTCACAACAACTTTGAGAAGATTCTATCAGGTAAGGAGAAGGATTGTGGGCAAATAAAAAGCAAAAGCAAAAGAAGCTGACACCCTCAGGGCCACTGAACTGACAGTCCCCCGGGCAGAAGCTTGTCAGGCATTTGGAGGAAGTCAAGTCCTGCTCCTTGTGAGGCAAGAAAGGTCACCTCCAGGACACTCTGGGGAGACACCTGCCCTCTGCGATGGGGAGACTGATTTGAGGATAACTTGGAACCATCACAAGACCATCTTCTCTCGCCTTGGTAATAAGCCATATGTCCTCTGGGAAGCTTTGCCTCCTTGGGCTTGGGTGGTGTTGGGCAAATCTCCAAGGAGAGGAGTGAGAATTGGAGACTATTTTTGTTTCAGGAACTAGAGAATTGCAGATGCTCTGGCACTTTTAAAAGAATCCATCAAGAGAGGAGGATTATGGGCAAACGAACCTTCAAGGAAAGACTCTGGCTTACTGTGGCCTGAAACTGATGCCTTGGTGGCCCGCAATGCTGGCTTTACCGCAGTTGCCCTCCCTAGAGGACACTGCCGCTCCTCGGAGAGCCACCCTCCTGCCTGTCCCTGCTCGTTTCTGCAGCAGTGTCCCCTCTCCATTCACCCGTGGGGCCTCTGCTGCTGCTGATCCCTTTTAGAAGTCCTGCAGCAGGAACGTCTTCATTTTCAATTCTGTTTCTTCCCAAAGGCATGTTTCTTTGAAAAACAGCATTACCGGGGCTGAAGATGAGTTTTAAAGATGAAGCAATATCCTCCAGGATGTAGAAATCCTTCCCACTTGGTCTCCACAGCACTCAGCTCTCAGAGCCCCCCAGGATGGCCCAGGCCCAGAGGCCCACAAGCTCAAGGTGGAGGTGGCCTTCCCCACCCTGACGTCCCAGCTCCAGGGATGGGCACATCCTCAGTCACAGTGACCAGGTGCTCAGAGAAGTGGGAGAGTTCCCCAGCCCTGTGGCCATACAGACAGGTGTCCAGTAGGGAGGTAGAGGACAAGGCCACGGCAGGAGGCCATTTCCAGGGCCTATAGAGGAACAGACAGCCACGGCATAGGGAAGTCGAGTATGTGTTGAACAATGGCCTTAGGTGAACGGGCAGCCTTTCCCAAAGAATCTGTCCTTGAGGTATTATGTGGGCCAGAGGCAGAATTTGGAACCTCGCATCTCTGGTTGGAGTTAAGAGTATAAAATAATTAGAAACCCTGGTTCGGCTCCACATCAGCCTTTGCAGTCCACCCTGAAGCTTGGCCAGTGGTCAGATGCCCTCTCCCTCCCTAGCGTGTGAGGGTCTTCAGGACAAGGACATAACCGTATCCCAGAGCGTCTCCAGTCAGGCTCCATCCATGACTGAAAACAGCAACACATTTTAGAGTTGAAGGAGCAGCCCATGGCTCAGTCACACTGCATGGTTTCTTTCCTCATGGTGACTATTTTTCTGTTACTCTCTCAAAAAAGCAGTGAAGTGAATTTAAAGATAACTGCAAAGGGTTGCACAACCCCCCATGGAGAGGTGGGACTGCGTCCCCTGCCCTGTCCTGAGCAGACGATGAGACAGCTCAGCCAGTGGAGAATGGTAGAAGTGACCGTGTATCTGTTTTGCTGCCCAGATCTTAAGGAGCTCTTATTGTAGCCAAGTCCAAAGCTCACACCGCCTGCTGCATGACAGTCAATAAGTTCAGAGGCAAAGTGCTGGGGCAAGAAAGATGATTTTATTCTAGGAGTCAGCAAAGTGAGAAGACGGTGGACTAATGCCCTGAAGAACCATCTGACGCTGATACATTTTTAGGCTCCTTCTATGTTAGAGGACAAGCAAACAGGGAACGGTTAAGGTGCGGAGGTGACAGGTGACCTCTGGATGTCAAAAGGGGCCTGAAGAGGTTGCAAAACTCTTTTCTCTTTGCTCCTGGTCTACTACTTGTCAGATCCACCTTGTTCCTGTAAATCTTTAAAATAGCACTGTTGTGTGTGTGATTCTTTATGTCCTCGGGGGTGTGTTTCAACAGAGAGACAGTCATTAGTGCCAAAGTTAAACTGCAATCTAAATTCTTCCCGTGATTAGCTTGGTCTACATGCAGGAATGAGCAAAGGCAGTGGCTTGTGAGATCAGAAGCAAGATGGAGTCACCTATGTCAGATTCCTCCCGCTGTTCCTTTGGCTTCCACTTCTGGCTGTTACGGTGATTGCTCTCAGAATGTTTCCTCAGGATCACTCTTTTTCTCCCTGGGAGTACAATGCTCTGAGAAGCCCAAGACTCACGTGAAGGCCACAGGCAGGCTCTGGGATTGAGTCCCCCGGGCCCAGCCTTCTATCCTCACCAGGCACCAGGCACATGAGTGGAGCCGCCCTGAGCCCCATTCCAGACCATCCTCCACTTCATGCCTCCAGGGACCTCTGTCAAAGCCATGTGGATCAAAGCAGGGCCTCACCAAGCACGGCTCGAATGCCTGACAAAATCATGACGTGTAATAAAATGTCTCTTGTTGTAAGTCATTAACTTTTGAGGTAATGTGTCACATGGTGCCACTTGATTTTAGCAGCAGGTAACTTACTCACATGGGTTGAACTCTGCATTTCCATAGGCTTCTGCTGACAGCCTAGTGGTCAGGCCACTTGGGATTTAGGCTCCTATTTCCCTTCTTTTCCTTACTCAAAATTGACTTTTGTTGCCAAGCATGCCATAGCATTTCTGTGGAGAGCAGTTCATCAGCTGGGTCCTGTTTCACTGACATTGCAGGTAGTTATGAAGAAATCAAATGTGGTAGAGGAGAAAGGAGAAAAGTCCAGAAGGTTTCTGCTCCCCATTGCCCGGGGCACATAGGGTCTGTGAGATTGGAAACTCAGACCCCAGACTTCTCACCCAGGAGATAGGACATGCAGGCCCCACCCCTGCCATCGTGGCTCTCCAGGTGAGGGGACAGGACCTGAGTACACAGGCTCACCTTGCACAGCCTCATGACATCTCTTTCAGAAGCCAAAACTGAGAAGCAACATTGAGGCAGCTAACTACTCAGATATTTTAGCCACATCCTGCAAAGCAGTTGATTATTTGGGAAAAGCCAGGTAATTATCTCAAGTTTTACTTTCTCACAGAAATGTGTTGGAAAAGTCACCTCCAGCCCTTGCACTACCTTCATCAGGGACCCCACCAAACCTGCCATAATGAAAGACTGGACTCTGTTTCCACAGCAGCAGAGCTGCCCTTCTCACACTGCCACTGCCAAAACAGAGGGGTGTGTTTCTCTCTGTCAAAAATATTATGGTAACATTTCAATAGCCAAGAGAATCTGGGTGTCAGGGGTTGGCTTCCTCTGACACTAGCAGGTGATGTCTGTTGGCAGAATAGGGTAAGAATGAGTTTCTTCCTCCCAAGGGGACTGCAGAAACTGCTGTCCTCATGTCACACATCATGCAGGGCACTCAGCATAGCTTCCTCAAGAAGTTTCATCATAACCTAAAGATGCAGTGATTTTCGAATCCAGCTCATGAAGGAACTGAAGGTCTGAGAGGCAAAATCAGGACTAAAACCCAGGTTTTCACCTCCAATACCACATTGCCTTGACTCACACCTGGCTGGCCATAACACCATAACACCACCACCACCAACAAACCAGCTGCCATCTTAGCCCTCACCTCCTTGACTGTATGGCAGTAGAGAGCCTTACTCACCTCCTGGACTGTATGGCAGTAGAGAGCCTTACTCACCTCCTGGACTGTATGGCAGTAGAGAGCCTTACTCACCTCCTTGACTGTATGGCAGTAGAGAGCCTTCTGACCTGGTGCTGACTCCTTGGCCCACCTTGCCAGGCCACTAGCTTCACAGAGCTTTCCTATAACTCCTAGGACCCAAAAGTAGAGCCTTTACACCAGCCCAGAGTGACTGTTTTCTGGATCAGAGGGGACCAAATGACCAGCTAGGGTAAGTCAAATATATTAGATGAAAAACTTCACAGTAAGAAATAAAGTATGAGTGCTGAGTTCCTGGAAAGACTCCAGCTGCCTGCAAGGGGAAGGAACAAGTCTCTTTCTATTGAGATTGATTCTGATCTGTCAGTCTCCTTCACACACATCAAGGGTCCTGAGGGGAGAGCCAGTATTAACATTGCTAATTACTTGTTAAAATGTACAAATGGTCCTGGGGACAAGCTTATCTGCATGTGAATTAGGTGTCCAGAGTAGTTATAATCACTTAATTATGTGCTTGTGAGGGGGAGAACAGAATTTGAGACAGAAACAACAGGACTGTCTCAGGTTACTGGGATGTGTCTAAACTGAGGAGGTTGGTGGGGTCCAGAGCCTCAGGAGACAGATCACCTCACATTGCAGAACAATTAACGTTCTGCTACTGAGGGAAAGAACTGTCTGATGAACACCCAGGATGGGCCAGGGGGTGGATAGGGACCCGCAGCATGGCTGAGTAGTCACTGAGAAAATTGCAGCTGTTTAGGAACACATGAGGGAGGAGCTGCAGGAGGGAGCCTCTTAAACGTCCCTGAGCGAAGATTACAAGAGTGAGAGGATTGTAGCCTGGCTGAGTCCACCTTGCTCTAGCCTCACAGGTGGGCTGCCCTCGCTCATTCCTGGGCACAGGCCAAGTTAACCATGGGAGGAATTAGTTTACAATCTAATGTTGAAGCAAGAATGATAATAGTCCCTCCCTAACTCTGACCCCCTCCTTGTTTGGTAACTAAAACTGTCTTTGTAAAACGAAGAAAGGGCACAAGATTAGGATTATGGGAGAGCTCTGAATTCTGCTAAGATGCAGGCATAGCTTGCCTTTCTATAATCATTTACTCCACCAGAGATCACAAGGTTTGTGACTTCCCCAGGTGCTCTTATAGATAGCATCTCTGTTGTAGAACCTAAGATTTGTCTTTCAGGATGTTTTTTAACCGTTTGCATCCTGGCACCACCCAGACCCATGACTCATGATTAATTAGTCCTGGGCACCACCCAGGGGCAGACTCAACTCATGAAGATCATTTTCCACACCCCTGTGATTTCATCCCTAGCCAATCAGCAGCACCCATTCCCTAGCCCTCTGCCCACCAACTTACCCAGAAAAACCCTAGCCTCTGAGTTCTGGAGGAGGCTGATTTGAGTAATAAACTCCAGTCATTTCACTTGGCCAGCTCTGCATTAATTGGATTCTTTCTCTACTGCAATATCTGTTCCAGTGAATTAGTTTTGTCTATGCAGCTGGCAAGATTACACTCACTCCTGAATGGAAACACCTGGGAGGTAAGGCAGAAGGACTGTTTCTCTTCTCCAACTTCACCCCTCCTCCCCCATCTGCTTGGACTCCATGGTGTTCCAGGAGCCCCTTACATGCACGACCATGGCCCAGATAGCCCAGAAGGAACCTCAGAGAAATAAGGAAAACAGCCACTCATGAAGCAGATACAGCCCAGCCTGCCATGTGTGTGGTAGGAGGGACAGTTAAGGGTCCTTTTGTAGCCTTTCCTGGAGAAGATAATAACTCACCTGCCCCCTCAATACTGGGACTGTGTTTTAGTTTTCTGTTTATCTTAAACACTTTATAAAGGGGTAGAAATGCTGTGCTTCCAAAGAAGGCTTCAGAATGCCTTTGGAAAACCTGTTGAGCCATGCTGTTATTGTGTAAGACAGTGATCCAGCATCTTTTTCTCAGTGCTGTAGCAAAGAGGAAGAAAAACGAACTCAGAGATGTGGAGGCATGTGAGACCTGAAAGAGTTTGTGGCAGTCAGCAAAAGCCAGCCCAGAGTCCCATAGATCTCAGCTAGTTCATCCGATTGAGGCTGTAGAAACTGAAATACAGCCCTCTCTTCTCGTTATGAAACTGGGGACAAATACATCAGCCCATTTTCCACAAACTGTCTTATAAGAGGAGAGAGAGGCCTGAGAGTGCAAATCCAGATTTTTTTAACCAAAATAATTTCCTAGATTCAGTGTATCCCAAAGAAAAATTTCAGCATGATTTTTGTAGACCAATGAGCTGTCTGTAAAATTCTTATAGGAACACAAAGGACTAAGAATAGTCAAGATGATCCTGAAGAAAACAAACAAAATTTTAAAATATGACCAGCCATCAAGCCATGTTATATCAGACAACATGCCATTCACCCAAGAGTGTTAAAAATATGACCAGCCATCAAGCCATGTTATAAGGCTAAATTAATTCAGACAACATGCTCTTCACCCAAGAGTGAGCAAACGAACCAATGGGATAAGACATAAAATTAAGACAAAAGTACACACATGTAGTATCACCTAGTTTCTGACAAAAAATAACACTGCCCTGCAGCTCAGGAAAGGATAGTGTTTTTCATAATCTGTACTCAGACAATGCCTGTGTGTGTCACTTACATCATCCCATTTGCAGAAATCCATCCCAGATGGATTGCAGAGGCAAACATTGTAGATATCTCTAAGACTTTGAAATAGGAAAGTTTCTTCAGTAGGACACAAAACAGACTAACCATGAAAGAAATAAAATTAAAAATTGATAAATCAGACTCTATTAAACTAAAGCTTCAGGCAATGGCGGAGTAACATATCAGACTAGTCCTTCTGACAAAATAATCAAAGGCATTGAAAGACACACACAGAGGTTTGAAGGCATGAAAGAGGATGGCGAAGCAGGCAGGAGCTGGAGTACTACAGCACAGGACGTCACGCTGGGTGCGATCACCATGTATCCAGCTTTACACCAAGGATACACTCCTACTTTACACAGACATGGAGAATACACCTCAGGAAGAAAGCAGAAGTTTCTTGGAAGTGAAGAGTTGGAAGTCCATTGGGAGACAGTTCTCCATGGATTTCTGACACTTCATGTATTATAAGCAAAACAGTGATCACCATTGTTCCAGACAATCTTTTCAAGAATGTGTGTACAGCAAACAACCTTGGATGATAAAAATAATGTCATCTTTCAGAGCAAAGGGCAGGCGTCTTATTGCCCAATGCAATGAAGATAATGTCTCTCCTGGAACAAAAGACAGGCATGGTTAATCCTATTATAAAAGTTTCCAGTTCCCTCAACTCAAGAGTTCTGAGTTCTTCTCCTGTAATACAACGTACAGCATGTGAAAATGTCATCTGGCCCTTTTCACATCATCCTGTGGAAATTGGAGCTCATGGAAGTAGCACAAAATGCCACAAAAAAATATTCTATCTACTGCTTTTGCTGTGAGTAATAAACTGTCCTTTGTTTCTGACCCAGGAGTCTCTTGTTTTCTACCACCATCACTGAAAATGCGGTAGGCTACCTTGTTAGCTTCCCTGTAGGGTAAAGTCTCAGATCCTTCAGTTTCTGACAGTTGTAGTAAAGAGGATGGGATGTTGACCACAACATGGCTTTCTGTAAAAGAAACTATGAGGACCTCAAAGGTCTATTAATAGGATTTAAGGGAAGTCCGTAGAAATCAGTAGGAAACATGTTCACTAAATTGTATAATTGACTGGGAAATAAACAGTCCTTCCCACTATTGCCTGTTAATTAAGGAGTTGTTCCCTTTTTGCTGGTGCAGATCTTTCTTCTCTTTCTATCACCCCAGTGCCTCCCTAACCCTCTCCCCAGGCCTCAGTTGCTTTAAAGAAAAAGACTATTAGAAATGAGCCAGTCTCCCTGCCCCAAGGGCAACTGAAGGTCCTAGGCACCAGCATGCTGGGGAACTCTGGGGCTGGAAAGTACTCAAACCTTTCTACTGATATTGGTGCAGGTACAAAGCCACCATTCTATGCAGTCCCATGGTTAAAAATTTGAGGGAAGACCGAAGGTCAACTGAGTGGGTTTGGACCAAGTTTATGGTGGACAAGGGAAGTAAAGTGATGTTGTGAGTGGAGGCACAATCTCCACTAACAATAACTCTAAGCATGATTTTAGATGTTTTCTTTTCCTTCTCAATCTCTTTGGGTTTCAGTTATCCTAGTTAGTAAGTAGTCAATGTCTACTGAACTCCTGCTATGTATCAATGCCAAACTGGAAAAGTAATGCATGCCTTGATTCACACAACTGTCATGATGCAGAAATGAGATAGATGTGAAAATGCTCTGGGAAAGAATGTGTGTAGCAGAAAGGAACTACAGTGGGCTCTGGGACGGGAGGTTTAACAGGGTTCTTGGCCAGCAAATGGTGCTCTCCATATGCCGAGGCAGGGAAGAGCTCCCCAGCCAAGCCTGTTCCCAGTGGATGTTGCGGAGCTCTTGGTGCCTTTGTCCATGTCCTAATCAATCAGCAGTGACACCCCATGACCTGCTTCCCCCCCCTGCACACTACAGGTAACTGTCACGTAGCATGTGATGAGAGGTGACCTGTCTTACCCAAAATCTTCTGTGCCAGAGCCTCCACTCAGCCCTCTTCAGGCACTTTATCCCGAGATGTGCCTGGCAGAACCGAGGAAGCAGAAAGGAAACAGCCTTCCCCCCACCAAAAACAAACAAATGAAAAGAAAAGAACAAGAAGAAAACAAGTTTTAAAATCAAACTGCATGGGGAATTTCACCAGAAAAGTGAGGGCAGGTGATGCGTGAGGAGTAGGATGGCCATAGCAAATAAATTTCATTATTGATTTATGTATTTTCGAATAATTCTGAGGGAAAAGTGACTATTTGGGCCTGTTGAGTTGATTTTCGATGTCATACTATGTGTGAAATTATCTAGTCATGAGAAGAGAATAAATAATGCTCAGATTTTCTTGCCAGTGATAACAGCACACCATGCATATTGAAAACCATGGTAATTTGATAAGAACTGTCACATTCCATGCCATGGTTATTTCTTGTCCCTACTTCTGTGTGTGTGTGTGTGTGTGTGTGTGTGTGTGTGTGTGTGTGTGTGTGTGGTGGGGGGGAGGTTCTGGCTACCCTTCTTGCTATTTTTCTTAATCCTTCTTTTGTGTGGCTATCCTACATTTCTCCCTGTCCCTGTCTCTCTCTCCCATTCCCTCCTTCTCCTCCCGCTTCCCTCCTCTCTCTACCCCCTGAATCTCCCTCTCCCTCTTTCTCTCTCTCACTCCCTCCCTCTCTTCCCCCTTGCCTCTTCTCTACCCCCTCTATCTCCCTCTCCCTCTCTCTCTCTCAGCAGTTCCCGATGCCCTCCCTGCTTCCTTCCAAAGCATCTTCACTCTGTCCATCCACTTCTCCAGCTTGTTCCTTCTCTCCTTTGCTCTCACTTCTCGTGGCTGACCTTTGTCTCCCACCTATACTGTCTATCACCACTTTGCTGACCTGTCCCAATGGCACCACATGTCCTAGTGGACTCTCCTTGCTCCTGTGGAGAGGAGACAGGGGTGGCACAAGCCACCCTAGAGGCCTGAAGCTGTGAGCTCTGAGAGCAGGTGCTTAGCTGGGAACAGCTCGAGGCAGCAAATAGCCCCCAGGGCCAGGGATGACAGGAAGGACCTCAGGTCCACGAATTCCACTGTAATTGCTTTCCTGATGAAAGGTACAACCAAAAGCTACCCTTGGAGTGAGGGAAACCACTTTTATTCAGAAAGGAGCTTAAATCTTCCTCAAGCACTGAGCAAGGACTTTTCCCATTCAAAGATACTTCATAGTGTCTTGTGGAAAGGTAAACACCCACATTAGGTTCTAGCATCAGCCTTACCATTTATTACCTCAGGATTTCCATTTTCTTAACACAGAACCAAGGAGCATGCTCACCAGATGTTACAAAATGGTGGCCTCCACCCAGATCTAGACTGCAAACGCGGTGTATGGCATCACATCCAGGGTGAAGCTGAATGCTTTCTGTAAGCCATGTGGAGTCCAGTGGGCACAGCATCCGTTACTCTTTACTGTTTAATTCACAGCAATTTAATACCCTTACACTAGGCTGTGCCCGCAGAAGACCAGAACCCTGGTGAGAGGAAGGGTGTTATTCTCCCTGGGATGGGGAGGAAATGGTGGGAGACAGGGGGAGAAGACAGGGCTATGGACACACTTGGCTCAGCTGCTTGGAGGACCTTGCCGGGGAGTGGAGTTGCTGCCGCACCGCAGAGCTGAGCCTGACTTCCAGCCTTCTGAGCCAAAATATCTTAATCAGATCTCAAGGGAATCAGGAGGAAAAAAAGGCATCAGAATTTCTAATTTTGCTGTGCCAAGCATATTCCTGTTTATGTGAGAAGTCAGAACGCGGAACATAAGAAGGGAGGATGATTCGCACAGGACAAGGAGAGTGGTGCAGAATGAGGAGGCAGAAAGGGGAGGCTGTGGGGGGCACCTCGTGAGGACAGCTTCTCACCAGTGGAACCCTTGAGGTCTGGAGGAGAAACACAGTCAGGAGGGGAAGGGCAGCTACTGATCTTCCTCTCAGACACGTGCAGCAGCCACCAGCCACCAGCAAGAGCACAGGATCCACAGGCAGCAGCTTTGTCTACTTTGTGCCCAGTGATAACCCAGCACCATCACACAGGGCCTGGCAGTCACTCATCCAGTAAATATTATTGATGACCGACTAAATTGTGAAAATAAGTAATTCAAAATCTAAGCTGCTGGCACTCTAAATTGTTTTGAGACTTAAAGGAATGTAAGGGGCCTGAGTCACGTGACAGGCAGCTGTAACCTTTGTTTCTCTGATTATAGATTAGCCTTAGTCCTCACATACACTGTTTGGTTAAACGTTGCAGATAACTAAAGAGCACAAGGGGCAACCCCCTCCCTCTTCACTGTTGACCTTCATCATAGATTATCTTCTCCCTTATCTTTCTCACACAAAACTTCATGATTATCACAGTGTCGAAGATGAAACATTAAATACACACTTTTAAATTGGAAAGGAAATGAAAACCAGTTGTAAAGGAAATAAAAAAAGACCTAAAGAAAACAAACTAATTAAGTTACTGTGACTCATAAACCAGCCTTGTATAAAAAGTTATAATCCTGCTAAACCTCTGTTCTCTGCCTATGTAAGCAAGGACTTAACATTTAACTTAGAGCCCTGACCCTATTTCTCTGGAGTCTTTGTCTCCCATCCCTAGCTTTTCACTTGCATAAAAGCTTTAAACTGGATTCTGGTATTTTTGATTATTTTAGGTTAACAGAACAATATCATATACATCTGTTTCCCCAGCACCTGTCATGCGAAAATAATTTAACATATTTGTGCACAGATGCTTGAGTGTTTTTAAAAAGTCATATGTAATAAACCTTTGGAAGCCACAGACCCCAGTGCCTCTGAGATGAGACTGGCATGTGGTAAGGCTGTGAGCCTAGGAGGCACGCGTTTAGAGCTTCAAGGATGTTAGTGGTTTCTTTCTGACACCAGATCTCAGCAAGCTTCACTCCTGGCACTAGGAGCCTCCATATTTAGCATTGCCGGAGAGGATGACGATGGTGGTGATGAGCTCAGAGAGTTAACATCTCAGAGGTTAAAAACCTCACTGCTGGCTACACAACAACGTGAATGTACTTAACGCTACTGAACTATGTACCTAAAAATGGCTAGGATGGTAAATATTCTGTTATGTGTATTTTACCAAATTTTAAAAACAAACAAACCACTAGTTGATGGTGGAATGTCAAATCCAGCACTTTCTGATTCCAAGGCCCACATGGTATTTCTTGCCTCTGGGATGTGGCATTTTCAAGCAGCCTTTTTATCACATATCCTAAATAAAAATGATCTCTTCAGAAGTAAAATAAACAAATATTCTCATCCCACCCTGGTATGGCAAGACCTGGAAATAGAACAAGCATCTGTGGAATTTCCCTCTAGATAAGACATTGTCCGCCCCTTTTAAAAGCTGATCTGAACTGGAGGCAGAGCTTGCGTGTTGAATTTGGAAGACTTACATCAGTCCTCAGGGTTGCAGGCAGCGTTGAGTACAGCACACACTACTCCGGCCTGACCTGTCCCTCCTCTGTGGCCAGAGAGGGTGGGTTGTCAAACAGGAGGTAAGGATTCCTCTGGGTGCTTCTAAGAGCATCTATTTTATTTATTTTTTTATTTTTCCATAAGTTATTAGGGGCACAGGTGGTATTTGGTTACATGAGTAAGTTCTTTACTGGTGATTTGTGAGATTTTCGTGCACTCATCACCCAAGCAGTATATGCCGCACCATATTTGTAGTCTTTTATGCCTCGCCCCCTCCTCTCCTCCCCCCAGGGAAATGCAAATCAAAACCACAACGTGATGCCACCCGGCTCCTGCAAGAAAGCCCATAATCAAAACATTAAAAAACGGTAGATGCTGGTGTGGATGCATTGAACAGGGAACACTTCTCCACTGCTGGTGGGAATGTAAACTAAAACAGCCACTATGGAAAACAGTGTGGAGATTCCTTAAAGAATTGAAAGTGGAACTACCCTTAGATCCAGCAATCCCACTACGGGGTACCTACCCAGAGGAAAATAACTCAATATTCAAAAAAGACGCTTGCACTCACGTGTTTATAGCAGCACAATTCATAAGAGCATTTATGTTAGAAAGGAGCTGAAGCATGATGATCTGCAGGCAAGCAAGGAGTTATGGGGGAAACTAAAATGCTCCAAACACAGGGGAGAAAAGGCCCAACAGAGAAGACAATTTCCCCATCATAGGATGGCAGGGTTTATGCATCCTACATCCTTTAATCTCCAGCACCACCCTTGAGGCACGTGTGACTTTTATCACCGTTTTATTGATGCCATAAAGAGTCAGTGGTAAAAGGATTTTCTGAAGGTACCACTGACATTGTTCTGAGTCCTCCTCGTCCTAGTCCCTGTCAAGGCCACGGTGCAAAGGTGCCTTCCATGACCCTCATACGTGTCTTCAAACATGCTCACACAGACAACCACGCTCAAAAGCCGTCCACACATGCACCACACACAGCACAACACAGACACACACACCAGACACACATGCAGCAGACACACCACATGCACCACACGGCAGCACCTCCATACCACACACTGTACACACACTACACACCACACACAACCCACACACACCATGCATCACACACACCACACACACACCACACACTACACACTACACACAACCCACCCACATCATGCATCACACATACCACACACACTACACCCCACATACACCATACACACTACACACTACACACACCATGCATCACACATACCACACACCACACACACTACACCCCCCCACATCATACACGCTACACACCACACACCACACACAACCCACATGCACCATGCATCACACATACCACACACCACACACCACACCCACACACACTACACACTACACACAACCCACCCACATCATGCATCACACACACCACACACACTACACCCCACATACACCATACACACTACACACTACACACACCACACACTACACACACCACACACACTACACCCCCCACATCACACACGCTACACACTACACACCACACACAACCCACACACACCATGCATCACACACACCACACACACTACACTCCACACACACCACACACACTACACACAACCCACCCACATCATGCGTCACACATTCCACACACACTACACCCCACATACACCATACACACTACACACACCATGCATCACACATACCACACACCACACACACTACACCCCCCCACATCACACACGCTACACACTACACACCACACACAACCCACACGCACCATGCATCACACATACCACACACCACACACCACACCCACACACACTACATACCACACACAACCCACAAACACCACATACACACACCGCACACACCAAACACATACTATAAACACCATTGACACCACACACACACCAAATACACCACACACCACACAACCACACATCCACACCACACACATCAAACACAACAAATACACACCACACAAACTACACACACTACACACCACACGCACCACATACCTCGCACACCACATGCACACTACACACCAAACATAACCCACACACACCACTCTCGCACCAAACACTACACACCACACAAACCACACATCCACACCATAAACACCAAACACAACAAATACACACCACACACAGCACACACACTGCACACACCATACCCACCCACACCACACACATCACCCACACCAAAAACACACCACACACCACACCACACACACCACACTCCTGCACATCATACGCAACACATACCACAAACACCACACACCACACACATGCCACACACCAAACACAACACACCACACACACTACACACATACACACTTATACATAGACCACCCACCATACACACACCTTACACACACTACACACACACAACACATACTCACAAGTACACATCATACGGTGCCTTAAAAGTAGCAGGAATGAGGTCAGGAAGACAGGCTGTGCCGCAGCACTTGGTAAAGAGGGCACAGGCTCTGCCCGCACCCAGGCAGTCCACCCATGGAGGTGAGGGGTGAGGGAGACAGTCTCCGGGAGCGGCCTGTCGGCCTTGCTGCTTCTGGCTTCCTAAACCAGTTCCTCTTATCAACCCTGCCTCCGCCAGCTCCAACCCAAACCACACGCAGACACACACAGACATAAACACAGACACACAGGCACACACAGACACATAGGGACACACAGACACACTGCCACACATAGAAGCACTGGCACACACAGACATACAAACACGCACGCCCACACACAGACACGTATAGACTTATATGCATACAGACACACACACACACACAGACATACACAACCTACAGATATGAACACAGACACACAGAGAAAGACATAGATTCACAGACATGCACAGAGAGACACACAGACTCACACAGACACGCACAGAAAGACATAGATTCACACAGACACGCAGGGAGAGACACACAGACTCACACAGACACGCACGGAGAGACACACAGACTCACACAGACATGCACGGAGAGACACACAGGCTCGCACAGACACTCACGGAGAGACACACGGACTCACACAGACACGCACAGAGAGACACACAGACTCACACAGACACGCACGGAGAGACACACAGGCTCGCACAGACACGCACGGAGAGACACGTGGACTCGCACAGACACGCACGGAGAGACACACAGACTCGCACAGACACTCATGGAGAGACACACGGACTCACACAGACACGCACAGAGAGACACACAGACTCACACAGACACACACGCCATCGCTGTGAGCTCAAGGAATGCTCATTTTAATGTTGATACAGGCATAATTCCATTAGGAGGCAAATTTGACGATAAAGATCAATACAGAATGAAACCAAATCTAAATGTCTTCAGGATGATTTTTTTTGTCCGCAGAGCACACACTCTAATGGCACAGGTCACGCTGCCTAAGGACAATCTCACACCTCTGGAAGAAATGGGGTCTAGTGATTGACAGTGGGAGATTTTAAGATGTGTGGCCCTGGACAAGTCGTTTTACAGGTTTGTGGCATCAGTGAGTGGGAGGAATCCAGGTGCCTCCAAGGCCGTCCTGGGGAGTAGGTGATGGAAGACCTGTGAAAGAGGCAGGCAGACCCTGGCAGGAGGCGCCACTTCATGTTCATTCTGACCACACTCTTTACACCCTTCTGGCTTGAAAGTGGGGAGGAGGGAGCCTGGGCCTCATTTCTCAGGATTTTCCCCAAACTCCCAGGATGTGAACAGTAGGCGGGAAAGCCTCAGGGTGGAGCCCAGGCCTGGGGTGAGGGTGCAGCTGCCTCACGAAGCAGCTTAGCCTTCCACGCGCTTTGCCCTCCCTCTGAGCTGAGAAACTCACTCAGGCTCAGGCCCACCAGCTCCTGCCTCACCTCAAAGCCCAGCGTTCTGCCGTGAACAGCACCAGGAACTTCAGAAACCTGCATTCCACAAGCATGACCCTAGACGTGTGCCCCTCATTCAAGGAAGATCAGGGCGGGACAAATCAGCTAGGGGATGTCAGGCACCATCCCAGGGGCCTGGGGAGAAAAGAGGGGGCACCAGCCATGGCACATGGCTCCCAGGGCAGCAGGAGGGCTGGGAAGGCATCTGCCCTGTGCCTGGGCCTGCAAGTCCTGAGGACAGGCAACGGGTCCACACACGTGGCCTCCGGGACACCTGTGCTCGAGGGATGGTCATGCCAAGAACCCTCCTCCAAGGTGGGACCTGGGGCAGGGACCCTGTGAGAGCCGTGGTCCCTGCCAGACCCGGTGCCATCAAGGCTGTGCTCTGCTGAGCCTGAGGCTTCGGTATGACTTTGCCTGTCCCTCCCAGGAGATCCCACAGGTGATGACCGCCTGTGCCTCCTGTCCCTCCCAGGAGATCCCACAGGTGATGACCGCCTGTGCCTCCTGTCCCTCCCAGGAGATCCCACAGGTGATGACCGCCTGTGCCTCCTGTCCCTCCCAGGAGATCCCACAGGTGATGACCGCCTGTGCCTCCTGTCCCTCCCAGGAGATCCCACAGGTGATGACCGCCTGTGCCTCCTGTCCCTCCCAGGAGATCCCACAGGTGATGACCGCCTGTGCCTCCTGTCCCTCCCAGGAGATCCCACAGGTGATGACCGCCTGTGCCTCCTGTCCCTCCCAGGAGATCCCACAGGTGATGACCGCCTGTGCCTCCTGTCCCTCCCAGGAGATCCCACAGGTGATGACCGCCTGTGCCTCCTGTCCCTCCCAGGAGATCCCACAGGTGATGACTGCCTGTGCCTCCTGTCCCTCCCAGGAGATCCCACAGGTGCTGTGGTTGTGCTGATGGAGGAGTGGTGACAGGGACGCAGGCAGAGAGGGGCAAAGTCTCACAGGGGCAGAGGGTGTCTGTGCCAGGTGGAGGGGCCTGGGGAGGAGATGGAGTGGCCTCTCGTGGAGGGGCAGGTACAGGAGCCAGGCAGAGCCCAGGGACAGGCCCATGCCAGCACCAGCCTGGGATGTGAAGGGATGACCTCAGGGCAGAACTCTCAGTGCAGAGCTCAGCACAGAACAGGACACCATCTGGGGAGAGTGGAGGTGCCGCTCATGTAACTGAGCACTGAGGACAGAGGACACATTCCCAGGAGCCTTCTGCTGGAGTCCACACAGGGGAGGGAGGGAGAGGGGGAAGTGCCCTTTTTCTTGTTTATCCTGTGATTCCATGGCTCACTGCCGTTTCCACAGCCTTTCCACTCCCCAGAAAACTGTGCAGCTCCGTTAATGATTTTCTCCAAGACCTTGCAGCTGATAACTGAGCCAAGGCCCAGTCCTGGACTCTGACTTCAGGATCCCACATGGGCTCCCGTGTACCATGAAGCCACCCGGATGGCCGTGGACAGACCCTTCAAGAGACACTTACCGCTGCTCTTCATTGAGTTCCAGCTGCAGTCCTCAAGGGGGATGAGGGGCATTTGTCCCCACCCTCAAGGGACATTTGGCAATGTCTGGCGTCGTTTCTGGTGGTTGCACCTTGAGGAGGGGCGCATATGCTCCTGGCATCTGGTTTTCTAGTGGGGAGGCTGGGGATGCTGCCAAGTGCCCTCCAATGCACACAGCGGCCACGGTGGAGACTGCAGCCTGAAAAGTGGGTGGTGTTGAGGCCGATACTCTGGCCCACCACGATGCCATGTCCTCCCTCTGACAACCACAATCAGGAAGACTTCTTCAGCTCGTCCTTGTGCCCCCAAAGTCCTCGTTCCCACGGGCCCCCAGGAATGGTTCTGGGAGTCCTTCGTCGCTTTCATGGGGGTGGTATGAGGCACTCCAGCTTCGTCGTGCCTTGTCTGCACCTTGTTCCCAGCACCGTCCTTCCTGAGCCCAGGGAGTCAGAATCCACAGTCTTAGAGTCTCCACCAGCAACATCTCAGCTCAGCTGAGGGTCATTCCTACTTTCAGAACAGGCTGACAGTGGGGCAGCCAACCACTCTGCCCACGAACCCCAGTTCTCCGTCGCTCACCACTCTGCCCACGAACCCCAGTTCTCCGTCGCTCACCACTCTGCCCATGAACCCCAGCTCTGCGTCGCTCACCACTCTGCCCACGAACCCCAGTTCTCCGTCGCTCACCACTCTGCCCACGAACCCCAGCTCTGCGTCGCTCACCACTCTGCCCACGAACCCCAGTTCTCCGTCGCTCACCACTCTGCCCATGAACCCCAGCTCTGCGTCGCTCACCACTCTGCTCACGAACCCCAGTTCTCCGTCACTCACCACTCTGCCCACGAACCCCAGTTCTCCGTCGCTCACCACTCTGCCCACGAACCCCAGTTCTCCGTCGCTCACCACTCTGCCCACGAACCCCAGTTCTCCGTCGCTCACCACTCTGCCCATGAACCCCAGCTCTCCGTCGCTCACCACTCTGCTCACGAACCCCAGTTCTCCGTCGCTCACCACTCTGCCCACGAACCCCAGCTCTGCGTCGCTCACCACTCTGCCCACGAACCCCAGCTCTCCGTCGCTCACCACTCTGCCCACGAACCCCAGTTCTCCGTCGCTCACCACTCTGCCCATGAACCCCAGCTCTCCGTCGCTCACCACTCTGCCCACGAACCCCAGTTCTCCGTCGCTCACCACTCTGCCCATGAACCCCAGCTCTGCGTCGCTCACCACTCTGCCCACGAACCCCAGTTCTCCGTCGCTCACCACTCTGCCCACGAACCCCAGTTCTCCGTCGCTCACCACTCTGCCCACGAACCCCAGTTCTCCATCGCTGCGGAGATGCTTTGGAGCCACCGCTGGGGGGCCCTCTCCAGCCCACCCCAGCCTCCTGACACAGTCTCCCCCGAAGACTCAGCTTCAGTCCTCCCCACAGAAAACTCAGAAACAGGAAATGAATAAAGGACCACAGGCTTGGCTGATTGGCAGAAGACAATGGAGGAGCTAGTGTTTGACAAAACAGTAACGACACCTCTGATGGCAGAGCCGCGCAGTTAGCATCTTCTTCCCAAATACAGCAAATTACCCAGCAAGGGCAGGAAGCTTTGGCAGAATTAATCACTACCTGGAAAACAATTTCACACTAGAATAAACAGGAGAGAGAGGGAATAACAAATGCATTGCATTGTCCAGTTGTTAACCTGGGCCTTGATATATATTAAAAAACAAGGCAATTACTTCCAGCAATGACAGAAACTCATCTTGTTTAGCAAAATAAGATAAAGAAGTCTGGGGGTGGAGAGCCAGCGATCTGAGCGAAGACATCCTGAGATGATAAATATCTCATGTCAAGCCCGCACTCAGCCGCAGGCTTCTTGGAACAGAGGCAGCCAGCTCCGTTCCATCTGAGGGAGCAGAGGAAGGAGGAAAGGCACAGAACATTGGAAAGGGAGCGGGCGTCAGCTACCAAGGAGTTGTTATAAAATATAGAAGCAAAACATTAAAAATGCACTGTTATTTTTCAATAAAACCATCCCATGTCTTTGCAGAAGGGTTTAGTTCCTGCATTCACACTCTGTGTGGTGTCTGGGAAAGGTACTTGACTTTCTGTGCAGAACCATAACGGGAGACAGGAAGATGAGTTTTTTTCCCAAGACAAAGCTAGGTTGTTTTTCTTTGCTGTCTGCTGGACAGCTGGGCTTTCTGAATTGATAGCAAGTCACTCAAGAGGCATTTGAAAGAAAACACTTTAATCCTAAGTGAAAGAAGGGTTTTCGTGTGTACAGTTCATGGTTCAAATAAGTAGAAACCACTTTACTTTTGATTCCCAGGTTGTATGTACCAGACAGACTGCACTTTCTGGAGTCTGACACCAGAACTTGTGCAGGAGGTGATCAGATTATATTCTGGGCAGTGGAGGCTTTTTGTAGTCGACCAGAATTGCTTTTTCTGTGTAAAATGATGGTTGCAGTGCTTCCTGGAGTATAGATAATGTCCTTGAAAACCACTTAAGTTGCCCTTACAAACTTCAGAGTCTGTAATTCTCTCATGCCCTGTAATGCATGACCCTCGTTGGTTTCCTTCCTGGGATCTGTGAGAAGAGTGTGATGTGCATCAGGTTACCGCCGGGCATCTGAGCGGGCCTGGGTTGGCTGCCTTTAATACAGCCACCAGGACGTGTCAGGAGTGTGATGTGCATCAGGTGAGTGGGCCTGGCTCTGCCTTTAATCAGCCACCACGACATGCCAGATGTGCTTCAGCATCACTCCCACGACTGACCTCATTCACACATGGAAATTTACAAGGAAAAGTTTTGTTGTGGACGTATCCAAAGAAAACGTGTCTATGCAGATGTAGTGGCAGAAGGGTGTGATGCCTTTACTCACTCATCCTAAGGCTCACAGCTGACACTCCTACAACAGAAGACAGGCTGACGAGAGAAAAGCATAACAGATTTACTTAAAGTTTCATATAATACAGGTGCCTTGAGAAATGAAGATCTGAAGCTGCAGGGGAACCATCTGTTTGTATCCTTAGGTTCCATGAAGAATGGACACTGTGGAGAAATGTGCTTGGACAAAGGGGGATGGTCTGTGGTGCTACACGGAGGCCTCCAAGGCCTGTCTGTGTGGCTTCTTCTTGGCTTTTCTGCATAGCATTTCGGCCTCCTGGGTATGGGCAGGACCCCTCTGGAATGAGGGCTCTCAAGGGAGAAGGGAGAGAGTGAACTTTGTAACCAAAAATAAAATTCTGAGACCCCACCGACTGTATAGACCCTCCTCTTGGCTTAGCGGACCTCCAAGAAACCTGAAAAGCTAGTTCAGGATGTAACCAGAAGAGGGGATCAGACACGCCTCGCTATCCCCTCTTCCCTTTGGAGTTTAGACACAACTGATCGGCACTAACACAAAAACAGAGATCTGAAGACAGACAAGCAGACTCTTTGTAGCCATGAGATTCCAAATTCTAGCCTGACTCTGGTATAGCATCATATGACACATAGCAGGCCCTGGAAGAAGTCAAAGTATTTTATCCCAAAATACATTTATTTGACATATGTCGAAGATGTTGAAGCGGTTCTGCAAAGCTGTCTCTTGTGGGGTAAATCTACATTCTATAGAGAGTCTCCTTCCCTTACTAGGTCTTTCCAGAGAGTCTGACACCTTTTGAGGTGTGATAAGAGACCTTCCACATCTATTCTCTCTGAAGCCTGCTACCTGGAGGCTTCAACTATAAGACAAGAACCTTGTCTTCCACAACCCCCTTATGTAAACTTAAGCATTTCTTTATGCTGAGTTTCACTCTCCAAGCAGGACTTAACTCTTTCAAACAGCTACCAATCAGCACATCTTTGAACCCCCCTTGACCTGGAAGCCCCCTTCTTCGAGCTGTCCTGCCTCTCTGGGCTTGCCAATGTACATCATACAAGTATTGATTTATATCTTGGCCTGGAACTTCTGTCTCCCCAAAATGTAGAAAACCAAGCTATCACCAGACCACCTTGGGCACACGTTCTTCTGAGGCTGTGTCATGGCCCATGGCATGTGTACCCGAGGTGGTTGGACAAAACAAACCTCTAAGTGGATGCGGACCTGTCTCAGATACCTTTTGGTTTACACTTGTCTATTGTCTACGTAAAGAAGGAAACTGTGGCAAATTTAATGCAGAGAGTTTATTTGGGCCAAGGTTGAGCACTTCACAGTCCGGGACACACTGTGAAGTGCTCAGGGAACAAAGGAGAGGCTCAAATTTTTAAAGAAAAAAGGATGAATCAGGAAAGGGGGTGATTACACAAGTTGTTGGTCAGGAATTCTAATTGGCTTGCAGAAATGACATTGATTAGTTATTGGTTATATATTGTTGAATGACAGGATGTGAGTTATGGTGTCCAGTGTAGGATGGCCATTCTTGTTAGATTAATTTATAGCTACTGGTGGCAACACTCAGTCCTGAGTCCACACACCAGGTGGCTTTGAAATGATTACTTACCTCAAGGTGCCTGCGGCATGACTCCTCTCTCATTTTAACACCTCCCAAGGCCTGATAATTTCTCATGTTCCTCAGATTGAAACTTTATTTTCTTTCTCACTAGGTTTCAGGGCTCGCTTTGTGGGAGAGGAGGTCCTTGCTTCCATGGCTGCCATGGGGAAGAGGATTCTGGCTTCTGTGACTCACGTCAGCAGGGAACGGGTCTGAGGCAGAGGCACTCAGAGCTCGGCTTCTGAAGCCTGCCAGGCTCCTTTAGCTCCAGTGCTCAGCATGCCGGAGCCCCACACTGTGGGCTATTGTTCTCCAGGTTATTTCTTTGTTAAGCTACATGCTGAGTCGTCTAGGCGCAAAGCCTCTGCCCCTCCTCCCCAAGGTATGTGCAGCACCATGCAGGCACATCATCAATGGTTATTAAATAAATGAATACATACCTTTTATTCTTTGCAAGAAAAGTCTTCTGTTTCTTTGTCCTGGCTCTTACCCATCTCTCCAGGCTTTTCTAGCCCCAGAGCCGACAGTCCAGCAGGAGATGACAAACACAGTCAACTTTTGGCCAAAGATTCTAAACCATGGAAAAGGGCCAGCTGGGGACTGGTCTTGTGAAGTGCATGGATTTGGGCTTTTATTAAGGCCAAGGAAAGACCAGTTTCCTCCTAGGAACAGGATAAAACTGAGCAAGGAGAGGTTTGGCTGGGGCTGGCAGAGCAGCAGGTGCTGTCCACTGGAAGCCTGTGTGCAATTCAAAGAGATGAGAGAAGCCAGACCCCAGGGAGGAGATCTCAGCTGGGAAACTCAAGGGCAAGGATGCTCTCAAAGATAACGGCTGCATTGTTTCCAAATTTTCAAAAAACTCTGTTAAATGTTCTATAAACCTCATTAGCCTTACAAATCATGAGCCTTTAGCCATGCAGACATAAGAGACTTTTAGATATGCACGTCTCTGGCTGACCCAGGAAACCCTACCTTAAAATGACTAAAGAAACTGCTAAGAGGTAGCTCAGCACAGCCCCAGACTGAGACAGGCTCCTGTGAGGCATTCAGGAGAGGGGCAGCCACCAGGAGGGCCTGCCTCTTGTTTAGGCTGAGAGGGCAGAACTCTGTGCTGTGAATTGAGGAAGCTGGGAAATATTTTTTCAATTAAATATTTCAGCTGTCAGCCTGCCAGAATACCTGAAATTCCTCATAAGAATCCATATTTGGATTTCATACCTTCCCTCCCATGTGTCTGCTACCCTCAGGGCCATATATTCCAGAAGCCGCCCTGCACCTTTGGAACTTGCCTTGTGAGTTAATGCTTTCATTTTCCCCAGCATTGGACAGCAAGCCAAAAGCAGTATCCTGCTGGAATGGAAAATGAAGGAAACATACCTTACCGTTGGGAGAAACCCAGTAAAGATAAAACAGGGGCACAACCCGGAAATCCAGACCCTGGGAAAGCGAAAGCCCCTGGGCACCCAGCACACCTGGAAAGAGGTTGTGAAAGCACCAAGGGGAGAGAAAGCACGAAGGGGCGACGGGGGCTCCCAAGAACTTCCCCAGGCCCCAGCCCTCTGTTCTCACTGTCTGCCCCTCTCGCACCACTCACAGGTGCTCCTGGGTGAAGCTGCAGGCTCCAAGGCCTCATCTGAGTCCCTTTTAACTGGGCCTTTTGCAAGTCACACGGCTCCAAGACTGTTAAAATGCCTATCAAGTAAAGATCAGCAAGCATGAATTATGATGCAATGAAGGCAGCTGACACCTACGAAACCAAGGTGTGCTTGAGCTGGTGGAGAGTCCTGGGGCTGCAAATCCAGGAACCGCCCTGCCTTATGAGCTGGAAACACTGTGTTTGCACAAGCAACATGGAGAAGGGCTCTGGGCCCTGCTGATGGCTGAATAGGGGATGAAAATGAAGGATTCTTCCTTTTCCATGAACCTGTGTTCAACCATGAACCTGTGTTCAAAGGGCCAGTCCACCTGCGGCCACCTCTGAAGGAGGCATAGCCCAAATGCACACACCCTGGAGAGGAGTGGCTCATTCAAGGTCAAGACAAATGTGGGTGGCAGAGCCCCAACAAAGGTTCTTAGCCAGTGACATCCAGCTGCTGATGGAGGCCCTCTCCAGAATCAAGGGTATGGTCCTACTGCAGAGCCCTGGCCTCCTCTGCACCCTACATGTGCCTCAACATCCCAGAGTTCATCCGTCACTGAATTCTAGTCCCAGTGTGCATGTCCAGCCTAGAGCTTCGCCTCTCCTGAGACAGCCTCGCCTGCCCCTCCATCTGCCTGTAAGCTCCCTAGAGCAGGAGAAGCCACTTATAATTTTAATGGGGTATGCACATTCAGATATTAGAGGCCACTAATTTATTGGGGTTCCAGGATGAGAGACCCAGGAAATCATTGCTGTTTGGTTCTATGAGGCCCTTTAGCATAACCCCAGAGAGAGCCTCAGCGACATCATTCGGTGTGGGTGAATCTGCCTCTCCTTCCTGCCCACTCCCGGCAGGAGGTCCCTGTGTGTTTTGCTTCCATTCAGCACTCCCTGTGCCTCACCGCACACAGGCAGGCCTCACCTCCTCTTGGTCACCATGGCCTGCTTCTCATATCTTTGGGCTCAGTACCAACCGTGTGATGGAGTGTGGCCCATCTCCTGCAGGTGCTGGCGGATCACAGGAGGTTCCAGGCCCACTGTGCATGGCCCCTGCACCTGCTCCTCAGTCCTCTGCACCTAAATTTTCTTGTTTTCTCCATATCAGAAAGTGGGTCTTGCTACACCAGGTAATCTGAGGCTCCGCCCAGCACTTGCTGTCACTTGCTTTAAGACAGTCACACGATGAGTGGGAAGCCCTCTGAAGTTTCCATGACAGGCAGCGTTCACCATGGTCCCCGAGACCCAGCACGGGAACCAGAATTCTGGTCTGGAGGAGACAGAGTTGTGTAGCCAGAAAGCAGCCTGGGAATCAGAACCAAAGAAAAATATCTCAAAATAAAGAGGAGAAGTCCTGGGCGGGGTGGGGGCGGGGGCGCTGCGTAACAGGAGAGCCCGGTGCGTGGAAGCCCAGAGTGCCGTTGTCCCTGCCCACACAGGCAGCTCACAGAGCACCGGGTCATGCAATGTGACCCACGGCTGGCCAAGGCCACGGGCCCCTCAGGCCAGGCAGGGGACACTGAGAGGCCTGGGAGTTTATCAGGAACCGTGATCTGGAGTAGCTTGCAGGAGACCAACCCATTTAGATGAAGACGATGCTTCAGCTCATATTTCCCAAAAAGCAGAGTCCGAGGCCAGGGCTTACACGCTGTTGCCTTACTAAGGAGCACAGTCTTCAGATGAGGGAAGTGAAGTGGGCAGGAGCAGGGCCACACACACGTGTCATGGAGCTGACCGGTGGATGTTATGACTTAAGTGTACCCGGGACCATCCCTGACACGCCATACAAACGTCACCTCAAGACCATGTCTCAGCTGGGAAAAGGTGAGACTGTATCCCCCTTCTGTCTCCCTCAAGCTGGCATCTTACCCAGGGCACATACTTCCCTCACACTTCCAGATGGCCCCGGTGGGCTCCACTCTGGTCTCAGGGCATTTCACCCTCTTTCTTACCTAGACTCCCAGGGCCAGCACGGATGTGAGGTGCTGTGAACTCAGGCCTCCTGAGGTTGACCTGAGTGCTTGCAGCATTGGTCCCACAGCCACGACTGGGCTGGAGCAAAAGGTCAATCGGCCCCAGAGACACACAACGGGGAGAATGCAGCATGGCTCCTCAGAAGAGCCTGCGGTGGGCACCGCTGTGCTGAGGACCCTGAGTCCTGCAGGACTGATCTCCACCAGGCCCAGGGCGGGAGTCACCCCTGCTGCCCCAGCCACCACGGGAGGAGGGACACATGTCTTCCATCTGAAGTCACCCCTCAGTTGCCTGCATGGCAGGGAGGAGAGGAATCGAGGTCCTGGAGACTCCAGGAGGTTGTGGCTTTGAAATAAGCAACTTGCCTCCTCCTGGGACCTGCCCCCCTGGGTTGTGCAGCACTTAAATACTGAAAGGATCACTGGGGTTTTTTTATTCAATATGTCCAGAGAAAAGAAGTAGATTAAGAATTAGCCATGGGCAGACAACAAAGCCTGGGGACAAAGCAGGCTGTCAAATGGGAGGTGGCCAGTCCCTCCAGGGTAGGACTCAGGATTCACTGTTTCCCATCTGCTCCTGAAGCAGCACCTGGGGGCTCTCGGAGAGACCTGGCCTCCCCTTCTGCTGCCAGAGCCCGAAGGCACAGCTGGGAACATGCTGCCAGCGACCCTTCCCCCAGGTCCTGCATGGAGTGGGAGAAGCTTGGGCAGGGGTTGCCTTGGGCTCCAGCAGGCCCACAGTAGGCCCCGGTCTAATTCAGTTTATACCCATATCGGGCACATTTTAAGCTCTGTATGCCCATATAGGGCACATTTTAATCTCTTTTCCTGTGGTGAGGGAGCTCACAGGTTTCCTGAGGAGACTAGCTCTCCACTGAAATCCCATCTAAGCGTCTGAGCTTCACTCACCGCCAGGGAGCAGAAGTCGTCTTGCCACAGCCTCCCCTTGGAGGGAGCCTGACGGAATTGTGGTTTTGTTATCATTACGGCCACAATTATCGAGCACTAGCCACGTGACAGAGATTCGTTTGCTAACACTCACTCTCACACTGAAAGAAAGGAGTTATTCTTCCCATTTTACAGAGGAGGAAACTGAGTCTTAGGGGTGTTAACTGCGTGGCCAGTGGTCAAAGAGCCAAGGGGGATGGAGACCGGATGTGTGGCCAATGTGCAACTCCAGAAGCAGAACCCACGCCACCGGGGGCTTCCTGGGTCTTGAACAACAGCGGAGAACACCACATCACGGAGGTAGGATTTAACAAGACCTGTCTATGAAAAGGAAGAGTCGAGCTATTGATCTGTTCTTCAAGTAAATATCCACCCACAGTTACAATAGAGAGAGTTTATCTTCATGCTTTTTTAAAAAATCCAGCTTTAAACAACAACTAACAGATTTAACTGAGGGTAGTAACCGAGGGCAAATGTGTTGTTCGCAGGGAATGCAGCTGCAGGAGCATTTTGGTGTGTTCATGTTCAAGGGTTTGGTTTTCTTCTTTTCTTTTTCAAAGCAAAAGTAGCTTCCAATTTTTCATCTTAGTGCGTCCAGTGTATCAGTCCCTCTTGTGCCTGCTAGTGCTCAGCAAAGTTTCAATGCAGCTGCCCTGGCCCTCAGGGATCCGCAGACTCTGGCTGGATGATGGTGAGGGAGACCTCAGGCCAGACAGCAGCAGTAACTTCTCCCCAGGTGCTTCTGCACTGGCTGCTTGGACTCAGTGGTGTCAGCTCTAATTGACTCTTTATGTGGTGTGGTGCTGGTGTGTGTGTGTGTGTGTGTGTGTGTGTGTGAGACAGAGACAGAGAGAGACAGAGACAGAGAGAGCATATGCAAAGGACTTTCTTCTCTTTTGAATGACCCAGGTGAGGGAGCTTCCACAGCACACCTGGTGACCTCAGCTGAGGTCAGGTGAGGAGCTGCTTCTCTTCTGTCCCATGAGCCTCTCTCTGGGTGTGTTGCCAACCTCATCTTTTTTGTGATCACAAATGGAATGTCTACGTTTCTGCCACCTGTCCGACTGCAATTTAATCCTCAAAAGGTATTTCCCGAGATTGCTTGTGCCCAATTCCTGAGCCTCCCTGGTCACAGAGCAGCACCTGGGTATAGTAGTTGGCATGATATGACCACAGAATGCCAGCATTGGGAGTTACATTGGAGATGATAATCCCACACCTGCCCTGAATCCTGAAAAAGGTTTGCTCGTGGGAAAACTAGGGCGAGACGTGTACAGCGGATCTGCCGGTCATGCCTTGCCCTTCTTCCATCCAGCAGGGGGCCCCTTCTCAGGAGCCTGACAGTGACAGACGCAGAGCTGGACAGGTGAGTTTTCCGCACTGCGGAGCTGTCGAGACGCAAGGCTGGCGGGGAGCTTGGGACACACGGGAGGACCCTACTCCCACCTTGTGTGAGCTGCCGAAGCCTGGGAGCAGAGAGAAGGGTGGAGCAACACTCTACCCTCCCGCACAGAGATATACTTAACGTGTGTTCCCATAGCTACACTCACAAAATGCCACAGAGCCTTCCAAAACCCATCTGTTTGAAATACATCCAGGGTTTACACTGAAAATACCAAAATCCTTAAAGAGACTTCAGCCTCAGAAGGGACTGGTGATTTGTAAGTTTGCATCCAGCATGAGATCTGGACGCCACGTTCCCATCTCGGGGGAGACTTTATAAGTTGCCCCTAAACCCCCTGCTCTGAGCTGACTGAGCAGTCAGCCAGTCATGCTCCTCAGGCCCCCTGAGGCCAAAGTGCCAACAAACTGGATTCAGGCCCACACTTATCCTCATGTCCTGCCTCTGTGCTCATCCTGTCTCACAGACAGCGCGGCCTCTCCCCAGGTGCAGAGATTGCTTTTCTCCATTTGCTTTTCATCACCCTACCCCACACTCCAGGTGGCACCCAGCCTGTGCAGGCCCTGTTGACGCCCAATAAATGCCCGTGCCCAGCCGGCCAATGGTCCAACCATGTGTAACCCCCATCTCCCCCACTCTCAGTCCATCTGCATCTGTCTCCCGCCTGCAGGATCACAGCTCACACGAGGCAGCTTGGTCCCTCGGGGCTCACACAGGAGCTTGCCTGTGTGGACAGCAGCACCAGCACCGGCCTGCGGGGGCTTTGGCAGCCCCCATCCGGGGTTGGGTATGGTCATGTGGGAAGGAAGGACGGGGGCAGGAGGCCAAGAAGGACGGGCACATCAGGGGCAATAGGGAAAACGTTGAGCCTCCAAGTCATGGCCTCAGGCCCTCCTCCAGCTCTCATGGCCCCACATGGCCTCCCTGGGATCTGAAAGCCTGGCATCCAACAGACAATGCTGTTCTCAGCTCTCAAATCTCCCCGGTCCAATCTCAGAAGTCAGCTCTGAGGCTCGGAGTTTATAATCTAATCATTCCAGCCAGCACGGAAGCAAAGCAACATCCCTGAGTACATTCCTATTTGTGTATTTACCTGTGAGGGATGCAGAAAGCACGAGGGTTAACGCCCCGTCTCCGCTCGGGCCACACTTAGTCATGCCATCTTAGCCACGAGGTGCCTTCCTGTCTGCTCTGGCACCCACTCTGACTCTCAGGGCTGATCTGGAAGAGGATTCCAGGGGCCCCTATCAATGCCTGGGGTGAGCAAAGCATCCCCTCCAGATAGGCAGGATCACAGGAAGCACCTGCAGGGCCCCCAGCAGAGGCAGGGCCCAGACTCAGGAGTGTGGCCACAGTGCAGTTGCCACTGATTCAAAAAAAACGATAGAATCTCTGTAAAAAGTAATACCTCCTAGCCTCAGCCCAGACCTGCTTCAATCACATTGTCTTATCTGCCAGGACCGGTGTCCCAGTGAAGCAAAGCCAGAGACTGCTGCCAGGTGACAGTGCTGTTCACCACCACAAGGTAGCGAGACCGCTGCTGCCTCCCACCAGAAAACCCATCCCCTGTGCAGCTGCGGAGGCTGACTTTCTTCCTAGCCTTGCTGAACACTTGTAAATCAACAGCAAGGATTTGATGATCTGCTCACATTTGACTTATGCCAGGACCGTGTATCTAGTGAAGCTGGAGGAAGCAGTCAGTGTGCGTCACCGTGCCACAAAATGTCTCACCAAATCCTCATAACCACCTAACACACCCTTATGCTACATAGGGAAATGCAGACTCCCGGTGTGAGGGAACTTACGCAGTCTCTCAGCTAGTGGGAAGCAGGGCTGTGAATGGAACTCGGTTCTCTCTAAAAGGCAGAGCGTTTCCTCTCCACACCTTGGCTCACTTTGTGATTTATCAATGAGACACAATCATATCTTAAAATAGTAATTTGTGCTGTATTCTAACTTTTTTTCCTCCCCATCCCACTCACCTATTCAGGCAGAGTCAGGCCCTTTTCTAGCTACCATTCAATGGCTGGTTTTTTTCTCAAGATAAAAAGCAAAAGAAGGCTGTCATTAATTACTATTCCTGTCCATTGTAAAAGATGCCACCAATTTAAAAAATGCTGCTAAGTACCTAGGTCAGGGAGAAAGAGGGGGAGATGTGGAGAACAGGTGGTGGCTGAGAAGACAGATTGGGAGGAGAGACATGGAGGCATGCAGCTGGAACAGCCGGTCTCAACCCGGGGGAGATGTCTAAGGAAGATGGGTGGAGAGCAGAGGCATGCTGCCTACAGCATCAGTTCTATAAAGGCATCCACAATAATAATGGGAGACTTTAACACCCCACTGTCAACATTAGACAGATCAATGAGACAGAAAGTTAACAAGGATATCCAGGAATTGAACTCAGCTCTGCACCAAGCAGACCTAATAGTCATCTACAGAACTCTCCTCCCCAAATCAACAGAATATACATTCTTCTCAGCACCACACCGCACTTATTCCAAAATTGACCACATAGTTGGAAGTAAAGCACTCCTCAGCAAATGTAAAAGAACAGAAATTATAACAAACTGTCTCTCAGACCACAGTGCAATCAAACTAGAACTCAGGATTAAGAAATTCACTCAAAACCGTTCAACTACATGGAAACTGAACAACCTGCTCCTGAATGACTACTGGGTACATAACGAAATGAAGGCAGAAATAAAGATGTTCTTTGAAACCAGTGAGAACAAAGACACAACATAACATACCAGAATCTCTGGAACACATTTAAAGCAGTGTGCAGAGGGAAATTTATAGCACTAAATGCCCACAAGAGAAAGCAGGAAAGGTCTAAAATTGACACCCTAACATCACAATTAAAAGAACTAGAGAAGCAAGAGCAAACACATTCAAAAGGTAGCAGAAGGCAGGAAATAACTAAGATCAGAGCAGAACGGAAGGAGATAGAGACACAAAAAACCCTTCAAAAAATCAATGAATCCAGGAGCTGGTTTTTTGAAAAGATCAACAAAATTGATAGACCGCTACCAAGAGTAATAAAGAAGAACAGAGAGAAGAATCAAATAGACGAAATAAACATGATAAAAGGGGATATCACCACCGATCCCACAGAAATACAAACTACCACCAGAGAATACTGTAAACACCTCTACGCAAATAAACTAGAAAATCTAGAAGAAATGGATAAATTCCTGGACACATACACCCTCCCAAGACTAAACCAGGAAGAAGCTGAATCTCTGAATAGACCAATAACAGGCTCTGAAATTGGGGCAATAATTAATAGCCTACCAACCAAAAAAGTCCAGGACCAGACAGATTCACAGCCAAATTCTACCAGAGGTACAAGGAGGAGCTGGTACCATTCCTTCTGAAACTATTCCAATCAATAGAAAAAGAGGGACTCCTCCCTAACTCATTTTATGAGGCCAGCATCATCCTGATACCAAAGCTGGGCAGAGACACAACAAAAAAAGAGAATTTTAGACTAATATCCCTGATGAACATCGATGCAAAAATCCTCAATAAAATACTGGCAAACCGAATCCAGCAGCACATCAAAAAGCTTATCCACCATGATCAAGTGGGCTTCATCCCTCGGATGAAAGGATGGTTCAACATATGCAAATCAATAAACATAATCCAGCATATAAACAGAACCAAAGACAAAAACCACATGATTATCTCAAAAGATACAGAAAAGGCCTTTGACAAAATTCAACAGCCCTTCATGCTAAAAACTCTCAATAAATTAGGTATTGATGGGATGTATCTCAAAATAATAAGAGCTATCCATGACAAACCCACAGCCAATATCATACTGAATGGGCAAAAACTGGAAGCATTCCCTTTGAAAACTGGCAGAAGACAGGGATGCCTCTCTCACCACTCCTATTCAACATAGTGTTGGAAGTTCTGGCCAGGGCAATCAGGCAGGAGAAAGAAATAAAGGGTATTCAATTAGGAAAAGAGGAAGTCAAATTGTCCCTGTTTGCAGATGACATGATTGTATATTTAGAAAACCCCATCGTCTCAGCCCAAAATCTCCTTAAGCTGATAAGCAACTTCAGCAAAGTCTCAGGATACAAAATCAATTGCAAAAATCACAAGCATTCTTATACACAAATAACAGACAAACAGAGAGCCAAATCATGAGTGAACTCCCATTCACAATTGCTTCAAAGAGAATAAAATACCTAGGAATCCAACTTACAAGGGATGCGAAGGACCTCTTCAAGAAGAACTACAAACCACTGCTCAATGAAATAAAAGAGGACACAAACAAATAGAAGAACATTCCATGCTCATGGATAGGAAGAATCAATATCATGAAAATGGCCATACTGTCCAAGGTAATGTATAGATTCAATGCCATCCCCATCAAGCTACCAATGACTTTCTTCACAGAATTGGAAAAAACTACTTTAAAGTTCATATGGAACCAAAAAAGAGCCTGCATTGCCAAGTCAATCCTAAGCCAAAAGAACAAAGCTGGAGGCATCATGCTACCTTGCTTCAAACTATACTACAAGGCTACAGTAACCAAAACAGCATGGTACTGGTACCAAAACAGAGATATAGACCAATGGAACAGAACGGAACTCTCAGAAATAATACCACACATCTACAACCATCTGATCTTTGAGAAACCTGACAAAACCAAGAAATGGGGAAAAGATTCCTTATTTAATAAATGGTGCTGGGAAAACTGGCTAGCCATATGTAGAAAGCTGAAACTGGATCCCTTCCTTACACCTTATACAAAAATTAATCCAAGATCGTTTAAAGACTTAAATGTTAGACCTAAAACCATAAAAACTCTAGAAGAAAACCTAGGCAATACCATTCAGGACATAGGCATGGGCAAGGACTTCATGTCTAAAACACCAAAAGCAATGGCAACAAAAGCCAAAATTGACAAATGGGATCTAATTAAACTAAGGAGCTTCTGCACAGCAAAAGAAACTACCATCGGAGTGAACAGGCAACCTACAGAGTGGGAGAAAATTTTTGCAATCTACTCATCTGACAAAGGGCGAATATCCAGAATCTACAAAGAACTCAAACAAATTTACAAGAAAAAAACAATCCCATCAAAAAGGGGGCAAAGGATATGAACAGACACTTCTCAAAAGAAGACATTTATGCAGCCAAAACACACATGAGAAAATGCTCATCATTACTGGCAATCAGAGAAATGCAAATCAAACCGCAATGAGATACCATCTCACACCAGTTAGAATGGCAGTTGTTAAAAAGTCAAGAAACAACAGCTGCTGGAAAGGATGTGGAGAAATAGGAACACTTTTACACTGTTGGTGGGACTGTAAACTAGTTCAACCATTGTGGAAGACAGTGTGGCAATTCCTCAAGGATCTAGAACTAGAAATACCATTTGACCCAGCCATCCCATTACTGGGTATATACCCAAAGGATTATAAATCATGCTGCTATAAAGACACATGCATATGTATGTTCATTGCTGCACTATTCACAATAGCAAAGACTTGCAACCAACCCAAATGTCCATCAATGATAGACTGGATTAAGAAAATGTGGCATATATGCAGCATGGAATACTATGCAGCCATAAAAAAGGATGAGTTCATGTCCTTTGTAGGGACATGGATGAAGCTGGAAACCATCATTCTCAGCAAACTATCACAAGGACAAAAAACCAAACACCGCATGTTCTCACTCACAGGTGGGAATTGAACAATGAGAACACTTGGACACAGGAAGGGGAACATCACACACCGGGGCCTTTCTTGTGGTTGGGGGAGGGGGGAGGGATAGCATTAGGAGATATACCTAATGTAAATGATGTGTTAATGGGTGCAACACACCAACATGGCACATGTATACATATGTAACAAACCTGCACATTGTGTACATGTACCCTAGAACTTAAAGTATAATAAATAAATAAATAAATAAATAAATAAATAAATAAATAAAATAAAAATAAATAAATAAAGACACCCAAAGCCCTCAGCACTGAACGGCTGCAAGGACTGAGATGTGGGCTATTTCTGCAGAGACCAGTACCAACAGATAACCAGTGGCTGGAAGGCCCCCCAGGGCTTTGGCAAGACATACCCCGTGGGAACTTTACCTCATTGAGAAGAGCCATGAAAATGAATGAGGTTGGAATTTCAGCCAGCCCAGTAGAATGGAACTAATCGCAAAAGTTCAGGTGATTAAAAAAAAATGTTGAGTTTCTTGTTACCTTAGTGCAAGGTTTATATCTGCTTATTTAATCCTGATGGAAGCACCTTGCATAAGTGAGCCAGCCCAGCCTGTACCCTTCTGGAGCACCTGGACTCTGTTTTGGTTATCTTCCCTTACCAGAATCTAAAGGCATCAGGCAGGTTGCCTCTTTTCCATCCAGATGTGCTGGCTCCATGCCTCTTGCCCTCTGTGCTGAGCTGGATAGACGGGGAAACCACGGTGTGAGGAGAGCTGTGCCTGGGCTCGCAGGAGGGTGGGGAGGCAATGTGAGGTGGGTTGAGGTGTAGCATAAGCAGCCCTTCAGATCTACCTAATGCCTGGCAAGAAACGGGCATCACCAGGACACAAATGGCACAGACATACCAGCGGGCATTTGCTTTGAAACAAAGCTACAGCATTGTGATTTCCATAGCAAGGAATCTAGGACACTAGGCTGGAATCATAGTATGCTGTGGTCAAGATCAGGAGGAGGGGTAACACTCTGTTAACTTTCATCAAAGTTTACCCAGTCACCTCAGAGTGTCTGCCCATGTCCTACAGAGCTCCAGGAAGGACAGACACATAACTTCACTCCAGAATTACTTCTAGTATATAGTAACCCTACTATGGTAGGTTGTACAACCCTACTGTTGCTCTTTCTGAAGTCTGGCTGAAATCAGGGTATGGTTGCAACGTTGTCTGCTGTCAGGAATTCAGCACAACCATGGAAATATATAAATCAAATGTGGTGGATACACATTTAGGAAAACTACCCCATCGTCAGAGCTGATGAACCAGACGTACCCTCAGCAACATGAGCGATGGGGTAAAAAGGAAAAAATAAGAAAAGGCAAAACATGATCCAAAGGGCAGCAGCCCTGAGGACCACTAACAACAAACAAATGGAGACAGGCGTCAGCAAGATGGCGGACTAGGAAGCTCCAGGTCCTTGAGCTTTCACAGAAACACCAAATAAACCACTGGAGATGGGCTAAAAGAACTTTATGGGAGCTCTGGAAATCATGAGACACTTTTGATTTAAAGACACATAAGTTGAAAGTGAAAGTATAAAAAAGGATAGTTTATACGAATAATAACCAAAAGAGAGCAGGGGTATCAATACTCATGTCAGGCAAAATAAACTTCGAGTCAAAAACGGATACAAAACACGAAGGATAAGAGGCATCATATGCCCAGATGATCAATTCGCCAAGAAGATAAACACTTACAAATATTCCTGTACCGAACATCAGAGTTCCTAGTCATGTAAAGCACACACTGGCATCATTAATGGGAGGAATAGACAGCTCTGCAATAGGAATAGGAGGCTCCAATGCATGCATATATATATCACTCATAGTTGTTCTCAACCAGAGAAAAATGCTTCTAAGAGTATCAAGGGTGTCTGCCTATAGAAAGCTATCTCTCAGTCCAAGCCAGAAAAGTTCTTGAGGAAATTTGTGTGCCTTTGCTAATAGAAAGCAAGATATTTATATAAAATAACATAGAATCCCACAAAGTTTTCAAGATAATTGTACTGGTAGATGCACCATCCACTTGAACTAAAATAAACAAAGAGAGACTGTTTGAGATGAAGAGTCCTCCAGGTACACAGCCTTTTCTGGACAGAACAAAAGCTAAGAAAACTGCCCAGCTGCAGACACAGGTCATTTCTCACAAAGGGAAGGATGATCAGAGGCAGGAAGCAGAGCCAGGAGCCACGCTCATTCCCAGGCAGCATAACTGAACCCTCACTAAGGAATGGGCAGAATGGGCCTGACTGGATTTCAGAACTGCTGTGATCCCTGCCTTCTCCTGCTTTTTGAACTGGAGTGTCTATTGTAGATTTACAGAGAACAACTGCAGATTTACTGTATCTGCCCCACCACTGTCTGCTGGGTGTGAAGGGGGCAGAAAATGTGTCTCTTTAGGACATGAGTCTTCAGAGTGAGAGCAACATCATATGAGGAAGTACATCCAGGAGCCTCACCTGCTCCTGAACCTGATTTAGATAATGATTTCTGGATTAGGATAGTGATATCCTACATTTTAGGTAATGATATCTAACCATTGTTATTGCAGTGCCAGACATAAGTGAAGCCACCTCAGACCCTCCAGACTGGCCTCTCTGGCCCCTAAGAACCAGCAAATGACCTCAGTTAGCACTACAAGGAATAGAAGAATCACCCAGCTGAACCCTGCATGAATTCCTAACCCACAAAATTATGAACTATAATAAATTGGTTGTTTTAAGCCACTACATTTTGGGGTAGTTTGTTACACAGCCGGGGAAACTCAGAACACAAGGCTTACGTGTGCACTACATGTCTGCAAACTAATTTCATCCTGCCTCATAATATACCTGTTCCTACCTGTGTTCCATTACTGGAAAGTAGCGTCTTCAAAAGAATCACTGTTGTCCTAATCGTGTCTGTTTCCTTCACAGCTTTGAGCACCGTCTCTGGACAGTGGCAGGTATCCAATGTGGAAAATGAGGACCACAGCCCAGGTATGTTTCTTTTTATCATTTCTTCCACAAGCAAATTTTAGTTCTCTCTATAATTCTAAGTACTGTGTGGCAGCCTAGGCACATCCTTCCTTCACAGAGAAGGAAGTGAAAAATTACAGAGCAGAGTCGCCAGTGTTGTTTGTGGGGATTTAACCCCAGTAGGGGAAGGTAAAGGAGTGAGGACATGTTTCCTAGAGAGCCACATGATCTGAGCCTTGAAGGATGATGGGGGATAAAAGGGTGCAGGGTGGGAGAGGAACAGTTTGTAAAGAGGGAACAGCACACACAGTGGCAGAGAGGTGCCAGCGAGCATCTTCTCCTTGGAGGTGTCAAATGGACCATGATCCTTCACTGGAGCCTGTGGCATCTGGGGAAGGTTGGCAGGGGATGGTACAGGAAAGGTCAATGGGACTCTGCTTTCCATACTCAGGATTTTATATTAAAGACAACAGAAACCCGTTCTAAGGTTTTGAGCAGAAGGTAGAGAAGAGCTGAAGAATGTTTGAAAAAGCTCACCCCAGCAGACACAGCAAGAGCTGAAGCCGTGACAGCTGCACAAGCAGGACTCTCAGAGGGTTTGACTCAGACAGCGACAGGGCAGAGGCACTGATAAAGCCCAGCTGGCAGGAGTTGGTGTGCAGTCATGAGAAGGGAGCTTCCAGAACTAACCCCAGGTTACTTTCTGGGGGAAAAGAGAGGGACTAGAGAAAGAAGAGAAGATGGGAGATGGGAGGTGAGACACAGGGCCAAGGTGGGGGCATATGCTGGAGACGGGGCATAATGTGCTTACAGTTGGAAACCGAGAGGAACAATAATCCCATCTCAGATAACTTGCATTTAGGTTTTCTGCAGAGCATCCATCTGGAGATGAGCAGCAGGCTACTGGAGTTTACAAAAAGCTTTGAGGCTATAGATTATGATTCAGGAGATAGTGGGGCATTGGTGGTGACTGCACCTGAGGTTTTGGAGGAGAACACTCACGGAGAATGCAGAATGGAACAAAAGAGACCTGGGGGGATGCATCGGGAAAAAGCACTGGAAATTACGGAGAAAGCAACATCACACAGGACGGGGAAGAGAGACAACATTTCATAAATTGGATACAGTCACAGGCTTCAAACTCCATAGTAAAGCTGAGTATATTCAAGTGGATTTGGCAAATAAAAACAAATATATACTTTGAAAAAGGCAATGCCAATTGCGTAGTGTGGAGAAAAACAGTTTGCAACAAAGACAATCAGCAAAACTAGTCTTTGGAGGAGAGCACATTTTGGAGACGGCCATGGGACCGCAGGCAAATGATCTGGCTGAGAGTGCATGGGCTGGGAAAGCCTGGGCCATCCCTCCAGAGAAATGCCACGAGGGATCCACGTTCTCATTGAGGAGGGGGTGACAGGCAGACAGAGAGGGGACCAGAGGAGAAAGGAAGGGGGTAGATTATTGCTTATTTTGTTTGTATTTATTTTACTTAGTGACAGAGTAACTTTCTGGAGCAGACAGTTGAAATGTTGAGAGAGACTGCAGCAGAGGAGTAAGGGGACGACCTCAGGAAATCCGCAGATGGAAGCCTCTGAGGCAGACAGGACCAGGACGTCTCCTACAAGGGCACAACTGATGTCAGCAGCAAGGAGCTCCGAGGCCAGTGCCTCCCCATTCAAACCTGGAAGACATCAGGTCAAAAAATGAGCTGGGAGTACTTTCCTTAGAAATCAACTTTTCCCCAGTTGATTTGATTTTAGGGCAATCAAATCACCATGAATGTTCCACAATTCACTGCACTCTTTAACTTTTATAAAACACAATATTATGAAATTTAGTAGCAGAGGTTCTAGGATCAAATTGCTCATGGTCAAATCCTGATTCTCAGAAGTTTCTATAGAAGGCAATGAGATCTGTTCTAAGTTTGGAGCAAGGGATAGAGAAGAGCTAATTAATGTTTCAGAAAGTTCACCCCCGCAGCCATGGCTAGAGCCAATATATGTTATTTTCCGTAAACTTCCTTGTTTATAAAATAAATAATGTGCCTATCTCAAAGAGTTTTTGGAGTATCAAATGAGATAATGACCAAAAAGCACTTAGAATAATGCCAGATCTAGCCTGAGCATTTTGTAACTGTTGCTGCTCACAATTATTAGTACTTATTAATTAATAGTTATTCCCCACTGGGCCTCCATAAGCTTTATTAAGCATTCACCTGTGAACAGTAAGGGATGGAAGCTGTTGAGGACATAAAGCAAGCCAGAATGTCCCCTGGCACGATGGGAGCTGCCAGCTGGCTTCCCTGCCCATGATTCTGACTCCAGCTGCCCTCTCCATTCTGCTGATCTGACTCCCACACAGTCAAAGCAAACCAATAGGAGAGTGACAATGCTAACAATTTCTCTAGGTAGTAAGGAAATCTTTTTGTTCCTTGATGTCTCTTGTACTCAGAGTAAACAAAATCATTCTCCTAAATATGGACTTTCAATCACTCTCAGAAATATTATTTTACTTTATTCTTAAAACAAACTTGTCAAGGAGGTAAAACAAATACACTACCCTGTTGATAAGTTTCAGAAGAGCTGGAGGACATGGTAAGAATCCCACCTTATTCATCCTTGGTGGCTGCCCCAAGGAATATCCATGGTCCCAAAGCAAAGCAAAGTGTCTTCCGGGTGCAGGAAAATCACCATGAGATCATCAGAAATTCTCCACAGAGCAACTTATTTTGGTAACTAAAAAAGGTATTTCCTTAATACTGTCAAGGAAGTTGAGCTTGGAAAGGGAGGGTAGAGGAGAAAAGAAGGTAGAGAAAGTAGACAGGGGAAACTACTACATCCTCTCCCACTTCCTCTCTCCTCCTTCTCTCCAGCATTCAGAGCCCAGGCAGAGCCCTGGCCTGCGCAGCCCCCAAGCTTCCTGAGGGTAAAAACGAAAGGGGCTCAGGCCAAACGCGCCACTGCAGGGTCAGCCCCGCTCCAGGTGGAGGGAGCAGCGAGGTTCTGCAGCCATTGAATCCTTCTGATGAGGTGCTCAGACAGGTGGACACTTTAATGAGCCTGCTGGAATTTGTGGCTGACGCCAGGGCAGAGGGAGAGAGAATGACTAGAGGCCCCTGCCTCTCTAACTGTGCACATGGCCAGAGGGGCAGCTGGTTCAACTAGACCATAAACCTGTCATGGGAATAAGTGGCTCCTTGGGGACGGGATGTGAGAGGCACGTTATGGGGGAAGAAAGGTTGCAGAGCTGCAGAGAGGGAATGTCTAGCTTTGCCAGGCCCCACAGAAGGCTCACATTGGCTCAGCAAGACATTGACCTCCACTGCCTCCAACACTTGACCTGTACTGCTAAGAGCAGAGTTCGTTGATGTATTCTCAGTCTCAAGATGGCTCTCCAGGAAAAAAATCCCCTTGCCTCCCTGGAGAATCGACTCTAGCTCTTAAGTGGCAGAACTCCCTGCCAAATGAATACATCCAGAAATAGAGATTGCATTCAGAGCAGATGAAATATTACCCCAACTCTTGGTGTTAACACCTTTATGCACATCCAGATTTGTGACTTGAAGTTTATGTGCCATGGAAGGAGTATATTGCCAAAACTTGCTTTTATTAACCCCACTCTGCACATGGGGTGAATCCAGCTTCCGTCCTAATTCAAGGGAATGTGACAGGTATGCACAGCATAGCATGTAGAACTTAATGTTGAAGGTGGGTAGTGTGAGGTAGTGACATGAGCACTGGGCAGGAGTCCAGTTGGGCCTCCTGTGCTGGGTCCCACACTCACGTGCAACTTCAGACAGCTATGCAGCCTCCAATAGAAAATGTGGTGTTTTCACCCAAGGGCACAAAACTGCTGTGAGCAGGAACAACATAGCTGCACACAACCGTGTGAATAAATTTCACAAACATGACGTTGAAGGAAAGAAACCAGATATAAACACATACTGTGACACTCAATTTAGCTAATGTACAAAGCTGGCAAAACCAATATATGTTAGACACACTGTATGTGTTACCGGGGAGGAGTCCGACAGCAGAAGCGCTCCGGGAGCTCCCAGGGTGCTGCCGCTTTTGGTTTCTCCATTTGAGTGCTGATGCTATGGCTGTGGTTGGTTTATGAAAGTTTACCAAACTGTGTGTCTAATGTGTGCACTTTTCTATAATTATAACATACTTCAATAAAAACTCAAAAAGTGAAGGATGAATTGATAACTTCTGGGGTTTCATTCAGTTTCAGCAGCCTGTCATTCTAGTCTGTCAATCATCCCAGCTTCCAGTTTCTCTTCTTTTCCTTGTTGCCTCCCTTTGGCTTCTCTCATCAGTATAAAGAGAGGTGGAATGGGCAGACTGGGTGGGGGCGCCACTTTCACTTGCTCCCTGCAAGCACCTTTCACTCCAGGCCCCTTAGGAACGTCTGATGTGACCGGCAGGGCTCCCTTCAGGCAGTGCCAGACTCAGGGAATGGTACTGCAGCCAGCCTGGCACGCCTCCTCCGCCCTTGTCACTCACTCACAACAGACAAACGCCCGGCTTCTTCGCCTTAGGTGGAGTGCTAGGTTTCCTGACCACCATCAGAAAGAAAGGAAAGTGTGAACATCTGTTGACACCTACCAAAGGGTAGAATAGCAGTAACGGGCAGCAGATTTAAGAGAGAAAGCAAAAGGATAAGGCAGCCTCGGGTGGAGGGGCAGAGTGGGGTGGCGGGGTCCTGACGTGGGGAAGAACCGGCCTAGTGGGCCGCGAGGAGCCGGCCAGGGCGGGGCTGCGGAAGGGCGGGCAGCCTAGGCTCAGCGTGTCTGAAGGATGACCCCTCCCCGAGGTGTCTGTGGAGGAGGAGAAGAGGCCACTCGGGGCGCAGACAGAGCACGTGACGATGCCCAATTCTCCCCGACTCAGAAGAGCCCGCTCTCAGGGCGGAAACAGAGGAGGCTGCGCACGCAACCCCCTGATGGGCCAGTAGGCAGGGCGCTGCTGTCCGCAACAGCGTAAGAGCGTGCGTGCGTGCGTGCGTGCGTGCGTGCGTGCGTGCGTGCGTGCGTGGTATCTCACTAAAGGCAGCCATAGTCGTACCCAGCCTCTGCTTTCCCTGTACAGCCTCTTTTGTACTTCATGTTTATTGAGCTTAATACTCGTTTGGTGATAACTTCAGGAAACCCTCTCAAACAATAAATTGTAAATGTGGCCAGGTTGCCATCTCATTTTAGAAATATACTTTTCCCATTTGGGATTAATTGCCTAAACGTCCTTACAAGGTAAAAAGGGAACTGTCTCTTGAACATTAGTTATTAAATTATGTATCACCAATTCATTTGCTGCACTGATTTGAGCTTTGTGACATTTCTTATTGATTGTTTGAAAGCAAACTTCCAATTATCAAAGGATCAGATACTGTCTGCTTAAAATCCCTCTTAGAGTAGCAGAGAGCTGCTGTGATAGTTTAAAGATCCTGGGTCTTTTGTGACCGAAACGTGACTTGAGCCCTGATACGGGCATCAACCAAAGGAAGCGTTTTCTTAAGGAGAAGGTTTTGAGAAACCCAGAATCTGATTATCGAAGCCATCACAGTGTGGCTGCCCTGGCAGGAGAGCATTTCGCTTGCTTGCATTTTGAAGCCCAGTGCACTGAATGTGGTCTATTGTGTTTAGGCTGGAGATAAAGAACTTCATTTGGCAGACATCCCGGCACAGATCCTACCTTTTACAAAGGCAGTATACTGCAGGTTCCCAGAGGTGAAGAAAGAATAGCTGAAATAGTAGCTTACGGTTTATCCTTCTTATCTCAAATGTCTGGGGAATAGGAATAATGATATTTACAATTTGTTGAAAATTTTATGTGCAGGCATTGTGTAAGGACTTTACATATTATACATATGAATGTCTTTATAGATGTATAAACGTATACATATAAATATATATCATAAGTAACGACTGATACAGATAAAGGTATCTACATCTATCTATTTAAATAGATGCATCAATCTCCATTTTTAACCCTGCCACCAACTCTCTGACATAGATATTATAATGGTCCCCATTTAGAGATCAGGAAAATGAAGCAAAAAAAAAATGTCAATTTGTTCAAAGCACATAGCTAGTAAAAGTTGGCAGAGCCAGAATTGAACTAAGGTGATCTGAGCCTAGAAATGATGCAACTTAGGATTGAACTTAGGCCTCTGGTTGCAAATGCAGCATTCGAATGCAAAAGTGAGTGTGCAAGAAGTGTTGAGATGCGGAGGCATGTGACCCCACCAGGGATGTTTCTTAGCTTGTCTGCCTGGTGACAGTCCCACTTAGGTCTGTGGCTCTGATTTCCTGGTGCAGAAGGAGAGGCAGGGTCTTATCTTTGTTTCTTAGTGATGAGCCGATGGCAGGGACACCTGACTTACTAAATCACAGTAATCTTGCCCCAACAACAACCCAGGTGAAAGCACTGATTGCACTTTGGTTGATCTCTATAATAGTTAATTGTTAACTATTAACAATTAACAGGACCAAGCCTGATAAACGTTTTTTTTTGTAGCCTGTTTGAAGGCAGTAAATAAGGAACTATGCCCAGCAGAATGCCAGTCTGCACATCCAGCCCTGCATTGCTAACTGCAGCATACATGGCTTAGCATCAGAGATACATTTTGAGAAATGTGTCTTTAGGAGATTCCATAGTGGTGCAAACATCACAGAGTGCACTTACGAAATTGGTACAGCCAGCTACACACTAAGACTATGTGGTGTAGCATTGCTCCTTGGCTATGAACCTGTAAAGCATGTTGCTGTACTGAACACTATGGGCAATTGTAACACAATGATATTTGTGTAGCTAAGAATGTTTAAAGATAGAAAATACACAGTTTAAAAGAAGGATAAAAGATTAAAAACAGTACACTTGTTTAGAGCACTTATTATAAAATTAGGTTTACAGGACTGGAAATTGGGTGAGTCAGTGAGTGAGTGGTGAGTGAATGTGAAGGCCTACAACATTGCTGTGCACAACGGTAGACTCTACAAACACTGTAGACTTAAGCTGCACTAAATTTCTTTACTTTATTTAATAACGAATTAATCTCAGCTTACTGTAACTTTTTTACTTCATAAACTTTTAAATTTTGTTAACTTTTGATTGTTTTGTGATAACACTGAGCTTGAAACACAAACATAATTGTACAACGATAGTTTGTAAAACTTTTGTACAACTGTACAAAAATACTTTTTCTTTACAACCTTATTCTATAAGCTCTTTTCTATTTTTTTATTTTTTACTTTTTATACATTTTTATTAAAAACTGAGCCACAAACACACACAAGCCTAGGCCTACAGGGTCAGGATCATCAATATCCACTGTCTTCTACCTCCCCCCTCATCCCACACGAAGGTCTTTGGGGCAATAACACGCATGGGGCTGTCATCTCCTAGGATAGCAATGCCTTCTTCTGTAATTCCTCCTGAAGGACTTGCCTGAGGCTGTTTTATAGTTTACCTTTTTTTAAAAAAATGTAAGTACACTCTAAAATAATGATAAAAATAGAGTATAGTAAGTACACAAACCAGTAATATAGTTGTTTATTATTATCATCAAGTATGTACTGTACATAATTGTATTGTGATACTTTTATGGGACTAGCAGTGCAGTGAGTTTGTCTACAACAGCCTGGGCACAAACATGTGAGTAGTGCATTGTTATGACATGTTAGTGCAGTGTTATGACAGCTATAACATGAACTTTTCAGTGCCATTAAAATTTCATGGGACCACCGTCATATATGTGGTCGGTCATGCAGCACTTTACTATGTGTCTTCGTTGATGCTGTTCTTTTCCCTCTCCCCTCTACCTGTTCAAATTCTACCAATACTTCAAAGCACAACTCGACTCCAACTGTACCCATAAGCCCTTTTGATCATCTTTTCATCATTCCTTTATTTTAAAAAATATTTATTGAGTGCTTTTTATGTGCCAGATGTTATTCTAGGCTGCATGGCTGGGATGGAATATAGCCTCAGTGTGTAGTAGACTGTGCCATCTGGGTTTGTGGACATACACTCCATGATGCTTGCATCCAACAAACATATGAAAAAATATTCAACATCACTAATCATCAGGGAAATTTAAATTAAAACCACAATGAGATACTGTCTTACCCCAGCCAGAATGACCATTATTAGAAATTCAAAAAATAATAAATGTTGGCATGGATGTGGTGAAAGAGGAATGCTTATACATTGCTGGTGGGATTGTAAATTAGTACAACCTCTATGGAAAACAGCATGGAAATTTCTCAAGGAACAAAAAGTAGATCTACCATTCAATCCAGCAATCCCACTTCTGGGTATCTACCCAAACCAAAGTCATTATATCAAAAAAGACATATGCACATGAATGTTTATCACAGCACAATTCAGAATTGCAAAGATATGGAACCAACCTAAATGCCCATCAACCAAAGAGTGGGTAAAAAAAATGAGATGTGTGTGTGTGTATGTGTCTATATATATATAATATATATATATATATAAAATTTAATAACTAATGTTCAAGAGATAGTTCCTATATATATATAGAGAGAGAGAGGCACATACACACATCACAGATATATATGAATATATATATGTGAATATCACTCAGGCATAAAAAAAGAATGAAATAATGTCAACTTGGGTGGAACTGGAGGCCATTGTGCTATGTGAAGTAACTCAGGAATAGAAAAACAAATACCAAATGGTCTCCTTTATAAGTGCGAGCTAAGCTATGGGTACACAAAGGCATACAGGCTGGGGTATAATGGACATTGGAGACTCAGAAGGGGAAGGTTGAGAGGGGGATGAGGGATGAAAAACTATTTATTGGGTATAAGGTCCACTACTCGGGTGACAGAAACACTAAAATCCCAGGCTTTATCATCATACAATTCATCCATGTAACCAAAAACCACTTGTACCCTTAAAGATACTGAAATAAAAATAATAATAATAAAAATTTGATCTTTGTTTCACATGGAAGTTAGAAATTGTTGGATATAATATTATCAATAGTTAATTTAGTTATAGTCAAAGCATATTTTATAATATTTTAATTTGAAATGTATTAATACTTATTTCATGGCCCAATATAGGGGCAATGTATATGATTTTCCAATGTGCCCTTTAAAATCACATTTACTCCTTAATTGTGGAGTGGAGTGTTTTGAAAAGATCAGTTATGTCACATTGGTTGATAATGTTGTCCAGGTGGACTATTTTTAATTTTGTCTGATTGTTCTGTCAATTATTAAAAGGGGGTTGCTAAAATCTCCAGCCATGGTCATGGATTTATTTAGTTTTCTTTTAGATCTGTTCATTTTTCATTTATTTATTTTGAAGTTTTTGAGAAAGGCTGAGGTAAAACCACAGCAATGGTTCTAAGGAAGTTGGTAGAAAGGCAGGCTGGAGAGAACAGAGAGAAAGGCCAGCTCCTGTACCCAAAGGAAGGGCTCTTATCTGGCACCCATCCTTCTATATCTCCTGGCCCATGCCACATTTTGTGTGGCATGTGCTCATGTAAATTGAGTATTGGTGCACCCTTCTTGCCATATTTGCTTTCAGCTATTATTTTCTGCAAACTTTGTATGATCTAGACCTTTTCAAGATGCCTATGTTGGGGCTCAGAAACCAATACCCCAAGATACGGTGCTTTGACCTGCTAAACTAGAGAAGCAGGCTCAAGATCCCTCTCACCTTCTCCCTACTTTTGTCTCTCAGTCTTCTGTCTCTTCCAAAGTACAAGATAAACCTGTTCCCCAAAATGTCCTTATACACCCAGAAACTGGACCCCCAAAGAGGAACACAATCCCTTCTATCCCTTCTCTGAAATTTCATTAACCAGAGAAGATTAAAATTCATATCACAGAGGTAGAGTCTAAAAATTGAACATCACACCTACAGCCCAGATGAAATTGGAATGGTTCGGTTGTCCCAAACCATTGTTTGTTCTCTGCTTTCATTCAGCTCCCAAGGACAATTATTTACTCACCATTGTCTGAAAATGGAGTCCATTCATTCTCCCTAAAAAACGTTTACTCCTACACCCCCACCTCCCCTTCTCCTATGAAGAAGGGTACATAAGCATCTGGAATGCATGATTATTGGGTAATTATTCCCTTGTGATTTCTCCATGCTCTGCACGTTAAAATAATTTTATATGTCTTTTTCTCTTATTAATCAGGCTTTTGTCAGTTCATTTTCAGCAAACCCTCAGAGGGTGAAGAGGAAAGCATTCCCTTTTTACCCCTACACCTACTGCAGCCCAGAATGTGTATGTAATAATTGATAAAAATTATAATTTATTATTAGCAAAAATAATGATTGATGCTGCTGACTTTTCCAGACTTCTGTGATCCAACAGAGCACCTGCTATTTCTAGAGAGAACACTGCTAGAGAACTGTGAAAAAAAAAAATTTTCAACCAGTTTGCCATGTTTCCATTATGCCTTTCTGCAAGATGGCATAATTCTTGCAGAGAATTCTGAAAGAAAACTGGTCAATGAGGAAGTTTACTTATACATTTTTAATGATGCCCAATACAAATTTCTGCTTTGTTTCTAATGAAAGATACATAATATCTGAGTGAATAATTAAGGATAACTGCATTGACTTAGTATTTTTTCTCTCATTAAAGTTCTCTGGCTGGGCATAGTGGCCCATGCCTGTAATCCCAGGACTTGGGAGGCTGAGGGGGGTGGATCACTTGAGGTCAGGAGTTTGAGACCAGCCTGGCCAACATGGTGAAACCTTGTCTACTAAAAACACAAAAATCAGCTGGGCGTGGTGACAGGTGCCTGCAGTCCCAGCTACATGGGAGGCTGCGGCAGGAGAATTGCTTGAACCCAGGAGGCGGTGGTTGTACTGAGCCCAGATTGTGCCACTGCACTCCAGCCTGGGCAACAGAGGGAGACTCCATCTCAAAAACAAATAAATAAATAGATAAAGTTCTTCAAGGAGTTGTTAGTACATCAGTGTCTGGATTTGTTACCCTGAACTTACTACCAGTAGGAATCTCACTATTATTTGAGAGCTTGGCTTCAGTTTTTCCTGGTATATCCCTTGGTCACTGTGATCACTCAAATCATTTCAAGGATCTGGCAAAACAAATGATACATCCTTAACTGCTGCATTTTATTTCTAGGGAAACTTGAGAAATATAAAACCTTGTTTTATAATTCAGGGATGCCTATTCTCCCTGGTCAGGTGTTGTAGGAAAGCGTGAGGGGCTTTTTCCTTCCACATCCTTCCGTAGGATACTGGTAATAACTGTGTGTCTTCTTTCCCATTGTGAGGTTTTTTTCCTTGGATCAGCCCCGCTGGGAGGCAGCCCCCTTGATGTACTCAGAGCCTGCCAAGCAGGCTGCTCTCAACTCTTAAAGGAGAGAAAGGGCTCCTCTTCACAGAGGGATGTTTGCTGCTGACACTGGGATGGGACTCTCAGGGGCAGGGTCCCATTCACCACATTTTTATTCAATCTGAAAATGTCTTACCAGAACTTGGTACCAATTTGCTCATTCATTTATTCAGTCATATGATTATGCTCCTCTGACCCCTGCTTTGCAACTGCAAGGGAAGAGAGTAAGTCACCCCCTGTAGAATTTTTTTTCTTCACTCTGCTTGGAGCTGAGTGGGAGGTCGGGTTGACTGTGCGGTTTTCCCCATCTGTCTTTCAGAACAGTTAGAAGACCTAGATTTAGACTAGAAGGAGTAGTTCATTACTGGACCCCACTTAGGCCTTGAGCCTGAAAGGCAGGGTGTAACATCATCTTTATCAAGCTCTGCATTCAATGTTACTTGGCCACTTCAGTCATTAATATTGTTACTCAGAGCTTAGAAATGATTAGCCCGCCCAAATTTATGCATTTCTGAGTTTCACTCATAACATAACCAAGACTCTCGTCCCTCCACTACCCAGGTAAAACACGGATGCCCAGTTAAGTAACAATTTCAGATAGAAGAGGACTTTTAAAATATGATTGCATCTCAAATATTTCATGGTACATATATGTACTAAAATAGTATTTATTGCTTATCTGAAATTAAGTTTAACTGAGAATGCTATATTTTTATTTGCTAGAGTTGGGAACCCTACACAGTTAAGCATGGCGGTGTGAAGCATAAGCTACAGTGACAGATTGCCTGGCTCAAATTCTTGCTGTGACTTACCAGGTCAATAAGGATCTTAAGTGATTTTACTTTAATTATCCCTCAGTTTCCACAGCTGTAAAAGGTTCATAATAATATTAGCTACCTCAAATGCTTAGTGTGAGGATTATGTCATCAATACACATAAAGTGCTTACAGCAGTGCCTGGCACATAATAAGAGGTATTTAAGTGCTAGCTGATGACCCTCTGATATTAACCTGCGTTCAGTTTAATTCCCAAGTCTTTTCTGAAGTTCATTTGTATATGAAGTTTTCCACATTGCACAGGTGCCGCTTCTACCCGAGGGAAAAGTTTTCTATTCTAAGTTCATTTCATGCACCTGTGTCTGTGTGTGTGTATGCGTGAGTGTTCTAAATGCCATTCATTTCATACACCTGTGTCTGTGTGTGTGCGTGAGTGTTCTAAATGCCATTCATTTCATACACCTGTGTCTGTGTGTGTGCGTGAGTGTTCTAAATGCCATTCATTTCATACACCTGTGTCTGTGTGTGTGTGCGTGAGTGTTCTAAATGCCGTTCATTTCATACACCTGTGTCTGTGTGTGTGTGTGTGAGTGTTCTAAATGCCGTTCGTTTCATACACCTGTGTCTGTGTGTGTGTATGCGTGAGTGTTCTAAATGCCATTCGTTTCATACACCTGTGTCTGTGTGTGTGTATGCGTGAGTGTTCTAAATGCCATTCGTTTCATACACCTGTGTCTGTGTGTGTATGCGTGAGTGTTCTAAATGCCGTTCATTTCATACACCTGTATCTGTGTGTGTGTATTCGTGAGTATTCTAAATGCCATCAGGTCCTCTTCTCCTCTGCTTCCTGGATTGTCACTGGCAAGTTTGAAAAGTTTCACTCGTGTCCTTCCTTAGTGTGCAGGTGGGGCACCAACCAAGGGGGCAAATTTGGGGGAGAGTTAAAAAGGCCTGAGAATAAAACAGGGAAGCCCTCCAAAGACAGTGGTGGATACCAAGGCTGGATGGTGGCTTATCCCAAAATGGTGCCAGAGAACCAGGCACCAAGAAACCCCTAGAGAGGTGAGGAGGAACTGCAAGTCTCTGGGGACCCAGGTTACGGGGTGGCATCAGGATTCTAAGCCCAAGGCTGTGGTCCCAGAGGCAAAAGAGCCACAAATTCAGATTCAAATGTGGTCAAGTAGGGTTTCAGGTGCTTGGAACTTGAGTCAGGGCTGGGACAAAGAGCCAAGACTGTGCTGGACAAAGTGCCTTCTAAGCCGTCACTCAAAGTCTCATGAAAATGTTGACCCACGTCTATCAGGGAGCAGGGCAACAGCAGCTCACATGCTCACGTGCATTTCAATCCACCTTTTATACCATCATCCTTCCTGTCTTTCTCCATCAAGTTTATAAGGTAGTCAAGAAAATCATGCCCAAAGTCCCTAATGAAATACAGGTCTGCGCCTAACCCAGGCCCCCCGGGTCTCCAGAAACCCCATCACAGTGCATGAAAACTCCCAGGGCCATGAGACCTCACAGCCATTGGAAAAGAACCAGTAAAGCTTAGGTTGTTTCTCTTTCTCCTCCCATCCCCACCCTCATGTTCTCCTCTGATTTCAGCCATGAAACATGTGATGGGTTTCTGAACAAACTACTCCAGAATATGGCACCTTGGCATAGCACAGATTTTAAGCAGAAGGAATTTGAGAAATGGCAGGTGCAAGAAAGACTCCCTGACCTTTCACTGAAGCAAGTCATAGGATGCTTCTGTGAGAGATGCCCTTCCTGTGCCAGAAGAAAAGAGCGCCCTTATCTCACAGGCACAGGGCTGCCAGGAGGAATCTGAGCACAGTGTCCTTGCTGGGTGTCCTGGGTGAGCACACTCTGCTCCTGCTCCTCTTCCGGTCAAATTGTTCCACGACATTTTACTCAGCATAAAACTGCCACAAAAGCACTCAGATTGAACCACTTTTTTCAGTCTTTCTTTATGAAGTTTCCTGTGTCATGTATAAAACTTACATTCAATAAATTGGCATGCTTTTCTTTGGTGAATCTGTCTTTTGTTACAGAGGCCCCAGCCAATGAAACTGAGATGGGTGGAAGGGAAAGACACTTTTCCTCCAGGACACCACCCAGAGCCCTTCACCCAGGCAGGGCTGCAGAACCTCTCACAGCCCCGAAGACCAAAGACTCTGTGCCCCCCTCAGCCTCCACCTGCCTCCCTGGGCAGTCCGCATCCTTCCTCAGCAGCCTGAGCCTGGGCGATAGCTCCGTTGACCCTGAGAGTAGGGCAGGTGCCACAGGGGCATGTCAGGCATGGGAGCCTTGGTGAAGGGAGGGCTTCTCATAAGAGTCCAGAGACTGCCTTTCATCCTCTACCCAGCTCTGTCAGTTCCGAAGGCAGGGCTGGTGCTTGGCATGGCAAGTATTGTTTAGTACCATTTAGTATTTAGTGTTAGCATTTTGCAGGAGAGGTATTGTTTAGTAGCTGAAAAATGAAAGACTTAAAAGAATGTAATGCCTCACCCAAGAATATCATGCATTTTACTCCACACCAACAAAGGAAAGTAGAAATTGAGGACAATCACCTGAGTAATTAGTGCTTAAAACTCTCTTTTGCCTCAGTTTATCTGGATATTTTCAGTCAATGTCCTGGCAAATTGCCTGCATTTTTCATTCACTGGATCAGTGAGGAGCCTGTGGACTTGGGCAACTATTTTCAGAACTGGTTTAGCCAATGTTTGTTTATATCATAGTATCCTTATTGTATCGCCATACTAACTATTATATATTATAATAATATAATCAATAAATATAATTGTTATAATTTTACATCAATATCCTCATTGATGCTGTCATTATTATTATCCATTTGTTGCATGTTTTAAGTGTCTGAAAGGAAAAAAAAGAAAACAAGAACTTGACCAATTGTTTCATTTGAAGCTAATAAAAGAATAAGATGTATTGAAAGTGTTTTCTAAATTCTGCCAGTCCTGTTGGAAACAATCCCATACTCCTGTTGAAATTCTGTAGATGATTAGGAAAAAATATCAACACACTGAGAAATAGTTTTATTTTTACAAAACGTAGGCATCTGCAAATTAAGACACTCTAGCAAATGGGAGGAAATTGCTTTCTGCAGAGAGAAGCTGGGGCCTGAGGAGAACGTGTGTCCCTGCCTGTGTCCCTCCTGGGCTTCCTTCCCTGGTTCATGGACAGCTCCCGCAGAGGAGAACCTGCCACGTGCACGTGGGAAGGCCAGCCTCTCTTCACCCAGGGACACTGAGTGCCTGTTCCTCTTAGCGTCACATAACTCGGGATGTTTGGGAACCGCAGCCCCTCCGGCTGAAGTGTCCACCTGTGCTGACTGATTCTGGCACTTGAAGCATTGCCGGGCACGCTTTCTCTGGCTGCTGCAGGTGCTCCAGCTTTGTCCTCCCTCTCGGGGCCGCCAGGACCCAGGGGAAGGCTCTGGAGTGAGTCATTCCCCCCAGGGTTCTCCCATTCTGCTGCCTCGGGGCCCCGGCACTGGGTGTGGACCGCCCGGGCATAGCATGACCCTGAGTGAGATGAGGAGACTCTGCAGCAGCTGACCACCGGAGGCGGCTGCAGACCACACGCCGCAACTACACAACCCATCTTTGTTTCTAGCATAGTCCACACCTGCCTTAGTCCACCTGGGCTGCCGCAACAAATGACCCTAAACTGGGTGGCTCAACAGCAAGCATTGATTGATCAGTGCTCTGAAGGCTGGACGCGAAGGAGCCGGCAGATTCAGTGTCTGTGAAGGTCACTCCCTGGTTGTAGCCTGCTGTCCCTTCATCGTATCCTCACATGGCAGACAGCAGAGAGAAAAAGGCAAGCTCTCATGTGTCTATTTATAAAGGCCCTAATGCTGTTCATGGGTGCTCCGCCCTCATGAATTACTCCCAAAGGCCCACCTCCTAACACCAGCACCTTGGAGGTTAGGATTTCCGGATATGAGTTTTAGGGGACACAGACACTCAGGCCATAACACACGTCTGCACTGCTCAGGCTCACACGTGCTTGGGGAGCAGCTCCTCCAGGATTCTCACGGGCCTCTCTTCCAGAGGGAAAACTTACATGAGAAGGGCTATGGGAGAGCTGCAGCCCCTCCACTGCTGTGGGCCTTGGGGCTGCAGGTGATGTTCCTCTTGCCCTCCCTCCACCATCCAAACTAGGTTCCTGTCACTCTCAGTGGCCACCGCGACTGCCCTCAGTGGCCAGGGCATGGTCTGGAGCCTCCCTTCCAAGGGACCTGAGCTCCTGTCCAGCCTTCCTCTTCCCAGGTCCAGGCTGTCTTCCCTATCCATTCACAGTCATAATTGTCCAGAGATCACCAAGGGGCCCCCACGTTGGTCACCTGGTATCCAAGAGTACCTCTCCCTGCCCATGTTGTGCAGCATCAGACCGGCCACCTCCTGACGATCAGGGTCTGTCACCCCTGCCAACACAGGGACTCCACATCTTGTCTGCTGGTCCCTGGACACAATGACCCACCCTCCCAGGGAGCAGCAGTAGCTCATAATTTACTGAAAATCTTGCTGTGTCCCCAGGAGAAAACACGCTGTCTTGAAGACCAGGACCTCTAAACCTGCAGAGCCCAGCAGGAAAGGGAAGCACGTCCTCCGTGAGTGATAGAATCAGGGTAAGTGGAGCCACTTTGTTTCCAGCCATCTGTTCCCATATCAGTGTCTTCTCCTCCAGGAACAGGGTGCCATAGGAAGGTCTGATTCCACACACATGCTGCAACCTGGAGGGTGTCATCCAGTCATCACAGGGCATGGGCTCTAAGCTGGCATCTCTGGTATACTTGTAGAAGGTGATTTTGACCGTCTATCAAGTGTGAGATACAACCAGTGGCCCCTGGGCTCTAAAGTGGACCCATGGAACTGACACGCCTTAAGGAGACCTCAGGCCTGTAGACCGAATACCTCATGAGTCCACAGACAGTGGAGCTCCCCTGCTGAGAGGAAACCTGATCCCATGTGTGAAATAGTGTCTATTCCTGTAAGAACAAACCACTGGCCCTTTGTAATGACATGGGGCCACCAATTTGTGATATCTGAGTCATACGACTTGACAGAAGTCCCCTTTGCCCCAGCGAGGTCTTCCTGCTTGCTTTTCCAATGTACCTCCCTTCTTAACTGACACCCCAGCTATCCTAGGTGTGCTGGGGTGAGAAGTGCCCCTTAGGGAAGGCTGTGATAAATTTACAAAACAAGTTCATTTTTAGTGATACCTGTAGGGGTCCCTTAGGATTCAAATTCAGCCAACAGGGTAATAACTCACAGGAAATGTACCTCTCCCTAGTTAGCACATAAATGCTTTGGTTTCTCCAGTCCTTCTATCCTCCGATTTTTTTCGCCACCATCAACCTCTGGCTGGGGAAGCCCCTTCTCCTCTGGGAGTCCCCATTGGACTGAGTATTGATGGACTTTGGTCTCTTGCTGTTGACGTTTCTTGTATCATTCATGCAGCCACCCAATAAATTCCCAGGTGGGGGATCAGGAAGAGCTTTAGGGAGGTTTCTCTAGGTTGATGGAAATGCCCTTTGAGGGTAGCGGGGGCCTAGTATAATCACTTTGCAGCCGTTAGTGATTGATTTTCTCCAGGAATGGTGCCACACTGGGGTTCGCCATCCATCTCTGTCACAGGCTGAGGACGTTGGACACTGGCGGTGGATCCAGCGCTGGTAGGCAGAGGCCATTCAGTGGGGCCTTTGCAGTACCCTCATCTCTGCCTGTGAGGTCCTTTCACTGATGTGCCCATTGCCACTGGGTGGTTGATGACAGAGGCTGGCTGACATCAACTGGCCACCATTTTGTCTAGTTGCTGACTTAGTGTCTCTTCCATGGTAGCTACTCTCTATGGGCCTTCATACACAGTGCAGAGCGAGCCCACTTCTTGTCCACTCCAGTATGTCCATGTACGTGCCTCTATCCCTTTTACCCTATATATTCTTGTCCCTGATCTTCTAATATTTTTTCTTTCCAGGCCCAAGGTCAACAGGATAGGCCACTTTCCATGGCTCCTGATCACACATGTATGTACGTGTACCTATATAGACACTAAAGCCAGGCCTCTTCTCTTTCCACACAGCATGAGTCACGGGGCCATCACCTGAAGCTCCCTCATGGTGAAGCTGTCCCTTGCCACTGCCTTCCAAGGCATCGTGCAGCTGCCATCCATTTTGTGCACACACCGTATATCAAACCAACCTGCCCGTGAAGCAAAGGTATGTCATTTTGCTCCTTCACCTACTTATACAAGATTCCACCACCAAGCTGTAAGCCTGCACTGAGGGAGGGGCACTGAAGCCACAGAGGCGTGCACATGGTGGTCTTTGCTTGTATCCTACTTGTTATTTGCTGCTTACTGCTGCTGCTCAGTCCTGAATGTTAATCCAAAATACATTATTAGAAATGTAAAATCTAAAACTATAACACTTTTCAAAGAAAATAGAAAAGCATTGCACCTTAGGATAATAACAATTTCTTAGCTAGGGCATAAGAGGCAGAAACCATAAAAGAATTAATAAATTAAGCCTCCTCAAAACTTAAAAACTATTAGTATTAGCAAGACACTTAAGAGAAAGAAAAGACAATTCACAGACTGTGAGAAAATGTGTGCAATATGTATATCTGAAATAGGAGTTATATCTAGAATATGGAATGAACTTTTATGGGTGAACTATTTGAACAGCCCTTCACAAGAAAAGGCTTACAAATAGTAGTAACATAAAATGATGTTCAGCATTATTTGTAACCAAAGAAACTCAAATTAGTGCCATGATGAAATACCACCACACAACCACTAGCGTGGCTGTAATCCAAAGCCTGACCTGACAAACATCTGTGAGGAGGTGAGGCAGCTGGAACCCAGCCACTGCTGATGGTGCTGCAAAATGGAGCACTACTTTGGAGAACTGTCCCACAGTGTTTAAACATGCACATATAATAGTATTGCATAATTCTATTCTCAGGTCTTCACCTATGAGAATAAAATATTTCCACACACACACTTGAGCCCCAATGTTCAGAACATCTTTAATGTAACACTGCATGAAAGGATGAATGCATTTTAGTACATCCATATGGGGTAATATTATTCAGCAATGAAAAGGGATGAGCCACTGATAACTGCACCAACATGGACAAATCCCAGAATCATCATGTTGCATGAAAGTAATGGTTCACAAATGGTCACGGTTCCATTTCTCTAACCCAGGGTGGCAGGAAGGAGGCTAGTCTTCATGGGGTTGGGATGGTGGCACCTGGCACTGAGGCAGAACAGGGAACTCTGGGATAATGAAAATATTTTTTCTATGGACCTTGAGGGTGGTTACACAGATGTACACATTGGCAAAGCCCATCAAACCATATGATTTAAGTGGGTGCATTGGCCCGATGCAGTGGTTCATGCCTGTAATCTCAGCACTTTGGGATGCCAAGGCTGACAGATCACGAGGTCAGGAGTTTGAGACCAGCCTAACCAACATGGTGAAACCCCATCTCTACTAAAAATACAAAAATTAGCTGGGTGTGGTGGCACTCACTGTAATCCCAGCTACTCAGGAGGCTGAGGCAGGAGAATCACTTGAACCTAGGAGGTAGAGGTTGCAGTGAGCCAAGATTGTGCCACTGCACTCCAGCCTGGGTGACAGAGCAAGACTCTGTTTCAAAAATAATAATAATAATAAATGGGTGCATTATATTTTACATTAATTATCCTTCAACAAAACTGATTTTAAGACTTAAGGAAGAATCTAAACTTTAATACTGTCTGCATGACAACAGGTACTGTAACAAAATTTATATAGCAAATGATCACAGAGGAAGTCTGAAGTAGCAAAATATGTACTAGGGTATTAAAGTTCAGGCTAGTGGTTGTGAATTTATAATATACTTATTTCCATTTTTATGGTGTTTATATTAAAACAGTTTCACAAGAGAAATGTATTCTGTAAAGCTGCAGGGTTGCAGAACACGGTTTAAAAGCCCTAGACTAATTAATTCAGCCCTTGGCTCCTCCTCCAGCTCACCTTGCTAATTTTTCTCTCTCCATTCAAATATCAGATTGCATTTCTGGGTCTATTAAAATTGCTTTGCTACTGAATACTTAGTGGGATGCAAAATATGTGACTTGCTTATTACAACTCACTGTGTGCCTTTAATTTTTCCTTGTCATGCCTTCCTAAATGTTTCATTGCTATATTTTGCAAAACTGAGAGGGGATAATGCACACAGCAACTCTCCAGGAAAAATGTATGTGATGTCTACTGCTTGCCTATCTAAGTTGCTATTGAGATTCTAGTCCGTAGGTGGTGAGTTGAAATTCTTAATATCAACATCAACTCCAAAGGAGATCTGAGAAGCTTGGCTCCTGAGTTCAGAAAGTCTCTTGGTTAGGACAGATAGCTGGCGACAGAGATTCTTGCTTTTCCTTGGAACTGCTGCTCAAAGCAGGTTGGCCTGAGGTACTTTAGAATACATGGATGGGGGAAGAGGCTGCCAAGATGCTCTTAAAACAGCTGTTAGCATGCACCCCAGCACTGCAGTCCTTCATGCCACCCAGGGCAGCAAGCCTGCCTCGTGTCCAACCTCTGTCTCCCGCTCTCCTTCTTGGGTCAGCTGTGGAGGGAGAATCTCCTCATGGACGTGGCTGGAGGAGCCTCCTCTTCTCTCCTGTGAGCCACATATCCCAAGGATTTCTCACTAACTGTTGCTCCTCATCCTACTCTTGTTTTAGGGGATGCTGCACACCATTTAATCTTATTAATCTAGCTTAGATCCCTGAAACCTGGCTGGAATATTTAAACAGTACTTTACTAACAGCTCAGAGTGAGCAAAAGAAAAATAGGTGCCGCGAATGACGTGACTCGCAAGCTAGAGTCTTAATTCTTTCCCCATGTTTCCTCCTGAAACATCTCTCTGCACAGTTGTTGATTCTTTGGAATTTTCTACATAGCCAATCATGTCATCTGTGAGCAAATGCAGTTTCGTTTCTTCCTTCCCAATCTGTATACCTTTTACTTCCTTTTTTGTTTTATTGCATTAGGTAAGACTCACTGCACAATGTTGAATTAACTCATGAGAGGCGACATCCTTCTCTTATTCCTGATCATAGGTGTAAAGCACTTGGATTCTCACCAGTAAGTACAGTATTAGCTTAGATTTTTATAAAATATTCTATATATTCAGAGATATTTTTATAAAATATTCCATTTTCCTCCATTCCTAGTTTGCTGAGAGTTTGCATCATGAATAAGTGTGTTGGATTTTGTCAAATACTTTTTCTGCCTCTACTGATATGATGGTATGGCGTTTCTTCTTTTGCCTGTTGATACAGGGATTACATTGATTGATCTTTAAATGTTGAACCAGACTTGCATGCCTAAAATGAATCCCATTTGATCCTAGTGTATAATTTTTAATACATTGTTGGATTCAATTTGCCAATATTTTGTTAAGGATTTTGCATGGATGTGTCTATAGTTGTCATTCCTAATAATGTGTTTGTCTGGTTTTGATATTTGGAAAATGTTGGGCTCATAGAATGACTTAGAAAGTATTCCCTCTGCTTATATTTCTGGACAAGATTGTAGAGAACTAGAACAATTTCTTCCTTAAATCATTGCGGAATTCACTAGGAAAATCATCTGGGTCTGATGCTTTCTGTTTGGGAAAGATATTAATTATTGACTCAATTTCTTTAATAGATATAGGCCTATTCCGATGATCAGTTTTCCTTTGGGAGTTCTGATAGATTGTGTGTTTCAAGGAATTGGTCCATTTCATCTAGGTTATCAAATTTGTGGGCATACAGCTTTTCATAATATTCCTTTATTATTTCTTTAATGTTCATGGGACCAGTAGTGATAGCCTCTTTCATTTCTGATATTCACAATTTGTGTCTTCTTTTTTTTCTTAGTTACTCTGACTAGCTATTTATTATTTCAATTGATATTTTCAGCAAACCACTGTTTGGTTTTATTTATTTTCTCTAGTGCATTCTTGTTTTCTGTTTTATTTCTTCTCTAATTTTTATCATTTATTTTCTTAACATCCTTTAGGCTTATATTGCTCTTTTTTTCTCTAGATTCCTAAAAAGGATGCTTAGATTATTAATTTTAGGCCTTTCTTCCTTTCTATTATATGCATTTAATGTTATAAATTTCCCTCTAAGCACTGCTTTTACTGCATCCCACAAATTTTGATGTTTTATTTTTATTTTCGTTCAGTTCAAAGTTTTTTAACGTTGATTTGTGTGCCATTTTGAACTGTGGTGCTTAATGTTCAATTAGTTTGGCATTTTCCAGTTACCTTTCTGTTATTCGTTTCTGCATTAATTTTATGGTGTTCTCACAACATATGCTGTGTGATATCTGTTTTTAAAATTTGTTAAGGTGTGTTTTCCATGAAGAATGTTACTCTGCTCTCATTGAAGAAAGTACCCTATAATGATCGACTAGATCTCGTTTGTTGACACAGATATTCAATTCAGTTACATCCTTACTGATTTTCTGCCTGTTGGATCTGTCAATTATTATTATTATTTATTTTATTTTTATTTTTATTTTATTTTTTTGAGGTGGAGTCTTGCTCTGTCCTGCCCAGGCTGGAGTGCAGTGGCACAATCTTGGCTCACTGCCACCTCCACCTCCTGGGTTCAAGCGATTCTCCTGCCTCAGCCTCCCAAGTACCTGAGACTACGGGTGCCCACAACCACACCCAGCTAATTTTTTGTATTTTTAGTAGAGATGGGGTTTCACCATATTGGCCAGACTGGTCTCGAACTCCCGACCTCAGGTGATCCACCCGTCTTGGCCTCCCAAAGTGCTGGGATTACAGGCTTGAGCCACTGCACCCGGCCAGGATTTGTCAATTATTGATAGAAGGATGTTGAAGTTTCTAATCATAATAGTGACTATGCCTATATTTCTTTGCAGCTCTATCTGTTTCTGTCTCACCTCTTTTAATGCTCTGCTGTTAGTCACACACACACACACGTTAAGGACAATCAAGTTTTCTTGGAGAGCCGGTCTCCTTACCCTTTATTGCCCTTCTTTATCCCTGATAAGGTCTCTTATTCTATTATCAGTTTTGTCCAAAATTAATATAATTACTTAAGTTTTCTAAAATTTCTACTGTCATGGAATATCTTTCGCCATCCTTTTACTTTTAATCTGTCTGTACTTTAATATTGAAGTTGGGTTTCTTACAGACTACATGTAGCTGAGTCTTATTTTTTCATCTACCTTGTCAGCCTCTGTCTTTTAATTGTCATTTTGGATTATTCACATTTAAAGTGATAATTGTTATAGTCAGATTAATATCTACCACATTATAACTGTTTTCTTTTGTTTCTCTTTTGTGTTTCTTTTTTATCTTTCCATCTTTTCTGCCTCCTGTCATTTTAATTGAGCATTCTATGATTCCATTTTCTCTCATCTTTTAGCATACCATTATACTTCTTTTTAAATATCTTTAATGATCACCCTATCACTTGCAATATACATTTACAACTAATTTAAGTACATTTACAAGTATTTCCTGAATTTGAATGTTGGCCTGCCTTGCTAGGTTGGGGAAGTTCTCCTGGATAATATCCTGCAGAGTGTTTTCCAACTTGGTTCCATTCTCCCTGTCACTTTCAGGTACACCAATCAGACGTAGATTTGGTCTTTTCACATAGTCCCATATTTCTTGGAGGTTGTGTTTGTTTCTTTTTACTCTTTTTTCTCTAAACTTCTCTTCTCGCTTCATTTCATTCATTTGATCTTCCATCACTGATACCCTTTCTTCCAGTTGATTGAATCAGCTACTAAAGCTTGTGCATTCATCACGTAGTTCTCATGCCATGGTTTTCAGCTCCATCAGGTCCTTTAAGGACTTCTCTGCATTGGTTATTCTAGTTAGCCATTTGTCTAATCTTTTTTCAAGGTTCTTAACTTCTTTGCCATGGGTTCAAACTTTCTCCTTTAGCTCGGGGAAGTTTGATCGTCTGAAGCCTTCTTCTCTCAACTCATCAAAGTCATTCTCCGTCCAGCTTTGTTCCACTACTGGTGAGGAGCTGCATTCCTTTGGAGGAGGAGAGGTGCTCTTATTTTTAGAATTTTGAGTTTTTCTGCTCTGTTTTTCCCCATCTTTGTGGTTTTATCCACCTTTGGTCTTTGATGATGGTGACGTACTGATGGGGTTTTGGTGTGGATGTCCTTTCTGTTTATTAATTTTCCTTCTAACAGTCAGGACCCTCAGCTGCAGGTCTGTTGGAGTTAGCTGGAGGTCCACTCCAGACCCTGTTTGCCTGGGTATCAGCAGCGGAGGCTGCAGAACAGCGAATATTGCTGAACAGCAAATGTTGCTGCCTGATTGTTCCTCTGGAAGTTTTGTCTCAGAGGGTTGCCCAGCCATGTGAGGTGTCAGTCCGCCCCTACTGGGGGGTGCCTCCCAGTTAGGCTACTCGGCGGTCAGGGACCCACTTGAGGAGGCAGTCTGTCCGTTCTCAGATCTCAAGCTGCGTACTGGGAGAACCACTGCTGTCTTCCAAGCTGTCAGACAGGGACGTTTAAGTCTGCAGAGACTCAATCTTTGTATACAATTCAATGATAAATAGGTGAAGAACCCCATAGAACCCAATGGAAAATGGCCAGGAAATGTAAACAAACAATAAACAAAAAAAATCACAAGAATACTAATAAGCAAATAAACTCATGCTCAGCATCATCGTCTATCCCAGTAATGCAAATTAAAACCACAGTGAGATGCCAATTCCAACTGATTAGAAAAACTCTGACAATACCAAGCACTGTTAAAAATGTGAAGTAACTAGAGCTTCATACATGGATGAAGGAGCATAAAGTGAAACATTCACTTTGTTAAACTCCTTGACAGTTTCTTATAAACTCCAGCATACCTATGACCAAACAATTCTCCTCCTGGCTTTTTACCAAAGAAAATTTAAAACATGTGTTTACAAAAGGAATTGTGGGAAAAGATTACAGTAGCCTTATTCATAACAGCAGAACACTGAAAACACCCGAAATATTCATCTACTGACAAATGAATAATCAAATTGTGGTACAGTCACGTAACACACTATGACTCAGCGATAAAAAAGAATAAACTACTAATACACAGAACGACATGATCGAACGTCAAAACATTCTGAGTAAAATAAGCCAGACACAAAAGAGTGCATTCTCTATGATTCCACTCATGAAGTTGAAGAACAACCAAACTTATTCTATGGTGATAGAATTCAGAATACTGGTTCTTGTTGGGAGGCGAACGGTTCTATAAGGCAGTACAAACAAACGTGCTGCAGTGATGGAAATAATCTGTACCACATTTTTGCAGTAGTTTTATGAATAAATACAATCATCAAAATTCATCTAAATAAACAGTTAAGATAAATCATGACCTTAACAAATGAACAGTTGGTGTTAAATCAGAAACATCGTCTAGTGTTGGCCGCTAAGCCCTTTCTGACCAGGGTGAAACGGGACGCTCTAGAGGGTTCCCGGCTGCACAGCTACGCTGTCTCGTTTTCTGATGCTGCCTGAGATACTGTTTGCTGACAGGGGCTGGAAGTGATCTCAATCACTCTCTCATGCTCCTTCAGATGCAATCAGTTATCATTTCACAAAATAATGAATCTGCCAGAGCGGAGAATCCCAGATGAATGTCTTGACAGAATCAACCTCTTGAATTTTGCTTCTAACCTTTTCTTCCCCTTGAAGTATTTCAGACTCCGCAGCTCTCCTCGTTAGGCTGAAACAGAGCTGTGGCCCAGGAGTAGAAATGAGGGAGGAGCATGGCAGTGAGGAGGATGGAGAGGAAGGGAGAGGAGGGGAGACACGGGAGGAGAGGGGGAAAGCGAGAAAGAATGAAGAGGAAACGGAAAAGGGGGCAGGCAGAGGAGACTAACAAGGAAGAGAAGAGAGAAAGTTGACATACATTGCATGACTTGAAGCAGATAAATTACAGCAACATCTGACATTGGGAAGCTCTCAAGCTATATATGTGTGTAGGTATATACATATATACATAGGTAGCAACATGTATATATGTATATATGGTGAAATATATATATATATATATATATATATATATATATATATATATATGTCACAAGAACTTAATGAATTTGTTAATTACCTACAAACACACAGAGAAATTTAGGGCATAGGCTGGAGAACACTAAATCTAGTTATTTATTTCTGATAAAAAGAAACATCTCAGACCTTGGTGCAAATTAGTATTTTCAAACGAGGTTTCTGTACCAGGCAGTGTCATGAATTAGATTATAACAGAGACGTCTCATGTCCCCAGTGTGAGTGTGATGGGCAGCTTCCCCATGCTATAAACACCACCTCCTTGTTTTACAGCAAGGCAGCTCCTACCAGGATTATACATTTCTCTGAGACCCATTATCAACATTTTTATTTGAGGCACATTTTATATGTTTTTACTGCTCCCAGAGTCTAGAATACCTATTTGTCTACACAGAAGCTTTGTTCTGGCATCAGGGAGCATCTGTTTCATGTTAGTTCCTTAGAATTTCATTTCTTGCAGATATAAGTTTATTACGAACAGGGAGACTGTCTTCTTGCCCATTTTAGTTTTCAACTGATTTTTGGAATGTTTTATAAAAGACGTATTTGCCCAAAAGAATTTATTACTGACCTTTTTTGAAACATTTCATGATGCAAAATAACCTATGCCGCAGCAGTATTATGCGCTCTCCCTTTCCCATCTCTCAGTGCCTGGGAAGGTGACATGACTGACGGCAGCTGCACATGCCTGAGCCACGCTGTGTTGTCTCCAGTTATACTCCAGCCCCAAGCCCTAGAGTTAGCACTTCTGAGGGTGCCTGGACAAACTTGTCTTGAAGAAGGAACCGCTCTTCTTGGCCTTACACAGCCTCGTGTGGACTCAGGCAGCTGTCGTCCTGGCTCTTGGAAAACTCAGAAGAGAAAACCAAAGGACAAGCTATGGAAGGGATTTGGGGGAAAATGAAGTTCAGGTTCCAGGGAGATGACTTTCCCTGTTCCCATCAAAGATGATTTCAGGCATAACCACCCTCCACAAGGAACCTCTCCTCCGTGCCACCCCTGGCCACAGAGAGGGGATCTGGGTGTGCTGGGTACATGCACAGTGAGCAGAAAGATGGGCATTGTAGGTCCAGCTGCTTTCCTCTCTCCTCACCTGCTTACTGGCACTGAATACCTGAGGGGGTAAATGGCTTCAGGGCTTTCAGGTAGCTCTGCTGAACAGATCCTCTCAATTCCTCAGGCCTATTCTCTCTCCACTTCTCCCCACGAGACATTGAGGTCCTCATCAGAATGTTCCCTCTTAATGAGTGCACAGTGCCAGCTGATCTTGTTTTTCAGGGCAGAGCTCCTGGGAGGAAGGCTTTTGGAAGTTGGTTCTCAGAGGCCTGATTTACTGTATCTAAGACTGGTTCTTGGGCAGCTGGACAGGTCCAAGATAAAAAGAGAATTGGTCAATTTCAGGGCCATGTTGGCAATAACCAAAATGGAGCAGTCTACTGCAGCAATTTTCCAGGGGTCATGCCGTGAGGCCCAGAGTTCCTCGGTTTTGCACCACCACCTTCTAAATGAGCATCTCTCTGGGCACAGCGACTTGGAAAGAACCTGAGAAGATGAGGAGTTTGCCGTCTCCCCTTCCCTCAGCACCCTCAGCCTTCCCATCCTGCCCAACACTGTGGGAAGCTCACCCTCTCAGTGAAAAGGTCATCTCTTTCCACAAACAAAACAGAAACTATTTCCCTGGAGAATGTGTATCAGGACTTTTACTGAGTTTCAGTCTAGTATCCACATTTAGAATGGTCATTTTTACCAAAGAGAACTCTGCCTGGGACCCCTGACTTCTGATGTTTATCACCAAAGCCAAATGAAATAATAACCTAATAAGAAACCGCTAGAACTGGTCGCTGAAATGCTCATAAGCTCATCGCCCTGCTCAGTCTGCTTCACAGGTCGGAGCACTGGGTCTCCTTGGCTCACTGTGTTTTAACCTGTCAGCTTGAAGACATAGTCCTCCGAACTGAGTCAATTGGTTGGAGTTAGATAAGGAGCCAAGGAGGCAGTATCAAGCCAATTGCAACCTTGACAATTGTGGCTAGAGGTTAAGAGAGAGTCACAGAAAGGGAGAAGTTATAAATAGATCTGGAACCTTTGTATGGGGGTAACGTATGAGATATGCTGTGAGTTTAAAATGCACATGGAAAATGGCCTTAGAATATAGGAAGATCCCTAATGGAATTGTGGTAAGAATCTGAGGACAGGAGAAATATGGTTACTTGTGGAGCTTGTACTCGTAGATGACGCCATACTTTGCCCACTTGATAATGCTGCTTATGAGGCTTGAATAAGATAATATATATTTTGAAAGTAATTTTAAACTAGAAAGCACTTGGAAAATATTGGTAGTGATAACGTGTGATATTATAAGTACTAATCCAACCAAAAATTCATATGGAAACTCCCAAACTGTTTTCAAGTGCATCATAAAACTAAGGGAAATAGAAGACATTAGGTTTAATTGCTTCCATTTTGCTCCAAGGTATACAGGAAAAAATACGTGGAAATTTATGATAATAGTGGAATTAAAACCTGGGCCAATTGTCTTCTGAAGTAGTATAGTACCTATTATACCATATTATCCCCATGCAAAGAAATTAGATCCAAATACTGGAGCAGCCCTGCAAGAAAGACCTATTCAAAGGGGCTGCCTCTATAGAACAGAAGTCATATCTGTGGGAAGCAGGCTGGCAGTCTCACCATAAGATTTTATGAACAAAGAGAGTCCTGCATTCATGGCCAGAGATGCAGGTTTGCCTTCTCACTCTGGCGCTCTGTCTTATGCTATTTGTTGGCTAACACAAGTTGCATAACCAATTCTATTTTCTCTCATTTGCCCACTGTGGCACCTGGAAAGCTCGATACCTATTTACCCAAAAAACTGATCACTAGGTGTGGCTATGCAATACAGTTCAGATCAGTAAAATGTATGTTATTTTAGGGACTTCTGGAAAGGATTTGCCTTTTCTGACAAAAGAAACAGCTAAGACTCATGCTACCACTCCCTCTTCTTCCTGCCTTGATTTCAGACGTAATGTCTGGAGCTACAGAGGCCATATCATGACCATGAGACCTCATGCATGAAGAAAAATCCAATAGAATAACAGGGATATCAGTCTCAATAGCACCTAAGGGCTGGATCACTACCAATATCTTCCTTCCTCCAGATTTTTTTAACTTTCGGGGAAAAATAAACCTTACTTGTTTTAAGTTACTGTGGGCAAGTGGTTTTTGTTTGTTTATTCTTAATCAGGTGAATGCACTTCTAACTTTTACAGCCCCTTACTAATTTGCAGTTGGGCATGCTATTAACCTCCCTGAGCTGGTGAAAGAGATCAGTGATGGCCTAACACATATGGCTGACACACAGAAAACATCAAAGGTCCTCATCTTCACCCTCCTTCAGTGCTGCCTCTCGCTCCACCTTCAAAACAACCACCTCCATCAATCCCTCCCAACCCACTTCCTCCGTCTCCTTCTCTTCTGAAACTTTTCTACCATCCTCAGTGCAAAATGAGGATGAAAGGATCCCAATATTATTATTCCCTGAAAGGATCCCAATATAAAGTTTGTACTACCTACTATGCTGGCTACAATGATGACAGAGAAACTGGCTTTGTAAATCTCAAGGCAGAATAAAAAATTAAGTGACATTTGTTCTCAGAACATAACAATAAACTTTTTTAGAACCCTCCGTATCAGTTTGCTAGGACCACTGTAAAAAAGTACCATAAACTGTGTGCCTTAAGACAGCAGGAGTTTATTGTCTTATAGCTATGGAGATCAAAAGTTTGAAATCCAGGTGCTGGCAGTACCACGCTCCCTGGGAAGACACCAGGGAAGAAACTGCTCTGTGCCTCTCTGCAGCTTCTGGTAGGTGCCTTTATAAATGATCCTGTCGCTTCTTTTTAATACTTCAGCATTATACCTCAATCAAGAGGAACCTTGCTTTTAGCTAGATGCCACGGTTTTGTCTTACCCCTGTCTTCCCTAAGCTTTTAGGTTTAAGTTGAACAGAATTATAATTTTTCCCCAAAAGTATTTGCCTTTGAATTGGAGATTATTTAATCCTGAAAACTCCAGGCATTCTGGCAGATGTGAGTAAAACCTGAGACATACAAGGGCATGTGATCTGGAAATATCGAGAGCCTCACCTGGCCAGAGGGGCCATCACTCAAGCAAACACCTACTTATCTGTTTGATGCCTATGGTGATGAAGTCCCAGCATAATCTCTGCCTTTGTCTCTTTTTCAAGATTCACTTGTCTAGTCCAGGCCCAGTGAGTAGTTGTCAGCCCAGAATGGGGAGATTTTAAATGATGTTGATGGCCTTGCCTCCTTCCAATGTCATTTATGTTTATTATTTATAGGTGCCCAGATGTCCCTGGCTTCTTGCCATAAAGAAAAGCAAGTGTGAAATTAAGAATAAGATTCATTGCCTGAGATTTCCCCGGGCAACACATGAAAAGAGCTCGATTGTCAGTGTTAGGGAGACAGACGTTTTCAGCACTGGACAGCGAGTCTCAGGCCTGAGGGTTCAGGGCTGGGGAGTCAGGAGAGGTCTGGTCATCTAGAAGGGCAGAGCTCTCATGTTGGAGGCAGGAGATGGACGAAAACAAACCTGGCTGGAGAAAGAGAGGGATCAAGATGAAACTGGAAAATTTATTTTGTATTGGAAATTCTGATTATTTTTTCTTTCCTTACTATCTTAACAGAGATTTTCATGTCTAAATAGGAATCCTTTATTTTCAGACTTGTTATCACTCATCATAAAAGCAATCCTTCTCTGCTTTCCTGATGTCTGCCTTTCTCTGCTTGTCTGACACAAGTTTCCCTGCGGTTCATACAGATTTGATGCCTCTATTCATCTTCCAGCTCCTTCTGCGGCTTAGCTTTCCTCCTTCCTTCCCTCACTGTAATTGGATCGCTCATCTCCGGCAGGAAATCTTGCCAAACTGGAGTTTGCTCCCGCTCACCTAGGGAAAATCACCTGGTAAGGTCATCAGGATGCTGCATCTGGCCATTGTCTCCTCAGCTCCCTGCTAGCTGCTGACTAAACTCTAATTTGGTGTTGAGATTGCTTTTGCACTGGGCTTCTTTCACTAAGTGTGTTTAATCTGCTGTGAAATTGTTTTCATGGTTGCAGTCAGTGTTATAGTAACAGTTTAACAATGTGCATTTCTTTGCTTTGCAAAGGGTCTTGGCAGTCTCTATGCAAATTAGCACTTGTCTAATGTCATTATGCATGGTTCCTGGGAGAGCAGCAACTGGAATCCTGGATAAACTTGTCCACTCAGTCTGGGGGATAAGGAGACTGGGATAAAGAAGCAGAAACTCTCTCACGGATGGATGGACCAGGCCTTACCTTGACGTATGTGATCTTCCCTTTAACCTGTGACCTTGTGTTTGGGACGGTAGTAAGAAGATTTCATTAAACCAGCTGAACTTTTATCATCTGAGGCCGAATGTCAAACTCTACCCTGAAATGCAACATAGTGGGCTTAGACTGGTGTAAGAAAGTATGTTTTGATTCGGGTTAGTTGTGGAAGCTATATTTCAGGTGGAAGCATAGGGTACATTGGGGTTAGAGACTTAGCCTATGATATTGTAAGAAAGGGGGAGTGAGGGGCTATATTGTCCAACAATTGTAATGTATATTTAGTTCTCCTAATTCTGGCAACAATTCTGCAAAGTTAGATGCAGAGATTGCATTCCCTTGGAAGCTTACTCTGAGATGGAGTTCGGAAAGCAGAATGCTTATTGTGAAGATAAATAATTCAAATTAAAGCTGTTGGAACTTTAAAGTATTTTGAGCCTCTAAGGGAATGTGAATTGTGAGACCTGAGTCATGTAGCATGCAGCTACAGCTTCTGTTCCTTCCTGTAAATGATAAGAAAAGGCCTTGTGGCACCAGAGAGCAGACCCCCTCAGATTGTCACCCCTCCTCAGAAAGCGCTGGAGCACTGTTCCTTAGAATGTAGCAAACTGTGAGCAATCACATCCCTGCAACTGTGTACTGGCCATGTATGGAAATGTGTGATCCTGCCAAACCTCTTTGTTTCTGCCTATATTAATAAAACCTTAATTTCCTCACTAGGGAGGCACTGACCCCATTATTTTGGAGTGTGTGTTTCTGAGTGGCTGTCTTCAAACTTTATGCTTGACTAAAATTGGATTTTGATCCTTTTGGTTTTTTCAGGCTGACATTATTGAAGATTGACTTTGGGATCAAGCCCTGTTGTAGGAAGGGAGAGAAGGAAGAGCAGACAGAGGGGTATTTGAGCTGTGATGCAGGCCCAACAGGAGCCTCCACTGGCACCAAGAGGGCCCCTGGGGAGATCGTGTCCTCCAGAGTTTTCCCAGTTGAACTAATTGGTCAGGCCACGATACCCCCATGTCCATCTGCCAGTGGATATGGGCCAAGGAGGCGGGGGCTGACCCTGGGAGAACGGCTTTCCTGCAGGGTCCTGGAAGGGACTGATAGCTAAAAGCTGTTGCCAAAATCACTCCCAACAGTTGAAACAACAATTTTTCATTGAGGAAGAATCTGGGTCATGTATCACTGCATCCACCATGTAAGGTGTGTTTGTCATCACCTTAAAAATCAAAAAGATAAACTGAGAGAGGTTAAGTGATTGTTCAAGGTCATATAATAATAGTAATAATAATAATAAGTAGGTGCTGTATGCCAGGACCTTTTCTAAGCACATCACATGGATCTTTGTTTAAGTCTCACAACAAACTTATTTGATAGGTATTATTGTAATTCCTGTTTTAACAAATAAATAAACGGAGGCAGAGTAAACGTAAGTAACTTGCTGAAGATATCACAGCTAAAAAGGGGTGGACCTAGGCTTGAACCCAAGCACATACAACTTCAGAGGCCATGCTGTAACCACTGCCTCATATGGCTGCTGCGGGGTTTGAACCCAAAGCTTCCTGACAGTGAAGCCATGACCCTCCATGCTAAGCTGCATCTTCAGGACTGTGACTATGTGAAGGCACTGGGGATAGAGAAAGAATGAGCTAAAACTCTTCTCAAAACAGAAAGCAAAGCAGAGTACTTCTGAGGTCAGGTTTTCTCGGTTCAGCACCTAGAGGTCGGAAGAGTCCTGTGTGGGCCATGGGTCTAAGGCTCTCCCATTTTCCAGAGCTCTCCACAAATGCAGCCAAGGTTCCAGCCTCCCCAGTGTCCCGACACAGGGGGCACGTCTGGGCCGAGTTCTATATATGCCCCCACTGGAGGACACAGCAATAGGGGCTGCAGGCTGTTGGCCTTCATGTTGGTCATGCGGTGTGGGCCTGGCTTCTCTAACCCAGCACCTGTCTGGCAGCTCCTCATACTTCTTTGAATAGGATCCTGTCAGCAGCTGTCAGCGTTCTGATGACCTCCCCTGTCTTCTGTGAAAACGTCTACATTTCTGGGGATTTCAGACACTGTTCATAAGTGCCCACTCGCCCCCTCATCCCCCACAAATCAGTGTCTTGGCCCAGAAATGATAGCCTCTACGTTCTCCGCGTCCTGCGGGAAGCTGCTGCTCTCACCACACAAGCTTCTTGTCTTTCCTGGAGAGTGCAGAAGCCTCTCATCAGGTCTGAAGTGGCCCTGTTTCTTCCTTCTTTGCTTCATTCAACCAAAATATATGTCAGGCATCTGATAACTGAACTGAGGGAGCCCTGAGCTCCAGGAGCCCACAGACTGCAATGGGCGACAGACACACAAGCAGATCAACACGTGTGGAATTTCCTGGTGGGGCAGAGCTGAGCCTCAGACATGTCTGGACAGTAAAGGTCAGAAATGCCCCCAGATAATTGTGCTTATCCACTGATGAACAAGGACATGAGTTGATTCTTAGTAAATTAATACTTGATGCATATCACAAAAGAAACTTGGACAAACACAGACATAACTCTCTATATATGTCTAGGGTTACTGTGATGGAAGCCAAGCTACAGAGAGAATGTCTGTCCCATAAGAGAGGAAGGAACTTGGCCAGACTGAGGAACACAGCCTGAGGTTTGGAGAGGAACAACGGCTTCCAGCGAAGGATGTTATTTAGTTACGTGGCATGACCCTGACACCCTGACAGGGTGTGTGCACAGGCAGAAAGATGACTGTGAGGGGACAGGAGGGGGTATGTCCCTAAAGTCTATGACATTTCAGTCCACACGTATCCCCACCTGACAACCCTCCCCTCCAAGTTAGCATCACATAGAAGGAGGAAGATTCTCTGATTTGTTCTGTAAGATCCTCACTGGTCCCAAGGCTGATGGCACAGGGAGCGATGGCCACAGTGTATCTCCATCTTCAACCAGCAGTGATGATGGCAGTGATGAGCGAGGCACGCACCTCTGTCAGGAACGCCTTCAGCAGCAAAGAACAGAGCACCTGGCCAGTTGGGGACCACGCAGATACGGAACTGTTTTCCTCATACGGTTCCGCGTCTAGGGTGGTTGCCTCCTGGCATTGCTTTCGTAAATTTATGCTGTAAAGGCTGGATTCTTGGGATTCTCTTCGCCTCTCCCTCTTGACTTAAGTTTGCTTCTGTGGCCCCAGTTACAAAATAAATGCCAAGGCTGGAGGAAGTAAATGATGTGCTTAGAAAAGGTCCTGGCATACAGTAATTATTTATTATTATTATTTCTATTATTATATGACCTCGCACAATCACTTAACCTCTTTTAATTTACCGTTTTGATTTTTAAGGTGACGACAAACACGTCTTACATGGTAGACACAGTGATACACGACCCTGATCCTTCCTCCATGAAAAATTGTTGTTTCAACTGTTGGGAGTGATTTTGGCAACAGCTTTTAGCTATCAGTCCCTTCCAGGACCCTGCAGGAAAGCCGTTCTCCCAGGGTCACCCCCCACTGCATTGGCCCATATCCACAGGCAGATGAAAATAGGGGTATTGAGGCCTGACCAGGGTGGCTGCAGTTGCAACTATACATGTCCCTTTTCGTCAAGAAGCAAACATTTCCCTGAAGATAGCTCTTTCTGTTTCATTGGGTAGAATGGGTCGTACAGACACCCTGGCTACAGAGAAGTTTGGGAAAGTTGATTTTTGGCTTCCCAATCTCTATAGTGTGAGGTGACAAGGAAGAGGGCAGTTGGAAGCAGGTGATGGTTACTCAGTTGAGTTGGCTGTCCATCCATAGACATCAAAATGTGTCATGAAGTGAAATTTTACAAGGGGTTGAAGCTCTGCCAGAGAAAGACTGGAGGGTCCGGCCAGCCCACCTTATCTGGACACAAATGCCTGCCTGCTGGGGCTTCCAGAAGAAAGAAAGCCTGCCCTACCTGCCTTCTGGCTCCTCTCCAATCCCAATGCCACCACCTCAGTTGTCTGGCACTTGGAGTGTGTGGTCTTTCCATACCCAGTCTTGTTCTCATCCAATATGCCCTACCACACTTTCTCAAGTGTATCTAACCGAAACTCAACTCTTACCATTAGTACATTGCTTATCCCATTAGGTCCCTATACCCAGACAATAAAGTCTAAGCTCATTAAAATGATGCAGAGAAATTCAAGATGGTTGTAATAATCAAAACAAAATAATACTGGTGAAAGTATGGAAACACAGACCTATGGAACAGAATAAAGAGCCCAGAAATAGACCCACACAAATAAAGTCAAGTGAGTTTTGACAAAGGCGTAAAGGTAATTCGTGAAAAAAGAAGAGTCTTTTAAACAAATGGTGCTGAAAAAATTGGATATACGTGAACCTACTGAACTATACACTTCGAGATGGTTAAGATGTTAAATTTCGTGTTATGCATGTTTTACCATAATAGGTATTCTAAAATTCTTAAAAGAAGGAACCTAGTCACAGACCTTACATTTTACACAAAAATTAACTCAAAATGGGTCGTAGAGCATAACATAAAATGCAAAATTATAAAACTTTTAGAATATACACGTGAAAATCTACATAAACTTGGATTTGGCAGTGAGGGCTTAGAAATAACACCAAAAGTATGATTTATGAAAGAAAAAAATCATAAGTTGGACTTTATTAAACTTAAAAACTTACAGTCTGTGAAAGATACTGTTAAAAGAATGAAAAGACAAAACACAAACTGGGAGATGACATTTGCAGAACACATGTCTGACAAAGGACTTGTATCCAAAATATACAAAAAACTTTTCAAACTAAATTATAAGAAAAGAATCTAATTTTAAAAAGGGCAATATATCTAAATAAACACTTCACCAAAGAATACATACATATGGAAAAATACATGTATATATATATGGATGTTCAACATCATTTGTGACTGGGTAATTGCAAATTAAGCAACAATGCAATAACGCTACAAACAGAATGGCAAACTAACAAGAAGCTGAAAATACCAATTTCTGGCAAGAATGTGGAGCAACAGAACTGTCATTTGTTGCTGGTGAGAATGCAAAATGTTACAACCACTTTGGAAGACAGTTGACAGTTTTTTATAACTACGCATAGTCTTACCATAAGATCCAGCAATCACATTCTTAGGCATTTAGTCTATTGATTTGAAAACTTATATTCACTCAAAAACTTGCACATGAATGTTTATAGCATATATTTTCATAATTGCCCCAAATGGAAAGCAACCACAATGTCCTTCAGTGGGTGCATGGATTAAAAATCCGGAGCCCATCCATACAGTAGAACAGTATTCAGGGATAAATAGGAATGAGCTATCAAGACATATTGCTAAGTGAAAGCAATCTGTCTGAAAAGGCTACATCCTGAATGATTCTAACTATATGACATTCTGGGAAAGTCAAAACTACAGAGGTAAGTCAGCAAACAGCAGTGGCTGCTGGGGTTCAGAGAAGGGAGAGCTGAATGCCTGAAGCACTGGGGACCCTGGAGCAGTGAACTATTCTGATACTGAAATGGTGGATACATGACACTGGGCATTTGTCAAAACCCATAGAACTTCATAGCACCTAATGTATACAAACTAGAAAGGTCACTTAGGCAATTAGGCAATCATAAGATATTAAGTAAAACTAAAACTAAATGCTTCTTTAGAAAATACAAAACGCATGCAATTGGCCCCAGGAATATTATTTGTTAATGAAAAGAATCAAAGTACCAATGCATGTCACACATGGTTTAACCTCAAAAATATTAGGCTGGATGAAAGGAGCAGACACAGAAATCCATGCTGTGTTGATTCCACTGATGTTACATGTCCAGTTAAGGCACATCTATCAAGGCCAAAAGTAGATGAATGGCTATGCTCACCTGAACCAAGAGAAGTCAGTTTTCCCAGGCAAGGCCCATCTGCCCACTATTCCCTTCCAAACAGAGCCTGGAGAAAGGCAGGGCTTTCGCTCCCTGGAGGCTGCATGATCAAGATCTTCACTGTCTGGAGGACCAGGAACTCAAACCCCTCATCCCCCGCAGGCTCACTCTCCTAACATTTTCAATGTGCTTCTTGGAGCCTGAAGGTGCAAGACCAAGGTGAAGTCAGCCACAGCCCTCCTCCTCCTGACTCCTCCACTCAGTTCTGCATCAACCCCACCCCAGAAAGGGAGGGATCTGCTTCCCAAAAACAAGCAAGGGCATTTGAGAGGTAGTGATACATTACAAACAATCCAAGCACACCTCAGGAGAGCAGTTGGGAACCGTAAGGAGAAGAGAAATAGTCTGTTTTTTTGTTTTTGCTTTTTTGAGATAGGGTCTCATGCTGTCATTCAAGTTGGAGTACAGTTGTGTGACCTCAGCTCACTGCAACCTCTGCCTCCCGGGTTCAAGTGATTCTCATGCCTCAGCCACCCAAGTAGCTGGGACCATAGGCATGCACCACCACGCCTGGCTAATTTTTGTATTTTTAGTAGAGACGAGGTTTCACCATGTTGGCCAGGCTGGTCTGGAACTCCTGGCCTCAAGTGATCTAGCCACATCAGCCTCCCAAAGTGCTGGGATTACAGGCATGAGCTACTGTGCCCAAACGAAGATGAGTTTTTGACCTCGCATTTCTGTTTATGAGTAAGCATGGAGACAGCCCAGAGCCTGAGGAGCATGTGGAGCAGCAAGGCCAGCTGAGCTGATGGGCATCTTGAGTGCCGGCCTGTGGTCACCTCCCTGGGGACAAGCTCCCATGTGTGTAAGGAGAAGGCTGCAAGGCCCGTGATGAAGGCTTTGGGTCCCAGCTCTGCCTCCTACTGGAAGTTGGAAGTGGGCTGTGTAAAGTGGGGATAATAATACTTACCTTACGGAGTGACTGTGAGGATTACAGATGAGGCCAAGGGACTGATGTGACAGAGCCCAGCATGGAGTGGGTGGGTGCTTGGTGACAGGAGCTGCACACAAAGACCCATGGCCAGTGACTCCAGTGAGAAGTCAGAACCCCACCTCTGTGTTTGCCTGAAGCCTGGAAGCCTGCAGAGGATGGGAGCACATGAGAATCCCTCTGTTCAGGACACAGTGATAAATCATTAGCAATGATTAATACTAATAATAGCACCACGTCCCAGACACTGTTCAGCATCCTTAGAATCTATGAACTTATCTGACGATCATAATACCCTTTTGCTTTGCCTTATATTTATTTGCTGGGAACCTGCTGAGCTCTCTAGAAGCAGACACTGGGACTGAGTTTGGGTGCAAACTGCTGATTAGGGATCAGCACCTGTGACAGGAGTGGGACTGGGCAGAGGAGGAGCTCTGGCCACAAGGCAGGCCCAGCCAAGGCTTGAACAATCCAACAGGGAGCTCTGGGGTGGGCATTGCCCATCAAAGTTGTCCCACACCAGCCGAGATGGGCAGGCCTCCAAACCTCCAGGCTTTCCTGGACTTCACAGGCAAAGCTGTGGCCTCAGTCAAGGGAACTCCTGCAGTCAGGCCAACCCTGGGGCTAGAGGTTGCATGCTGCCCTCACTCCCCATGGCCCAGTAAGTCTTCCCTGGAGGGAGACCTGGGCAACTCATCCCATTTTCCAGGGCAGGTGATGGAGGCACAAATAACTCATCAAAGAGCACACGAATAATTAGTGGAAAAGTTGGGATTGAATCCAAACAGTGTGGCTTCAAAGGCTGTGCTTAGAACCGCGACGCTACACTGCCTCTTAATGAGCTCATCTGTGCTTTATATCTGCAAGTTCATTCACTTCCATCTGCGTCATTGGATCCTCCCTACAGTCTTGTTGCATTGTCCACTCCAAATTTCAGACGAAGAAACTGAGGATCAGAGACTTCACAGTCTCTTGCCCAGGGTCACACACAGTGGCAGCATGATATTTCAACCAAGTTATGTATAAGCTCCAGTGAGGCCATCGGTTAGCATGTGGTACTTATATGAAGCAAGTTATGTCTGTACCTGACTCCCAGGTCAAGATCCTCCATGCAGCCATCGTGCCTTCCAAGGCCTCTCTGGGCTCCCAGGCCCTCAACCAGGGCCGCTCTGGAGGCCTCTGCTTGCCTGAGAAGCTGTGGTTGTTCTGCCACTCCGAGCACCACTGTGCACTCTGCACCGATGGATCTGTCATCTGATGGCACCTTAGAAAAATGAACACCCCTTCCTCACACAGAGGCAGCTGCAAGTGTCAGTCCCGGAGGTGCCTGACATGAGGGAGGACACAGCAGCCCCCAGGAAGGCCCTCCTGCCTAGAGAGAGGGCTCTGATGAACAGAGAGGAGGGAACAGGAGGTTGGCGGCCTGACCCCGGCTTTGTGCCCATTCCTGTCAAAACCCCTCTTACAGACACAGACGACCCTCAGCTCGAGAGCAGAGACACACACAGAACAATGCAAATCAGGCCGCGATATCACTGACATGGAATGAATAGCAATATTATCCTAATGGCTCTGGAATAAAATACAAATCACAGGAGGAAATTTACCCTGAAATCATGTTCATCAGCTTTGCAGAGAAGCCTCTCACCTTCTGGGCCACCACCCTGGGCACCTTCTCCTGTGAGCAATGAGGATTCAGAGGCCGTCTTTATGCCCTGTCTGAGCTGCCCAGGCAGAGGCCTCCAGCCTGTGGCCAGAGGGACAACTCCTCCCTCATCTGCACATGGCCGACCATCTCAGGGACCTTGCAACACTGGAACCCTGGCCCCTGACCATCAGCTGCCATCTTTTCCCTTTAGGCTGAGCCCTTGGAGACCCAGCAGAAGCTCATGGCTACTGAGGGCTGCATTACAACTGCCCAGGCTCCAGCCGAGGCCGCCTCCAGGAGCTCCTCTCCTAAGAACTAAAACTGGAAACCCCACACAAGGCCTTAGCCTTGTCACAATCTGAGCCCAATCCAGGGTTCCAGTTTCATCTCCAGCCACTCAGCAGCCCCACTGCAGCCACAGCCTCGCTCTTCCCAGACGCAGCCTGGACTGCAGCTGCGTCTCTGTGGAGGCTGCTGTCCCTCCTGTCTCAGTTGAGTAGCTCGGGAGTCAAGAGTGCCCTCCTCCACGCGCCTTCCTGGCTTCCTCCCCACGCGAGTCAAGAGTGCCCTGCTCTGAGCTCTGCTCCCGGCAGACGCACTCACTGCAGGGCATGATGGTCATTGCTCACTGTCCTCTTCTCTGCTGGAAATGTGGGCCTCCTTAGGGCAGGGCTGGCCGAGTCTTCCCAGGGGCCCAGATGCTCACAAAGACCCTCACACCCGCCCTCCATGGACCCTCATATGACAGTCACACAACCCCCTAGAGACCCTTATGCACAATCTCACATGACTCTCCAAGACCCTCATACCCTCACACAATCTTCACATGACCCTCATGTGACCCTCACATGACCCTCACACAACCCTCACACAGCCCTCACATAACCCTCACAAGATCCTCACACAGCCCTCACATGACCCTCATATGACCCTCACATGACTCTCATGTAACTCTGTGCTAACTCACAGAATCTCACGGGACCTTCACATGACCCTCTAGTGACCCTTACACAACCTGCTAGTGACCCACACGCAGAATCTCACAGAGACCCTCACATAAACCTCACAAAACCCTCTAGAGACCCACACACAGAATCTCACATGACCCTCACACGACCCTCACACGACCCTCTAGTGACCCATATATGACCCCCACACGGACCCTCCATGACCCTCACAAGGACCCTCACAGCATCAATGGTCAGGCACATTGCAAAACTGTTGGAAGACATTTACCTGCACAGTCAAAAAGCTCAGCAAAACATAAGCAGGAGAAACATGAAGGAAACCATATCAACACAAATAATTGGCAAATGGGTAGAAGATAAATAAAAGATGAAATCTCAAAGGCAACCAGCAGAAGAACTGTTACTTTCAGAAGTCATAAGAATGACAGCTGAAGAAAGAATGACAGTTTCCAAAGAAACTATGGAAGCCGAAAGATAAGAGGATTATGGAGTTAAAGAGCTGAAAATAGAAATGCCCCTCTAAAATTATAGTCTTAAAAAAAGAATGTAAAATTAAGATATTCTCAGACAAACAGAAGCAGGGAGAATTTCTCACCAGCTACCCTCACTATAGAAAATACAGCAGCATATGACTGCAGGAAGAAATAAAAAGTTCTGTGAAAGGTAAACATGTGAGTAAATGTCAAATAATAGTGACTGTTTAAAGCAACTCCATGACATAAGAACAATTAACAAATATGACAAAATTGTAAACAGAGGAGATGAAATGATAAATGCAGTAATAAGAAACAACTGTTGAAAATTCTTGAGTTGTTCATAAAAGAGTAAGGTACTAAGTTTCATTAGAATATGTAAAGGTAGTCGCTAAAAATGATATAAAATATAACTAAAATAAGAGAACCAAATTGAAATCATAATCTTAGTTCAAAAAAAGGTAGAAAAGGAGGAACAAAGGAAATAAAAATTATGGAGACAAATGAAAAAAATGTGACAATGTAGAATTAAATCCAAGCATACTAGTAATTACATTCATGGTAATTGGAATAATCTCTCCAGCTAACACACAATGTCAGACTAGTTTTTTAAAAGACAAGACCCAACCACGTGATATTTATGAGAAACACATGCCAACTGCAAGGAAAAGCCACCAAAAGTAAGAGGTGGATGGCAGGCAGAAACATGAAAACACACACAAAAAGGAAGAGATAAAATAGTACCCAGAAAGCCAGGATTATTAAAGTGTTATTTGTTTCTTTAACAGCTTTCATATGCCATACGATTCACCCATTTAAAGAGTACAATTTAAAGTGTTTTTTCAGTATGCCCAGAAAGATGTGCAGTGATAACCACTATCAAGTTAAGAATATATTTTATCACCTCAAAAAGAAACCCTGTGTATTACATTTATCTATCCTGTCTTACTCTATTAAGTATGATGTTAGCTGTGGGGTTTTGTTTTGTTTTAATTTGTGTACGCCTTTTATCAGATTAAGGAAGTTTTCTCCCATTCCTATTTTTATGATGAATGGGTGTTGAATTTTTAAATATTACTTTTGCAAATCTATTGAGATAATCATTTAATTTTTTGTTTTTGTTATTCCACTGATTTAATGTATTATGTTGATTTGGGGGTTTTACATTAACCTTGCATTCCTCAGATAAATTCCTCTTGGCTATGACGTACATTTTTTAATGTATTACTGAATTCAATTTGCCACTATTTTCTTGAGTATTTTTATGTTCCTGTTTATTAGAGATATCGGTCTGTGGCTTTCTTTTTTTGTGATATCTTTTGTGGTTTCTATATCAGGGTAATACTGCCCTCATAAATGAGTTGGGAAGTAGTCTGTCCCCTTTTCTGGAAGAGGTTTTGAGAAATCGGTAATACTTCTTATTTAAATGCTTGGCAGAATTCAGCAGTGAAGTCATCTGGGAATGGACTTTTCTTTGTGGGTATTTTTTAATGACTACTTCAATCTTTTCACTTGTTGTAGGTCTCTCTAGACTGTCTATTTCTTCTGTTGTCAGCTTCAGTATCTGTGTCTTTCCAGGACTTTGTTCATTTCACCTAAGTTATCTAATTAGTGTACAATTATTCATAGCACTGTTTTTATATCTGTCAATAGTAGTTTCCTCTTTCATTTCTGATTCTAGCAATTTGAGTCTTCTCTCTTCTTTGGTCAATCTGGATAAATATTTATCAATTTTGCTGATCTTTTCAAAGATGCAGCTTTTAGTTTCATTGCTTATTTTCCTGTTATTTTCCTATTTTTTAGTTCATCAATTTCTACTCTGACCTTTGTTATTTTCTTCATTATGGATGCTTTGGGTTTAGTTTCCTTTTTTCCCAATATTTTTAATGTAGAAGGTTATTGACTTGAGATCTTTTTATTTCTTAATGACATTTGCAGCTGCAACTTCCATTCTAAGTTTTCACATCCCAGAAGTTTTGGTATATTTTGTGTTCATTTCCTTTATCTCAAAATTTTAAATTGCCCTCTAATTTCCCTTGCAATTGTTCTTTTGCCCATTCATTATTTGGGGATGCGTTGTTTAGTTTGCTGATATTTGTGAGATTCACAACTATTTTCTTCCATTGATGTCTAGATTCACTCAATTTTAGTTGGAGAGTATACTTTACATTATACATTTTCTTTATAATTTATTGAGGTTTTTATGGTTTAGCATAGTGTCTGTCCTGGAGAGTGCTCCATGTTCACTGCAGAAGAATGTAAATGTTTTTATTGTTGAGTGGAGTGGTTTCTATATGTCTGTTAGGTCTAAGTGGAGTCACAGTGTTGTTCAAGTTTTTTTTTATTTCCTTGTTGACATCTATCTAATGATAACTAACCATTATTGAAAGCGGGTTATTGAAGCCTTCAGTTATCACTATTGAATTGTTTATTTATCTATGCATCTATCATGAACCAAAATGTTCACACATTTTAGTGCTCTGTTATCAGGTACATATAACCGTTACATTGTCCTGAATGTATTAATCCTTTTATTATTTGTAAATGTTCCTCTTTAACGCTAAAGAATATTTTTGATTTAAAGTTTATTTTTCTGATATAAGTGTAGGCATCCCAGCTTACTTGTGTTTGCTGTTTGCATAATATATCTTTTTTGTCCTTTTACTTTCAATTTATTTGTACCTTTGCATCTAAAATGTCTCCTGTAGAAAAAGTATAGTTGGATCATTTTTTAAATTCTGTCTTACAGTCTCTCCTTTTGACTGGATTATTTAACATCAATTAAAATTTAACATTATTGTTGATAAAAGTGAATTTGTATCTGCTATTTCACTTTTTGTTTACTATCTATCTCACCCCTGTTACCTATATTTATCCTTTTCTTCTTTCTTTTAAGTAACTACTTTCTAATGTAGAATTTATATTTTCTAAATAATTTTTTACTATATTTTGAGAAATTTTAGTAGTTGCTCTAAAGTTTAAAGTAACATTTTATTGGAATCAGTGGTATGTCTGCATTAGTTTTATTATAGTAATCTGCAGAAATGTTAATTGTATATAACTCTATCAATTTTTCTCCCTTTCTGTGGTATTGCTATTATAAATATTATATACACGAATGTTACAAACCATACGATACATTGTTAAAAGCACTAGTTTATTATCTGCAGTTGTTTTCTGAATCCAGTATAACTTTTCTCCCACTCATCTTCTTTGTGCTGTTACTGGCAAGTATATTACATCTATATTATGCCTCCGTGTTATAGACCTACCTTTATACTGTATACATATTCTCTTGAGCAACTGCTTCTGAAATCAGTTATGAGAGGACAAGAAAATATGCATTTCCTCCTAGTGCCTCCCTTCTCAAAAATATTTATTGTCCTGAGAGCAATTCCCCTTCCAGGTATGCAGCCAATTTATATTCCACAAAGACAGGAAATAAAAGGTTTATGGAAACATCCGTAGTACTCCCCAGCTAGGAACTTCCAAATGCCCATCAACAGAAAAATGAATAAATAACGTATAATATAATCACAGAATTGGCTACTAAACACCAATGAGGACAAGTAAACGACAACTACACATAACACTTTAGATAAACCTCACAAAATAATGCTAAACAAAGCAAGCCAGATCCAAGAGGGTCCATATTGTATGATCCACTTATGTTAAGTTCAAACACCAGCAAAACTGATTGTTCCTTTTGGCAGCCAAGATGGGTTTATCCTTGGGCAGATGCTGTCATAGTGAGTGAGAGGAGAGCTTTCAGGTCCTGATCATGTTCTGTTTCTTCAGCTGGCTGCTGGCAACACAGATGTTCAAACTGTCACGAACATTTATCAAGGTAGGAAGGGCCAATATGCCCCCTCATGTGTAGGTGGGTCCTAAGGGGAAATGTTTGGGGCATGGGGAAGGATCCCTCATGAACGTCCAGGTGCTGTCCTCACGGTAAGAACTTAGTTCTCACTCTTAGTTCCCCCAAGAGTTTCCCCTGAGAGCTGGCTGTTGAAAAGAGCCCAGCAGCTCCCTCCACTCTCTCTCCCTCCCTCTCTAGCTGTGTGAAGCCTGCTCCCCTTCACCTTCTGCCAAGATTGGAAGCTCTCTGAGGGCCTCACAAGAAGCAGATACTGGTGCCATGCTTCTTGTACAGCCTGCAGAACTGTGAGGCAAATAAGCCTCTTCTTGGTATAAATTACCTGCCTCAGGCATTCCTTTATAGCAAAGCAAATGGACGAAGACAGAGGACTCTGGTTGAGAGCTCCGATTCTCCATCTTCACACTTCTCAGGGAAGAGGCAAGAGCTGCCCTGTCCAATGGGGTAACTGCTACCTACATGTTGCTATTTACATTCAAAATAACTAAAATTAAATACAGTTTAAACTCTAGTTCCTCAGTCCCCTGGCGCTACTTCTGGAGTGCTCTGCATCGTCAGGCAGCCGTGGCTGCTGCAGTAGACAGGCAGATAGAGCACATCTCCATCCCCACAGAACCAGAATGTGTGCTGGCCTAGAAGGACCGGGGGAAATCCCCGACCCGCTGAGCCCCTCAAGGCACTAATGCTCATCCTAAGCAATGCACTGGCTCCCCGACTGCTGGTCCAGGGGAGGAGAAAAGAGCCCTTCCGAATGGATGTGTCTCAGGCTGGTTCTCAGCCTCAAGAGGAGTGCATCCCACGTGTCCTGCCCAGCTTTCTCTGCCCCTCCTCCTTCCTGGGCTCAGTACTCCCCCGCTCAGGTCACTGCAAAGGCCATTCACTGAATTTCGGATCTAAAAAGACACACTTTGAACTTTAGCTCTTAATGAAGGTTTCTTTCCATTAAAGGAATTTTTAGTCCCAGAGGGATGAGAGGCAACAGTCCTGGGAAAGAAGACCTTCCAAAACCATTGAGCCCACCCACCCTCATCTCAGACTGAGGAGGACACATCCATTCCCTCCCCTCCATCAAGAGCGTAGGTCAGGTTTCGCCAGACAGAGACTTCGGGTGCCTGGGCTTTCCACCAAGCTGGTTTACAGGGAGCCCTGGGCAAACAGAGGTCACCCTCAGCCTCTCCTTCATCCCCTGCAATTCCCCTCCTGTGGTGTGCTGATATCTCAAAGCCAGGATATTCTTTAGGAAAACTGGCTGCGAAGGAACTGCCAGGAGTACATCTCCAGCAAGCTCTTCGTGAAGGGGATCTATTCAACTCTCCAGGGTAACACAATTCTGTCAGCTCCTTGCATATATCTCACACCATGTTATCAGCCTAGGAACAGCTGTGAGCTCCTGCAGGAGTGCTGGCAGACAGACCTGAGCACCTCACAGGAGAAAAATTGCCCTGCACCTTGGAGGGAGGTGCTGGGCCAGGCACAGTGCCTGGGTAGCATGGGCAGTGGAATCCCGTGGTGGAAGGCACAGCTCAGAGCAGTCTCTAAGCCAGTCCAGGGAGGGCATGGTGTGGAAAGTTCCCAGAGCTGAAAACTCCCCAGGCCGCTTTCCTGCGTCAACGCTCTGTAGCTTTCTTTTGACAGTTGGTTACTTTTTCACTTCTTGTGAAGCCATCCAGGGATAAACATTCTTAGACAAAAAATCTACAGGTAAGATTTGCACGGGCCTTCAGATTGTAGTCATCCCAGGACTAAATCCCTACTTCCCACTGCGAAGAAATATCAAACCAAAAGCATACTTGAGTTAACCACTGAGGGGAAGCTGGGAGGCTCATACCTGCACTCCAAGCCCTGCAACCACTGAGTCCAGCACCTCGGTCCCAGGAGTCCACAGTCATGCAGGTTGCTACGCTGCTCATCTGGGCACTGTCCCCTGGAGAGTGTTCACAGGACACTCCTTGAATGTGCCCTGAGGGCTCCTTCCACCTTCATCAGAAGCCCCAGCCTGATGAATCTCAGCAACTCCGCTGCCCCTCCTCCTCCCCCCTCCCTGTGCACACACAGGGGTGATGTACATGAGGGATGCAGTAGATTTCTCCGCCTCTGCTTCTTCACTCTGTCAGAGCAACTTCCCATTTCAGCATCTGAAGTCCTACTTCCTGGACAACTACCCACTGTGGACTCAGCTGCTGGTAGATGGGGACAAGTGAGGTACAGGAAAAAGGGGGAGTCCCAGAAAGGAGGTGGGCCCTGTTGCATAAGGTGGGTAGGTGACTGCATGGCTGGACAAACCAGAGAGATGGAAGGGCAGGTGCAGTTACCTCGGGTGGCTTTCACCTGCAGAGACAAATAGCTCCAAAACTCTAGAACTGGGTCCTGCAATTTACTCTAGAACCACCCCTCACCCTACCCACAGTTAGCATCTTAGTCACCAATGTTGGGCTCAAAATTCCTCTTCTCCTCTCCTGTCTCCTGTGGTCTTCCCCTCCCAGGAGGATCAGGGTAGAGAAGCAATTTCCAATTTAAAAAATGGAAGAGCAGGATACACCTACTCATCCTATAATCTAAACCACGTGTTAGATATGTAAGAGTCTAAATTACGTGGGACTTGGAGCACTTCTATAGACCCAGTCCTGACCTGCTCTTCACCAGGTCAAAGTTGACACATCCCCTTCTCCCACAACCAGCATTATGGGGGGTAGGGGCCCACAGAAAGGGCTGGTGTTGAGAGGGTCTTGGCCAATAAGCCTGTGTCTCAGGGCACATTCTCACGGGGATGTGAGGCTCACTACAATGGGCTTTGAGCATGGAATGCCAGCATCTACAGGTCACACAAACTCCGGACCATCAGGGACTGCTATGACTGCTGCTGTGACTGTCTCCCTTGCCCTCATGGGCTGCACTCCTGCCCTGCCCACCCTGAGCCCTGGATCTCAAGGTGTCCCAGGGTGAAGATGAGGACATATTGCGGACAGCCAAGCCATGCATCCACTCCCCTACCCAGGCCAGCCCCAGGCAGCACATCAGATCCCCCTGATGGTAGGACTCACTGACAACCACTGTCCATGTGGCTCAGGACTTCCCCTGGCCCCAGACTCCAAGCTCCTTAGTCTGCAGGTGGGGCCAAGGCCACATGGTGCCACAGAAGGCATGACTTAGGTCATGTTCAGACATCTATGAGGAAATCTCATGTGTGAGTTATTTTACAAGCAAGCACTGAAGTGTATCCTCACCCCCTGTAAATGGAAACAAATCCGACCATCCCATGGCATCTTTGGAAACGTTCCACCAAGCACAATAGATTTTTCTTTTTCTTCCTTCAAGAGAGAAACAAAACTCAAGGGGAAAAAACAACAGAGCAGTGTTTATGTCTATCCTGGTAAAATTAGAGCATGTCAGTTTCTCGCCCTATTCCTCCTTCCTTCGTGCTATTGGGAATAGCAGTGATCATGACGAATCGGTGATATTTGCATACACGGTGATATCTGGAGTGCTCTTCTAGTTGAAGAAATGGTGGAGATTATAATATCTGTTTTATGGAAAAGAAGGCTGCCATCGGGGTGGAGCAGGACGGCCAGCCCAAGGCCTTGGGTCAGCCTTGCCCACACCGTGCTTCTGCGGGCTCCTGGGAGGCCCATACTCTTCCCAGACAGATGGTCACCCCTCCACGCAGCCACAGGAAGTCGGGCCAGGAGTGAGTGCGAACCTCTCGGGAGCCATGGAGCTCGGGCTCTGGCTGGTGCACCTGCCTGCCACCCCGTTCTGTGCGCCCCCAGACCTGGGTGCTCGGACACGGCCAGCTTCCCACGTGCTTCCAGCAGACCTCCACCCCCAATGGCTTCTCTCTCAGACCCCTGGGAAGCACCCTCACACTCTCTTCTTCCTTCCTGCTTAAGAAGCAAGCACAGCCTCTCTGGGGCTTCTAATGCTTTATTACCCCCAGCATTCATGGGGGGAAAGGAGTGAAAAGAAAAAAATAACAGCAGAGGAGTGTCAGAAAGCCTCAGGGAAACGCTGTCCCTACCATCCTGGGCCTGTGCTTCTCCCTGACCCTGTTCACTCCTGGTCCCGCACGTGGACCCAGGGCACCTGCCCTGCCTGAGACAATGTGGACAGCAAAAGTGCAGGGAGAGGGCCTGGGGACACCTGGCAGCCCTGCGGTGCCAGCGAGAAAGGGCTGGGGTGGAAGTGAGGGACCTGCTGGACAGCAGCCTCAGAGTCCCCAAGCAGGAGGGAGCCCAGCAAGCGCCCCTAGGCACTGTCCACAGTACCGAGATACTGCAAAGGCTGCACCTTTGCAAAGTGAGTTCCTAGGCCTCCAAGGTCATGGGATCTAATTTTAACTCCTTGTCACTCCGTCCATTGAATATTCCTTTCTGAAAACGTGTTGAATGCCCAGCCCAGCATATGCCGACTGAGAAGCACAAGTCAAATAAAGAGAAAGAAGGGGAGGAAGGACAAGACAGGAGCCCCAGACTCAGCCCAGTGCCTGCCAGCCTGCGCCAGGCTGCTGTGTGACCTTGGGCAAACCCCTCCTTTCTCAGGGTTCACATCCTTGCTGACTGCTTCAGTCAGCTCAGAATGCTATCAAAAAATACCACAGACTGGGTGGCTTATGCCTGAGACATTTCTTTCTCACAGTTCTGAAGGGCAGGAAGCACGAGATCAACGAGCCAGCAGAGTCCGTGTCTGCTGTGGGCTTTCTTCCAGCCCTGCAGACAGCTCCCTTCTGACTGTGTCTTCACATGGCAGAGAGGGAGCCTGGTCTCCTCCTCTTCCTACGAGGGCACTAATCCCCTTGTGTGGGCCCCACCCTCACCATCCCATCTAAGCCTTACCACCTCCCAGAGGTGACACCTCCCAGCATCATCACATTCCAAGTCAACATTTCAACACAGGAATCTGGGGAGACACGAGCATCCAGGCCACGGCGTCCATAGACAAGAGGAGTGGACTGAAGGATTAAAGTGCCTTGTGCCACTACGCTTAGCCCCCAATTGCTGCTTTCCTTCCCAAGTCACCTGGGCTGCTATCTCCAGAGTACCAGGCCCAAGTGGGATTTGGGAAAGCCAGCGCTGCCCCTCCCTCAGTTCCCTGTTATCTCAGCCTGAAATATAACCTGTAAGACCCGCGATGCCCTGCAAAGTGTGGCTGTGGCTGCCTGTTATCAAGAACTGAGCGCCAAAGGCAGATGATCAATCCCCGCCCACTTCTCATTTGGCATTAGGAGGAGCTGTGGGTCCATCTGCACAAGATAAAAGACAAGCTTTCCTTACCCCACAGGAGGAGGTGGCCGTGTTGTCTCCCCATGGCTAGCTGTAGAGCACCTGCTGTTCACAGAATTCAACATGTGCTGGAAACACAGCTAATGAGGTCCCCAAGCAGCCTAGCAGGCTAGTTTGGAATGCTGAGCTCCAATCCGTTCCTGTCCTTACTCACCACCTGCATTTGCTGGAGATGGGTACATGCAGTTTTAGCCTCACTGCCAGGGATGGAGGCTCTTGAATGCTCTGCAGACAGCTGTCCGAGTGTGCAGAGCTGAGCAGTAGTGCTGGCCCAACAACCCCTGAAGCAATGGCCCTCAATACTGCCCATCCTCCCAGGCCAGCCTTCAACCCAGGCAGTCACTGAACACTGCAGCAAAGATCCCCAGGTCTCAGGGGCAGATGAGGACCCTACACTGAGCCATGGTCATCTTTTCTCTGCCCTCTGGCTGGTCAGGGGACGGGGAATACAATGACAGGCAAGAACAACATAGCACAGAGGTCAAGAGCGGGCTTCAGAATGCAGCAGTCCTGGGTTAAATTCTTGCCTCAGTCACTTAGCAGATGCCTCATACCACGTAAGACACCCAGCTCAGTGAGGCTCGCGTCCCTCTGCTGCGAAGGGAAGGTAATGGCTCCTAGTTAAAGAATCACTGTGATGCCACGATGAGGTAATGCATTCCAACATCTCAAATGTGTCTGGCACATAATGGATACTCCTCAAGTATAGGTGTTAAGATTATCGTCCTCCTCTCCAGGGCAAGATGGGATTTCTATGTAAGCACGTCCACCTGGGTGGGGGGATAGAGAACAGAGGATTGGAAGGATGGTTGGAACTGGGCGTCTCTCCCCGTCCTCTTTCTTGGCATTATTGGTCATCGGTCACAAGGTAGTGCAAAGAGGAGAGGTCGCCGATAAGGTGAGGATGTGAGCCTGGACTCCGGCGGGGCTCTTCACTAGCTGTGTGACCGTGGGCAAGGCCCCAGACCACAGCTTTCTCCTCCGTGAAATGGGTAGGATGGTTTTGGTAAGGGTTGAAGAAGGTAACTGGTTTGTATAACGCCTGCTGCATAGAAGGCATCAATAAGGTTTGTTTTTCCCCCTTACATTTGTGGCCTGTCTCTGGGCTTAGGGAGGAGGAGGTGGCGGTGAAGGTGGAGGTGGCTGTGATGATGGGGAGGAAACATTGATTCCAGGTTTCCTGGAGTTCCTGTGAGTGCCCGTGCAGAGCAAGAGGGCTCACCATCTGACCCTCAAACCCGGACCAGGGCCGTGCACCCCAGCACCACCGAACAGGATACAGGCAGTACCTGGCCGCTGCTCCTGTGGTTCCTGGCTGGGAGACCCGAACACGCACAGGTACCCTGGTATCAGGGGCTCATCTCCAGCCCCGGCTTCCTGCCGTCTCTCTTCAGGACACTCAACTGCATTCTGTAGCCCGGGATGACCAGCCACCACCTTCCTGGTGCCCCAGCCCCTTTCCACACTTCCGGCAGAGCAGCCTCTGTCCTCTGACATCCCCAGACTTCCCTAGCCCCGGCTGTCATTGTTGCTCATAGCGCCCCTATGCATAGGAAGCTGAGCTGCCCTGGCCCAGCCCCAGTCAGCTCCCACCCTCAGCGCCTGGCCTGTGTCACTTGGCGCAGCTCAGGCAGCTGTGGGAAGCTCAGCCAGCTCTCAGAGCACTGCATCCTTGTCCTTCGGGAGCACAGACCTGGCGCCTAGAGCTGCTCCCTCCTCCAACCCTTTCCCTGTGTGGCCCCAAGGGCTGAGCCCTGCCCGCCAATGAGAAGGCCTGAAGGATGGGGAGACCACCCCTCTGCTCCAGTGAGAGCCCCTGCTGCCCCTGCTGCCCTCATCCTCCCCATCCAGCCAGGGCTCTTTTCTCATCCAATGCCATTGGGGTAGAAATCAGTCAATAAATAAGAAAAGTCTTTCCCCCTTTCAAACCACCACTGTCTGGTGGGGTGTGCACGTGTCTGAATGTGTCTGTGACCAGAAAACAAACCACAACCTCATGGAGGTAAACACAAGTCCCCTGCACAGAGCCTCAGCTGGCGACCTCCACAGCCCTTGGTGGATGGTGTGTGGGTGATCTGCAGAAGCAGGCCCTGCCCTCGGTGGACGGCGAGTGGGCGACCTGCCCTCGGTGGACGGCGAGTGGGCGACCTGCCCTCGGTGGACGGCGAGTGGGCGACCTGCCCTCGGTGGACGGCGTGTGGGCGACCTGCCCTCGGTGGACGGCGTGTGGGCGACCTGCCCTCTGTGGACGGCGAGTGGGCGACCTGCCCTCGGTGGACGGCGTGTGGGCGACCTGCCCTCGGTGGACGGCGTGTGGGTGACCTTCATGTGAGGAGTGAGTGCATGTGTGAGGGTGTGTGGCAGTGTGAGCAGAATGTGTGTGGCATAAGACAAGAGTCTCTTACTCTCCCACTCAAAGCTGTAACTTTGGTGTCTAACACACAGGAGGAGTTAACCAATGCAGGGAATGAAGAACGGAATGGATGAATGGGCAGTGCAGTGGCATAGTTAGGATACCCATTTTACAGATGAGCACACTGAGGCCCGAAGAATTTTGTAAGTGGCAGAGCTGGCCCTCAGACTAGGAATCCTGGTTCCTAGCTCAGTGTTCCTATGTCTACCGCACCTACAAGCTGCCCTTCAGACTAGGAATCCTGGTTCCTAACTCAGTGTCCCTATGTCTACCGCACCTACAAGCTGCCCCTGGTAACAACGACAGTGTGAAGTGGGCAGCAGAGCCCCGTGCTGACTCATTCGGCCTTTCTGGCCTCTGCCCCTAGGGAAGAGGGACATAAAAGGTTCCCAGGACTTATTCACCCACTTAGAACATGGGTGGTCTCCAGCTAGACAAGAGGAACGGTGTGGTGCTTGCCCTGCAAGGGCTGCAGGCTGTGTAGGAGCAGAGTCGTGGAGAGGTTCAGGCACCTGACTGGACTCCAGGCCCCTCCAAAGCCAGAGAAAACCCCAGTCTCTCCAGACTTTGGTTTCCCAAACTGTGCAATGAATCCTGCTATGGCCTGAATGTGTGTCGCCCCAAAATTCATTTGCTGAAATCCTCCCTGCGATGAGGTAGTATTAAAAAGGTGTAGCCTTTGGGAGGTGATGGAGTCATGAGGATGGAGCCCCCATGAATAGGTTTGTGCTTTTTAAAGAAGACCTCAGAGCTCTCTCATTGCCCTCCCTTATTTGAGGTTACAGGGAGAAGAGGGCCGTCTATGCACCAGAGAGAGGCCCTCTCCAGACACCAACTCTGCCGGCAGCATCACCTTAGACTCCCCAGCTTCTGGAACTGTGAGGAACAAGTGTCTGCTGTTTAGGCCTCCCAGTCTGTAGTACTTTGTTATAGCAGCACAGATTTACTAAGGCAAGGCCTGGCCCCAATTCCTTGTCCTGGGCTGCTGGCCTGGCCCTTGCTCTCCTCCCCACCTCTCAGGCCCTGCAGGGACAGCTCAAAAGCTGCCCTGGACCTAGATCCAGCTGCCTGCCAAGGACCACCCTGCGCCCACCTCCCTGCTGCAAAGCCTGCCCTGGCCTCTGACCTGAAGGTGGGAGGCCAGAAGAAGCTGCCCAGGGCTGCAGCTTTTACTCTCTGGAATGGAGACCTGTCTTGGGAGATTTTATCAAAACTTCTGTTCCCAGATCTCTCTTTCCAGACACCTTGATCCCCAGGATCTAAAGCTGCCTCCTCGGAACTCTATTCTCAGTCAATGCCCTGTCTCCTGAGTGGGCCCCGGTCCTCCTTGCTTTCTGCCAGCCTCTGCAAGGTCCCAGCCCCCTTGCACATGCCCACAGCTGTGAGCGTTGTGCAGGCTCAGCCCCTGGGATGTGGCCTCATTGTGGTGTTGAAGGAGGGCATCACAGTGTGGCCCTGACCGTGGGGTTGGGCACTGATAACCCCTGCACCTCTACACCAGGATGCTGGAGCCTGCCATCCCCCACTGTGCTGGGGATGGGGAAGATGCACCCAGGGCTTTGAATGTCCTCACAGGTGACAAGCCTGCAGCCTGCATGGAGGCCAGCAGGTGAAAAGGAACAGTTTCAGGGTGCAGAAATAGAACATAACCGTGTGAAGCACAGCCTTTCCACAATGACTATTAATAACACACTGAGTAACATTTCTTCTGTAGAAAGATTTGGAGGAAAGTGAGACACCACAAACTGGAAAGAAATACAAAATCCTAGGTTGAGTAAGACAATTTCTCATCTGATGAACTCTTAAAATCAGAATGTGGTGTCCCTGTTACAGTAAAGTGCATAATTCACACACGATCCCTTCTTAAAGTCAGAAGCCCCTAAGAACATACCTAGAATTGATATTTTAATAATCTGACACCCGGGCAAGCTTCGTAAGCAGTTTTTCTCTGGTCTTTTCAATGAAACCTTTAATTGTGGCCGGTAACTCAACAGAATTAGTGTATCAGGCAGTTTTCTCAGCTTCTTTAATTAACCCTTACATCTCTCTCCGTTTTTATTTCCATTTTCATGAGTAAAAACTGGCATGCTGCTCCATGAGGTTTTAAGCAAAAAATAAAACATTTGCCTCCAGCCACCTCCGAACTCCACAGACAGAACACAGGCCCTCCTGGGCCATGGTCTCTGAACTCAGGAAGGAGTTTCCTTCTTGAAACAGGGGCCACACTTTTCCACCTATTTAAAAAATAACATAGCATCAAATGAGCCAGGTTTGCAGAGTGCAGTTCCATGCAAGCCTGCTTTGAGTTGGTGCCTGCATTTTCTCCAGATATATGTCCAATCAAACAAGGCAGAGGTCCAAGGCGGACCCAGACCCTGGACTCTCCCTGTCCTTACCTCACTCTGCTGTGCTGTGCCCCCTTTGTCTCTGACACATATTTAGCCCGACTAACTACCTCTTGTTCCACTAAATCACTTTTGGGTACCAGGCCATTGGCCTTTACTTTCTAGCTCTATGGCATTTGAGGGGAGCCGCTGCAGAAGGCAGACACAGGACCATCTGCAGAAAATCACGGCAGCGGCCCTGGGGCCTCACAGCATGGCTCTGTAGCAGGAGGATCCAGATGACAGAGGTGGTTCCCAGTCTTGGTGCACTGGGATCTCCTGTAGGAATTTTACAAAATTACATCCTTGAACCCAACCTCAGAGATTCTGACCCAGTAGCTCTAGGGGTGGGAAAAAGTGTCTGTATTTTTAAAAAGCTCATAAGTGATTCCACTGCAGAGCAGAGAATGAGCACCACTGGATAGGACCATGAGGACAATGAATTGTTCCTAACAAGATGGGTCAATTAGTTATATGTCTGTTGTTTCCTTGGAACCAAGGGATGAACTGGGTGACACCTGGAGTTGTTTAATAATACAGATTCTTTTTATTCATTCCCAGTATTGTCTGAAGCAGAGTTGAACCTGAAACATCTAAAGTGTGAATCGCCTACTTCAGCTCGTGTCATTTCAGATAAAAGTCATACAGTCATAGAATCTGGGGTTTATAAGATATCTCAGGGATCATCTGGGTAACTCCTCTGTTCAATTCATGAATGTCATCTCTAATATCTCCTTCAATTCATCTTCCACTCCTCACTGGAATCTCTTAAATGAACTATTTGATCATCAGTAAATTGCACTTTTCTTATGAAAAAGCTGTGGCCTTCACAGTGGAATATGCAGCTTCTGTCCTTGACACCGGAGCAGAATCTGTCATTCTTGGCACCTTCTTCCAGCCTCTCGCCTTGACCTCAAAGTTGGATGATGTTTCTGTGAGCACATTGCCTTCCAAAATAGGCTTGACTTAGACCCTCCTACCTGTGTGAGGGTATGACCTTCAGCTCCTCTCCCGACATTGTGGCATGGCAAAAAAAAGAAAGAATCCAGCCTGGTGCAGGGTCTGTCTTATAGTAAGGAAATCACCTCGGGAAGCCTTTCTTCCATTCACTGGGACCCTCTTGGGTTTTGTGACAGGCATCTGAGGTATAGACACACAACAACTGTGAGGAGGATCCTTCATTCCTAAGCCTGCAGGGAATCTGCCAGAGAGCTCATGGTTTCCATAAAACACTTTGGAATGGCTTATCATGAGCTCTAATCCTGCAGCTCAGCTCCCATGAAAGAAACATTCAACAGGAGGGAGAGGATTAATACAGGTTTGGGCTGGAAATCTCCACTGTGTTGAGACCTAGTCTGTCAGGAGGAGGTCCCCAAGTGAGCAGGCTGGCCCTCCCCAATCCCAAAAGAACAAGAGGTCAGAGATCTAGTTATGCAAAACCCAGTTTCAACCGGATTTCTTTTGAACAGTGCATTAGTCCATTTGCATTACTACAAAGGTATACTTGAGCTTGGATAATTTATAAAGAAAAGAGGTTTAATTGGCTCATGGTTGTGCAGGCTGTATAGAAAAGAGAGCAGCATCTGCTTCTGGTGAGGCCTCAGGAAGCTTCCACTCATGGCAGAAGGCAGAGCAGGAGCAGGTGCATCACACTGCAAGAGAGGGAGACAGAGAGAGTAGAGGGCAGCGCTACGCTCTCTTAAACAACCAGAACTGGGGCGAGAACTCACATCACCAAGGGGATGGCACTAAGCCATTCATGAGGGATCCACCCCCGTGATCCAATCACCCCCACCACGCCCCACCTCCAACATTGGGAATCACATTTCAACATGAGACTTGGAGGAGACAGACATCTAAACCATGAAAAACAGGCCGCATGCAGCCTCCCTTCCATAAAACCACTTGAAGGAAGCTTTGCAATCCACCAAATTACTCTGTGTATCCTCTTCACCTGCTCCCACGGCTTTCGGAAGCCACAGTCCAGATGTGGGCAGCAGGTTGCCATCTGTCCTCCAGCCTCTAAGGAAACTCCTTTCTGTCTCCTATGGATGTTCTCCAAGGGAGACACTTCTTCACAAGCTGCCTTGATCATCTCCCCAAAGCCTTGGTCAGCCCTTATTTAGATTCATTTTAAAATTATTTAACCTAAATATATCTTACTGAAATTAAAACTTGAGGTTTTTTTTCCCTTAAGTTTCCTCCCAGTGCAGTCTGAAACCAGGAGCTAGGCATCAGCTTCTGCCTGGCCCTACAGCGCTCTGCAGCCCCACCTCTCCCAGCCCCACCTGCAGGTTGTACAGGCAATGCCGTCCTAGATTAAACCTGTAAACCAGAAAGAGACACCAGGGGGAAAACTGATGAGACCCAAATAAAGTCTAGAGGTTAGTGTATAGTAATGTACCAACATGAATCCCTTGGTTTTGACAAATGTACTAAGGTTCACAAAATAGTCGCATCAGGGGAAATCAGGCAAAGGGCATGCGGGCATCTCCGCACTGTCTTTGCAACTTTTCTGTACATCTAAAATTATTCTCCCAAATTAAAAAAAAATCAGATTTTAAGGGGGAAATGTTTCCTTTGCTTCAGAAATATCTAAGAGGAAAGTTTCCAATCTTATCAAAGCTGGAAGATAGAGCTAGGACTAAAATAAGAAAAACTTGGATTTACATTTACATTTAGATTTGTACTGCTCTTAAAATGTCTGAAGCACTTTGCATTTATATCATTTGCTCTACAAAAAAACCTGTTGAAGAAAACAGATGTTAGGATCCTGCCTTTTTTTTTCTTCACTGCAGAGAAATCTGGAATGAAGAGAGGCTAACCCATTAGCCAATGTCCCAGGCATTCTGCCATGAAGTCAGGCCCCTTCTCCACCCTGCACCGTCCACCTCTGTGAATTCAAGGCCCTGAGCTCAGCTCCTGCTTCCAGTCCTTCCATCTCACAATGGAGGACCACAAGGGAGTCCCCATCCTCCACTCAAAGCCTGGGGTCCAAGACAGGAGGTGAGAAGCGTGTGGAGATGAGAAAGTGCACACCCTCCCCTCACAATTTCCTGGCCAAGCTCTGTGAATCTCAGCCTCACCTCAGTGGGCTCCCTGCTTCCAGCCTGGAGCCTGCAGGGTATCCCCCACAAGGCAGCCAGAGAGGCCCTGGAAACACACAGCCAGAATCCATGCTCAGAGGGGCCCTGTTCCTGCACCTGCCCACATCACAGTGGTGCTTGGTGACACATGGGGTGGGCTGGGATCCTCTCTTACAGCGCCCTGCTGCTTTCTTCAAGGCAGGCGCCACATTTTCTCATCATAATTTTCTTTTCATCTTTCTCCTCTATTACAATAAAACTTCCCTGAGGACAGGCACAGGTCTGTGGTGTTCCTGCCCTCAATGCCAAACAGTATAGGGCAGATGAGAGGTGTCAGTAATGACTCTGCAATAGATCTGACCAAGGCTTACCATGTTTTAGAGAGTTACAAATAACTGGCTGGGCCAGGTAGCTCACACCTGTAATCCCAGCACTTTGGAAAGCCGAGGCGGGCAGATCACCTGAGGGTCAGGAGTTCAAGACAAGCCTGGCCAACATGGTGAAACCCAGTCTCTACTAAAAATACAAAAATTAGCCGGGCGTGATGGCGGGTGCCTGTAATCCCAGCTCCTCAGTAGGCTGAGGCAGGAGAATCACTTGAACCTGGGAGGCAGTGAGCAGAGATAGCACCTCTGCATTACAGCCAGGGAATGAGACTCAGTCTCAAAAAAAAAAAAAAAAAAAAAGAGAGAGAGTTACAAATAACCTATATTTGTGGGAGGAAGTTGGCCCTGGGTGAGATAGCTGCACACACACACATGCACACACACTTGGGTGAGATAGCTGCACACGCACACACACACACACACACGGCAGCGTCCACTGTCTGAGGCCCAAGGGAGATCTTCGTGCCCACACCCAGGTCATGGGAGGTGAGTTGTCCTAGGGAAGGGAGAGGAAGCAGGCTAGGAGCATGTGTGTGACCCTCCCTGTCACTGAGTTGAAGATGAGGCCATCATGAAGCCAGCACCTCCCCCAGCACCTCCAGCATGGAACACTGACCCAGGACCCTGCCTGAGGCTCCTGGCCACGCCCTGTCTTCTTCAGGACTCTGAGCACATCTGTTTCCAGGGGTTTTCAGCTGCCACACCCAGGAGGAAGGGAATCGCCCCCTCCCTTTCTGAGGTTGACTTTTAAAGCATTGGATTTGTGGATTCCAAGGCTCTCCCTCAAATACCAGTTCTGAGTGGATGTGAGAGGGTGGGCAGGGGAAGGGATCCTCCCCCACAGCCTGGAGATGGGCAGCAGAGGTGGAGAGAAGTGGTCCAGGATGAATTTGTGAAGACACGCACATGCATGTGCACACACACACATTGCACACGCGTGCACATGCACACACACCCCGCTGCAGGAAGAAAGGAATGTGGCCTGCGGGCTGGTCTCCGGGCTGGGCGGGTCCTGGGAGGCCCTGAGGCCAACCCCATGGAGTCGGTCAGGAGGCGCTGCTGCTGCTCAAGCTCCGGGCTGGACACACCTCTGCCTGGTATCAGGAGTGCTGCGCCCCAGGGATGGGAAGCCTTGCGTAGCTGGCCCCTCACTGGCCCTCTGGGAAGACTCAGTGCTTTCTCTGCGTCCGTTAACTCATTCACGAAAGACAATCCCAAGAATGGACATGGAAAGCAAAATTGCTGTGTGTCTCCTTTAGGAAGAAACGTGTTCGCCACTGCAAGAGCTCCACGTGTTCTCCGCGGCTCTCGGGCTCACACTCACAGCACAGCCGGGCACCTCCCACACCCACAGCACAGCCGGGCACCTCCCACACCCACAGCACAGCCGAGCACCTCCCACACTCACAGCACAGCCGGGCACCTCCCACACTCACAGCACAGCCGGGCACCTCCCACACTCACATCACAGCCGGGCACCTCCCACACCCACAGCACAGCCGGGCACCTCCCACACCCACATCACAGCCGGGCACCTCCCACACCCACAGCACAGCCGGGCACCTCCCACACCCACAGCACAGCCGGGCACCTCCCACACCCACATCACAGCCGGGCACCTCCCACACCCACAGCACAGCCGGGCACCTCCCACACCCACAGCACAGCCGGGCACCTCCCACACCCACAGCACAGCCGGGCACCTCCCACACTCACATCACAGCCGGGCACCTCCCACACCCACAGCACAGCCGGGCACCTCCCACACTCACAGCACAGCCGGGCACCTCCCACACCCACAGCACAGCCGGGCACCTCCCACACTCACATCACAGCCGGGCACCTCTCACACCCACAGCACAGCCGGGCACCTCCCACACTCACAGCACAGCCGAGCGACTTGACTCAACCTTTTTCGTTCGTGAGCTCTCTTTTCCACAACGTCTTTCACCATCTGTGAGCACGGCCTGCAACGTGGAAGACACAACCCCACCTGACTCTCCCCAGACCTCCCTGCTGCTTTAGCCTCCTACGCGCCAGCCTCCGGGCCTTCACCCCAAACCTTCCCAGGCTCAGAATGCCCTGCCCCAAACTCCACCGACACCATCTGCGAAACTGTAGCCTTCCATGACCAACCAGTCACGTCTCCCCTCCTCCGACAGGCGTCCCTGACTCCCTCACACAGATTCCAAAGCCCATGGTTCTCTGGTGCAACATACATCTCAGGCCACCCCACACCCAGTTCCACAATGAGTTGTGAGTGTGACTGTGAAACCTGCAGGGTCAGGATCGCTGTTGGCCCGGCTTACAGCCTTCCATGTAGTAGAAAGCCGTAGAAACTGCTGCCATAAGTAACATAGTACAGCATAATGTATAGTGTTACACATATTTTATCCTGTATATAGTATAATAATACAGTATAGGAAACTGTAATAAACTACTCACAGAAGAAAGTAGCTCACTCAGTGAGTACAGCTGACTTTGATTTCACAAGGATGCCAACTGTGACAGGCTCATTTGTTCACAAGGCTGCATCTGCTCTCTCCCACAGGACAGCCATGAACAGACAGCTGCCCTCACCCCCAAGGCCGGCCATCCTGGCTGAGGGCTGCCTGCCTGTCCCAGTGGAGGCACCTGCGTGATGTATCCAGGGCAGTTCTAGCAAGGGCCCTCTCCCTCAGGCTCCTCTGCACTGCTCAGCTGGGCTTATTCTGCAGGCAGGAAGCGCTTGGTGAAGGCGACTTGGTGCTCAGCAGGCTGGACCACTGAGCAGCCCCGGTGGCACCTGACCAGGCAGCCTGCGCCCCCTCTTTCCTGCCAGGGAAGCCCCGTCACCTGGCAGAATCCTCAGATAATGTTCCTATGCCTCCCTCATGAGGTTCTTGTGGAAGCTGGAAGCCACATGCACACCATCCTCTTCTCTCTCTCTCTCCTGCTTTCACCCTCGCTCTCACGCTCTCTCTCTCTTCCTCCTCCTCAGGAAGTATTGTGGGCATGAAGCAGGTGCATGGAGCCCAAAGGCCCCCATCATCTGGGGGTAGCACTGGCCTGGCTGGAAGGCCTGGGGTCATGATGCTGGGCTCTCGTCACAGTGCTGGGAAGAGGAGACCCAGCCCCCCAGGCACTCCAGCCCTGGTTGGCATCAGGATTCCACCCATGGAGGCTTATTAACATCCAAGGATGAATCGGGTTGTTCTGCTGAAACTGACGTCTATTTCTTTCATCAAGAAAAGGTGAGGAGCCTTAAAACACAGCATTAACTTGGACCAGCAGACAGAATGAGCTGAATTAACCCCAAAGATCCAAAAAGAGAGAGAAAAGAACATTCTCTTTGTTAAGTCCTGGAGTTTGCGAAGAGGTACTTGAAAGGGAGGAATGGAAGGATAGGAGGGAGGGAGGGAGGAAAGAGAAAAGGAAGAAAGAGAAGAAAGGAAGGGAGGGAAGCGGGGAAGAGAGAAAACCACTGCAGCAATTTCTTCTTCTGAAACTTCTGAGAGCCCCTGTTTGGGGCCAGGTCATGGGAAGCCCAGAGTCCCAGACCCTACTGTCCTGTCTCATGTAAATCACAAAGAGAAGGGTGCAGCTGGGATCCGCTGCCTGCAAGAATCTGTTTTACTGCTGGTCATGTGGTTTGCATAAAACAGACTTCCCCGGGAGCTCGCACTGCAAAGGGCTCCCACCGCCCACGTGCCTACCCGCATCAAAGCCGCCAGCCTGACGTCACCGCCACATACATCCAGCAATACCCTGAGCCTCTGCCTACATATTTGTCCCTAGATTCATGGCAGTCTGTTAGCCATTGGGTCAAACCATACTGAAGACAACTTCACCCTCTGCGCACCATGGAGATTATGTCCACTTTTATCTGACATTTAAGATCTAGGTTCTGCCATGTCACTCCAGAACCTCACAATCCTCGTGGATATTGGAGAACGTGATACCATCCCTCACCATAAACGTGGCCTTCGGAGTTCCTCCCGCACCCGTCTTCTCAAACACACCAACGGCCTCTCACCACTGCCTGCCTTCTTGTCTTAGCGGAGGACGATTTTCCTGTCCCTTTGAGGAAACATGATCAGATGATGCACCCTCAGGCCTCACATAGCACAGCTTTGGTAACATGTCTAAATTCATGAGCCTTCTGAGCCCTTCCTCAACCCTATCCCAAGGAAGGCCTAACACCGCCTCATTCACTGTACACCACTGTCAAATCCAAGCTTCAGGGATCTTCCGAAACATCTTTTGGGATGCTGCCACAGCAACTTCCTACTGGTGCATGGTAGCCAGATCCTGTCATTTATGTGGCAGATAGGTTATTACCTCTCACCCTTCCTGCTTAGGAGATAAATACTGAGGAGGCATAGCTTCATTGTGACAGGCACTCAGATTCCATGTGGCTGTTATTTTCTTTTTGCAAGGCTTCAAAGGCCATGATAAATATCAGCCAATACCATATTTTTGTATCCATCATTGCACACGTATAAATTGAACACCATCACTATTCACATCCCAAAGCTTCAACTTCTAACTATCTCAGTACAAAAGCCTCAGAAACGGGGTGTGTGTGTGTGTGTGTGTGTGTGTGAGTGAGTGTGTGGTCATCAAGTTATTCATTTATTTACTCAATTAATATTTTTATTTCTTTTTAAAAATTTTTTATTTTTACTGATACATAATATTCTACCTAATTATGGGGTACATATGATATACACCAGGTGTTATCACCACCCTGCTTATTAACAGTAACTCGCTGTGGTTTCTAGTACCTTTGGATGAGTGCTTATCCAGCTGTAAAATCTCATTCCAATAATTTAATTTTGAGAGCCACTCCTGATAACCACTGTCAAGTTTAGGCATTTTAGATTCTGTGGCAAGAGATTATGTGGTATCGATGACTTTGACTTCTGGGAAGATGGAGCAGAAGTACTTTTCCTACAACTTTAGATACAACTAAAAACAGTTTCCTACTAAGTACAACTGAAATTCCTGCACAATATGTTTTTGAAAACATAAAAAGACACTGAAAGGTAGAAAGAGCAAGGCAGACCAATTGGGAGCTTGGGAGAACTCTAAGCATTGAGAAGCAATACCACAGTGAGTTCTCTGAGGTATGCTAATTTTTTAAATCTTATATATCCCAGATTTGGATGCAAAGAAGCCATCAACACCAATCAGCCAAGGAAAAGTCCCCAGCAGAACCCTGCTGTCTCTAGCCAAGTGACCAGGGACACGGACAGCACAGGAGGACTGAGCCTCTTTAGACAAGACCCACCCTACTCCAGCCAAACACCCTAGAAAAACCATGGCTCCACCTTACCCAGACCAGCAGAAGTTGAGTGGAAAACCTTGATTTCTGCCCTTGCAGTGCCGTGATGAAGCACCCAGACTTGTTCACACTCTCAAGGGTTGTGGGAAGGGAGATGGAGGAGGGAGCAGACACTATTATCACTGTTGGGCAGCCGTGTTGACGGAGAACACATCAGAGGCCGGCACTTCCACTTCTGCCTGTCGGTGACAAGGCCCTCCTTCTGCTCCACACTGAGCAGCATCAGAGGAGGCCTAGTGGAAAGCCAGGACTTTCACCAGCACCCAGAGAGAATAACCAGTTCACCCCCAGGGTATCAGTGGAGACGTGGGGAGACAGGACTCCCACTTCCACACAGCAATAACAGGGAGCACTCCCCAACCCGGGTGTCAATAGAGACCAAGTGGGGAGCCTGGGTTTCTGCCTCCACATGACAGCAATGAGCCAGTGAAAACAGAAGGCTTAAATAAGATTTAGAGTCTCATACCACACTATCCAAAGTATCCAGGTTCCAATTGAAAATAATCTGTCCAGTCAAGCAGGGCAGCTCATGCCTGTAATCCCACCACTTTGGGAGGCCAAGGCAGAAGAATCACTTGAGTCCAGGAGTTCAAGACCAGCCTGGGCAATTCGGCGAGATCCCATCTCTACAAAAAATAATTTAAAAAATTAACCAGGTGGTGGTGCACACCTACAGTCCCAGCTACCCAGGAGGCTGAGGCCGAAGAATCACTTGAACAAAGGAGGTCAAGGCTACAGTAAGCCATGTTCATTCCAGCCTGGGCAACAGAGTAAGATCCTGTCTCAGGAAAAAAAAAAAAAAAAAAAGAAGGAAGAAAATCACTTGTCATGCCAAGAAATAGGGAAATGTCAACTTGAATGAAAAAGACAATTGATTATATACTAACACTGAGATAACAAAGATGTTAGAATTATTTGACAAAGATTTTAATGGTCATGGTTAAAATGCTTTAATGAGTAATAATAAACATGCTTGAAACAAATAAAAACATAGAAAATCTCAGCAGAGAAATAGAAGATAATAAAAACTAAATGGAAAGCTTAGAACCAAAACAAAATGTAAATTTAAAAATTAAAATTGAAAAAACAAAAAATACAATAAAATAAATTTAAGAATTCAATTTATTGACTCAACATCCAAATGGAAAGGACAAAGGAAAGAATTCATAAATTTGAGATTTAACATTAGAAATTACTCAATCTGAACAATAAGAAAAAACAGACTGATAAAAATGAAAAGAGATTATGCAAAATATTACGGAACTAGACAAAATATCGAATATTTGTGTCACTAGAGTCCTGAAAAGAGATGAGAAAACGGTTGGTGCTGAAACACTGTTTTTTAAAAAATGGCTACAATTTTCCCAAATTTGTCAGAAGTCACACACCTGCAGTTTTAAGAAGCCAAGTTAATCCCAAATAGGATAAATTCAAAGATATCCATGCCAAGAAACATCAGAGTCAAATTTCTAAAAATTGAAGGCATCTTACTTACATAGGAAAAACAATCCTAATGACAATGTATTTCTCACCTGAAATCATGAAGGCAAGAAAGTATTGGCACACTGTTTCAAGTGCTGAAGAAAAGAACTTTTAATCTAGAATTATATATCCAGAAAAAGTATCCTGCAAGAATAAAACAGAAATCAAGACATTCTCGAATGAAGAAAAACTAAGTAAATTTGTCACCAGCACCCTACCTTAAAAGTATGCATAAGAAAGTTCTCTAAACAGAAAGAAAATAATAAAAGAAAAAATCATGGAAAGGAAAAATACATGCTAATAGTTAAAAAGATGAGTAAATGCAATAGACTTTAGAACTCTTCTTGAATACTTCAAATTATGTTTGAAGGCTAAGAAAATATTATAATACTGTCTAGTGTATTTTTAGATGTAAGTAAAGGAAACATTTCAGATAATTATATTTTACATGGGTAGATAAAGGAATGTAACATTTGGTAAGGATTGTATACTTTACTCAAACTGGAGCAAAGTTTTTGTATCATATTAAAGTTATGTAAGTATAATATATTGCAATTAATCTAAACAACATAGTCATGAGTCAAAATGTTAATCGTAACCTCCAGGACAAGCATTAGAAAAATAACAAAAATGAGTAAAATAAATGACAATGTGATTACAATGTAAGAGAAGATATCTTAACAAAATAAGGTAATAATAAAAAAAGAAACAAAAATGATGTCAGATATTTAAAAAGCGAAGACCAAAATGCAGGAATAAACCTTAATAATTATTACATTAAACATAATAAATTAAACACTAACATTTAAAGAAAGAGATCGGCAGGCTATCTTTTAAAAACGTAATTCAACAATGTGCTATATACAAATGATACTGTTAAGATTTAAAGACAAAAATAAATTAAAAGTAAGAAGGTAACAATGAGATAGCACACAAACAGTAACCAAAAACCAATTGGAGTATCTATACCAATATCAGACAAAACAGATTTCAACACAAAAACTGTTATCACAAACCACAAAAGGACATTTTATAATAATAAAAGGGTCAATCTATCAAGAAGGTAAAAGAGTCGTGAATATATACAAATTAAACAAGAAAGCTTCAAAATACATGAGCATAAAATAAATGAAGGGAAAAAGAGATAATTCAACAGTAATAGTTGTTGGTTTCCATACCCCACTTTCAGTAATGGATAAAACAACAGGACAGAAGAGCAATAAAATACATAAGAAAACTGTAAACTCATGAGACATCTCTACATCTTTGGAACACTTCACCCACAGCAGCTTTCCACACATTCTTCTTCAGTGCACACAGAATACTCTCCAGCAGAGACCACATGGTAGGTCACAAAACAAGTGTTAATACATTTTTAACAATTTAAATCATAGAAAGTATGTTCTCTATCCACAATAGAATGAAATTAGAAATAAAAAATAAAATTTGAGAAATTCTCAACTTTATAAAAATTAAAAAAGTGCTAAACAAGCAATGGATACAACAAAGAACACAACAGAAGAGATATTAGTCAATACTTTTGAGGTGAAAAACAAAAGCACAACATACCAAAAAATATGGGATATAGCAAAAAAGAGTGCTTAAAAGAAAATTTATAGCTACAAACACCTATAATAAAAAATCTCAAATCTATAACCTAATCTTTCACCTGAAGACACTAGAAGAAAAGCAAACCAAACCCAAAGCAATTAGAAGGAAGGAAGTCATGACTGGTGGGAAAAACAAAATAAAGAATAAAAACCAATAGAGAAAATCAAGAAAAATAAAAGTTGTTTCTCCACAAATATCAACAAAATTGACAAACCTTTAGCTAGACCACAAAAAAAGGGTTGAATTATTACAAAAAGAAAGGAAAGTGAAAGCATTAGCATCAACTTTACAGAAATAAAAAGTACTATAAAAGAATACAGTGAACAATTGTGTGCCAAAAAAATCAGATAACCTAGTGAAAATGGATAAATGTTTAGAAGGACACAAACTACACAAACTAACTCAGAAAGAAATAGAAAATAGGAAAAGATCTCTAACAAGTAAATAGAGGCCAGGCACTGTGGCTCACACCTGTAATCCCAACACTTTAGGAGGTGGAGGCAGGAAGATCTAAGGCTAGGAGTTCAAGGAGAGCCTGGACAACAAAGTGAGACTCCCATCTTTACAAAAAATAAAAATAAAACAAATAGAAGAGTATGGCAGTGTGCACCTGTAGTCCCAGTTACTCAAGAGGCTGAGGCAGGAGGATCACTTGAGCCCAGGAGTTGGAGGCTGCAGTGAGCTACTGTTGTACCACTGCACTCCAGTCTAAGTGACAGAGTAAAACCTGTGTCAAAAATAAATAAACAAACAAATAAATATACTGACTTAGTAGTTTTTTTTTAAGTTTCCACAAAGAAAAGTTAGGACAAGATGGCTTCACTGGTACATTGTACCAAACACATAAAGAAGAATTAACACCAATTCTTCACAATGTCTTCCAAAATATAGAGGAGGTGGAAACACAGCTCACCTTATTTTGTGAGCCAGTTCCTGGCTTGTAGACAGCACTTTCCTCCATGCCCTAGCATGCTGCTGAGAGCATGTGGAGGCTCTCTGGGGTCTCCTCTCATAAGGGCACTAATCCTACCACGAAGCCCTCACCCTCCTGACCTCATCTAAACCTCATCGCCTACCAAAGGCCCATCTCTGAACACCATCACGCTGAGAGTTAGGTTTCCACATATCGATTCGAGGGGGATGACAATTTAGTACATAGAAGACACCAAAATTTAACATGCATTACCGTTTATAATCACTCAAAACAATGTGAAATGAAAAATATAGATCTGACAAAACATGTATAGGACATGTATGCTAAATCCTACACAATCCTAGTAAAAGAGATAATAGAAGATCTAAATAAACGGAAAGACATACCATATTTGTGGGTTAGAAAACTCAACATATTAAACATGTCAATCTCCCTAAATTGGTATGCAGGTTTAAGGCAATTCCTATCAAAATCCCAGCAAGCTTTTTTATAAATACAGGCTGAATTGTTTTAAAATTTATATAGGAAGTGAAAAGAACTAGAGTAGCTGAAACAATTTTGAAAAATAAAAAGAAAGTAGAAGAAATCACTCTAACCTAATTTCAAGACATATTATATTGCTATAGTAAGCAAGATTGTGTAGTATTGGTGGAGGGATAGACACACAGATTAACGGAACAGAAAAAGAATCCAGAGAAAGACCCCACAAATATGCCTGATTGATTTTGACCAAGGTGCAAAGCAATTTCGTGGAAGAGGGAGAATCTCATCAACGAACAGTGCTGGAGCAGTTGAACATCCACAGGGAAAAAATACCACTGATCTAAACCTCACACTTTATACAAAAATTAACTTCCAAATGGATCACTAACTTAGTACAGAATAGAAGCTGTAAAACTGTTTGTAAAATACTAACAACAGCATAGGAGAAAATCTTGGTTGTGATATTCTCTATAGTTTTACTAGGTGTTACCACTGGAGGAGACTGAGTAAAGGGAACAAGGATCTCTCTGTATTATTTTTCTCAACTGCATGTGAATCTACAATTCTCTCAGTATAATAAGTTAAATTAAAAGCAAAAATATTATGTGCACGCCTCATTGGGATATGTGTTCCTGGGAGGCATGAGTGATGGAATTAGGAGAGGGGAGGGAGACATGAAGGGCATGCTGCCACGCTGGAGCCATATGACCTGCTGCAAGCCAGGACCAGGAGGAACACGAATGATCTTGTTCATTCTCTTTCCCTTCTCCATCTCTTATTGTTCCTTAAGCCCATGGAAACTTAACTTTCCAACACTTCTGGGTTATATCAATCCTGGAGAAACCAAAGGCCTGTGTTTACCTCATGTCCCTAACTGGGGCAGAACAGAAATGCCTTGAAGGGCTCATGCTCACAACTACTCCCGAAGATTAACAGGTAGGAGGTGGGGAGCCAGGCTGACACTCATTCTACAACACCACCCCCAGCACCAAGCATAAACGGGGAAGGGAAATCACATGCTGGCAGCCTGTGAGTCATCACTGCACTCATCCCTCCACTTCACCCTCAAAACACCTGGATGGGGGTCACTGTCATCATATAGGGGTGCACCAGGCAGGATCCTGTGCCTTGGAGCACCGCATCCCTGAGAGCACGGATCCTACAGTAGATAAAGTGTATTCTCTTTCTCTGCTCTTTTCACACACACATGCGTGCACACACACACACACAGCTCAACATTATGATTTGTGAGTGCTAAAAGGAAGTGGCTATTGGATGGGGGAAGGGGTGGATGTCTCACTGGAGGCTCCTGTGCTGGGAGGGGAGGTGGGGGATGCTTAGGGAGAGGGAAAGAGTGAGTCTATAGTGTGAAGCCAACATCAAACCCCACTATGAGAGGTGCCAACTTTAGAGCACTCTGAAAGGGACAATGCCTTTTTTGTTTTTATTTCCCATCTTTTATGCTTGGTAGACTTGATGTGGCCAGAGGGAAAGTCATAAAGCCTCTTGTCTCAGCTCATCATCATGTTCACTCTTAATTTTCTTTGCCTTATTATCTATAAATCCCTCTCATTACATAGTGACCCCTTAATAAAACTTCATTTTTCTCCCCACCTCCATCTCCCCAGCACCACCCCTCCCCTTCTGCACCTGGAGCCCAGGAGAGGAGGCTCAGAGTGAGCCTGCATCTCCAGGGAAGAATGCCAGTCCCAGGAGCTGCCTCCTTCCTAGCCCTTGCTCCCTGAAGTCCCAGAACCCAGGGTGCCCACCACAGGGCTTGCCACTGTCCCCTGGGTGGCCTGCCTGGCAGAGCAGGACAGGAGCTGCCAGGGGCCTCTCTGCAGCCTCCTTTCTTGGGTGTCAGAGGCACATCAGGTGGGGAAGGGAGGGTGGGACTCAGGCATACAGGGCTGTGGGTCCTGGTGGGCAGAAACCTTCCTGCAGGGGTGGGATTGAGCTCACACACCCCTGACATGCCTGTCCCAAAATCCTGACTCCTGTCACTCCTGGGGTTGCCCATCCAGCACATTCAGGACTGTTAGACAAAGCAGGACTGGAGCCCCTTCCACAGTCAGGCAAGCCTGCTTGGCACCATGCATGCGCCTTAATTAGAACAAATAGCCTTAGACACACAATAAAATAAAAAATTGATGATTCAGTGACAGATAATCGTTTGCAAGAAACAACAGATGCCTGTACAATGAAGATATATTTCATGTTTTTTTTTAAAGCACATTTAACTAACTGAATAATGCATTATAATGATTATGCTGATATTTCTAAATATGTTAAGAATTTATAATAAAATCTTTCCTCTGAGGATGCCAAGCTTTACTTAATTGGTGATGAAGTTGACACAGAAGGGGTGCAGGCTCTTTCCACACACACCACCACAGCCTCTGAGAGGGCACACGGAGGAAAATGCCTGTGGTGCCTGGGAGACGAGGAGCAGCGCCTGCCTGGAGTTGGATGCAGGCCACAGAAACCTACCCTGGGTGGTGACACATGAGATCAATAACATGTGATCCATTCGAGGGTGAGAGAGGACCGGCTATTCCCTAAATCCCTTAAGGACAGAGAAAGAGACTATTGGCCTGGGCTGTAGATAAGGAGAAAGTCCCCCTGTGGCCAGGAGTTGAGGGGCAAGATCCTACCCCTGACACCCAGCTGGCCAAGGACGTCTTTAGCCAGGACCTGCCTGGGATAGGGGAGGGAACGGGAGAAACGAGGAGGTGCCGCAACAATTCTGCCTCAGGCCCCAGTGGAGTCACTGGACTTATCCACCTGTCATGAGCAACTAGACCTCTGGACATCATGAACAAAACAACCCTTTGTAGACATTGGGCAAGAGGGTGAGGAGCTTACTACCAGCATCTAAACCCACTGAGCCATAAGCTGCTGAGCTGATGGGGAAGGCCTGCATCCTCTCCCTAGGCTGCTCCAGCGGGGGCTGCTCCCCCAACAGAGTGGCCAGGCTGTGTGGGCATAATCCGTGCCATTACCCAGCTGGACACTGCTGTCTTAAGAGGTCTCCCAGATATAAGCTTATTAATTTTGTTAATTTTGCAATGACCTAATTATAACTACTTAAAGGCAGAAGATCAGTTCTTGTCATTTGATGGTGAAAATCAGAATTGCTTCCTCTCCAAATCTTTCATTCCTCTTAATACAAATCAGTATTCTCACCATCGCCTACAAGGGCCAAGGCCACCTGGTCTGGGCTCCTGTATGTGTTCAGCCTCAGTCTGAAGCCAGCCCCTGCTGACAACGTGCACACCCACGTGCCTGTCTCCCAAGTCCCACACGTGTGGTTGGATCTGAATCCACAGCAGGTCAAACGTGTCTCTTCTGGTTCATTTCTCACTGGAGCTATCGACAGCTGGTGAAGTGCTCCTGGCATCAAAATTAGCAGATTATTCAAGGAAGATATTAAGTTGGCTCAGATTTCCCGCTTCGAGGCCAAGATATCAATGTTGCATAGCCAGGAGCTCTCGAGTTTATTTGGAGCTGCTTGAAGCTCTAGTTCACAGATAGGCACAGGAAGGGAGAGGTGACTGGGCTTGGAGCTGTCTTCCTCACCCCAGACTGCCAGGCCTGCATCACTGGGGCCATCAGCTCCCCTGACAGGCTCACAGAGTGCTGGGCTTCTGTAGCCATCTGAGGTTTAGATAGACCAGGAGAGAACAGAGCCCGAGAGAGGGGTGGAGCAATGCTTTTGGAGGGCTTCTTATGCAGCAGACACAAGCCTAGAGGCTTGATATCCCCAAGCCCAGTTTGACACGGAGGCTCCGAGGTGCAGAGGGGTTAGGTCACTGGCCCAGGGTCCTGCGTGTCTAGCGTGGTAGAGAGGGTGTAAGGCAGAGGCCTGAGTGCCCGGGCAGCAGGTGCTGCTGTGTGTGTGTGAGGGAGCCAGTCCCCGCGGATCCCTCAGCTGGAGAGGAGTCCCTCCCCAGAACACAGGCAGCTGAGCTGAAACCGGGAACCTCGGAAACCCGGACACAGTTAGGTTAGTGGGAGGTTTTGTTGACTTTTATACTTACTTCATTATAGAAACATCCACATTACATGAGAGTAGAAAGAAGAGTGAAGGGTGTTCAGCCTCAGCCTCTGTACCTCCCCCGGCTCATGCCTGGCTTCTTTCATCTCCCCACCCTCAGATCTCTCCTCAGAGATTTTCTAGCAAATTCCAGGCATTACAATTTTACCTGAAAGTACTTCCTCATGTATTTTTAATAAATAAACATATTTAGCCCATAACTGCACTTCTACAATTATATCTAACAAGATTTCTAACAATTAAACTAATACTTGGCTTATGCTCAAATTTCTTGAGGTTTTCAAAAAAGTGGGGAGAGGGACCTTCTTACAGTCACTGTGTTTCAATCAGGTTTTATCCAGGGCCTACACACACCGGCTGCTTTCTTTACACCTGTCACACCTGCATTCCCCTCTTCCCATGCAGTTTATTCTGTTCAAGAAACTAGGTCATTTATTTCTGCAGAATTTCCCACGTTCTAGATTTAGCCAGGAAGAAATTAAACTTCCATGTAACCAGGGCGCTCAAATCGTCGGGATGAGAGCCTAGTTTGTGGCTGCTTTGCAGGGTTGTTTCTTAGACAGCGCTACAATCTCGTTACGTTGTGTCAGATGTTGTCGTGGGGGCTTTTAGATGTGCCGTCTAAAGTCAGGAAGGAAACAGAGAGTGACTGGTAATTGTCATGACAATGACCAGGACAGTAGTAACTATGCAGTGAGTGATTACCCTGTGCCGGCTCTTTGCTAAATACTTCACAGGCATGTTTTTACTCAAGTCCATTCTCATTTTACAGAGGAGGAAGTTGATGAACAAAAACTAAACAAATGACTTGCCCCAGGGCACACAGCTCGTCATTTGAACCAAAGCTGGAATTCGAACGCAGGTCTGTCTCACTGCAAAGCCGCCCCCTCTTCTCCAACCCTCTGTGGGATTTGGTGACTTGAGTGCAGGGGAGCGTCCACCAGCGACCCTGCGGGACAGAAGATAAGTGAATGGGGAGGTTTTGTTAAGAAAGCCTGGGTGCCAGAGAGACAACCGGGAAAACTCCTTACGACCTGTTTAGGAAAAGCTTTCTCAAAGCGGGAGCTGTTCCGGGGAGGAGGAGAGAGGATGCATGTGGTCTGGGTACGGGTGTGGGGCAGAGAGTGTTGCCCAGCCCTCTCTCATTCGTGACATGCATATGTGGAGAGTGTGAGCACTGCAAGGCACCAGGGCATGCTGGCATCCCTCCATGGGGCTGCTACTTGCTGCCGAAGGGGGCCAGCTGGGGAGGCCCATGGCAGTCCCAGTCTCCACCTGCAAAGGGGAGGAATCCACATCTCAGCCCAGGTGTGAACCAGCTCTCAGAGCAACAGGCTGCCATGGCACCCCCCGTCAGAAAGTCCCAATGTTGGCTGTGTGATTAGTGCTCGAGTATGTAGAGTGTTCAAGCTGGAATGGAGGGAGAAGCCAGGAGCCACGGTGGGAAAGATCATGTCTTCAAGTGACCGAGGGAGCTGAAAAGCGCAGTTTCAGCATCAGAATGATTGTAGCTCTTCCTGGATTCTCCTCCACTGGAAAAAGTGTTGCTGTTGGGATCAGAGGACCTGGCTTTGTGTCTGGTCTTTAGCATTTACTAAACCTTAGAATGCTCATTTAAACTCCCTGAGCTTCCATCTTCCCACCTCCATCATGAGAACAGCACCTTGAGAACTCACTGAATAGGCCCTTCTGCAGGGTCTCCGACGTGCCGCAGGGTCTCCGACGTGCTGCACTGTGCTGGGACCTGGGAAGGAAAGGCTCTGACAGTCATTCTCATTCCTGCCATCTCCCTGATGCAGAAGACAACATTTCAGGAAAGTTTAAATAAAAAAAATATACGTATGAAACTGGTTTACAAACTACTGCTCAATACCAAACCACGAGTGGCAGTACTGCGAGTATTGAGTGAGTCTCAAAGCCTGAGTCTCTCATCCCACACAGTGCTTGGTTCACTGTGGAAGGTGCAGGAAGAGGGAGAGGCTCCTTATCCTGTAGGGGTCACAGTCATGTACAGGAGATGACCACATGCCCAGATGGCAATGACACCTGGCCAGAGGAGGAAAGTGCCGCAATGCAGCTACGAACCAATCCCAAGCTGCCAAGAGGCTGGAATGCTGTGTTCAAAATGGGAGGGGCAGGTGTATCAGGAAGCTTCACCTTTGGATTGTGTCCAGGAGTTTGAGATTTCAACATAGAGTGCCTAGAAAAGTGGGTTTTTAGAGGAGAGAACCTTCTGTCATTCCAGGATTGAGACTGAGAAATGAGCCAGCCTCCTGGAAAGAAGGCTGGAGAAGCCATATTAGGAGCCCAGGGGCTGGGCTCATTTGCACCAAGCCAGAGTGCACCTCAGACCGAGCCGTTGCTGATGTCTGCAGGTGCCAGTTGTTCTCCAGCATTGCCAAGCCTGCCCCCCAACTGACAGGAGGAGCTGGAAGGGGGATCTGGGCAGCAGAGATTCTCGGGAGACTCTGGGCCACACAGCAGGAGATGCTATTTATGGGAAAGAAAAGCTACCCAATGCCTTGGGTGCTGTTTCCAGAAAGTTCTCTGGTCATGGCAACACGTAGGGACCACATTTCGGGAGCATCTATAGAGCATTTTCATTTTTCTGCCCGGGCTTGTGTGTCCGCTGTGATGTCACAAGATGAACCCAGGCAGCCTCCAGCTATGACCTAGTGGTGGTGAGGCTCCAGGAGAAGCCATAGGTCTGAGGGATGACAGTAACCAGGCTCATGCTGTCACCCTCCTAGCAGCACCATCTGCATAGGACTTTCAAGTTTACAGACACCTTTCACCCCTCTCACTTCAGGTGAGCCTCACAATTAGCATGTGAGTCTGTTTTACAGATGAGGAAACTAACATGCAGAGGGCAGTATCTATTCAGGATCATAATAAGGGCAAAGTCAGGAAGCTCTTCTGATTTAAGCCCTGACTTCTATGGGTTATAGGAAACTTGGAAAAGAGAAGCGCTCACGGTCTAAGTTTCCAAACCTAGGATTTCCCCACTTCATTTGCGTGAATGCAAATGGGAAGGCTTCTCTCTGCCAGCGCCAATGACTCATCGCAGAGCCAAGGGACTCCCCAATTTCCCAACAATGCTTGGGGCCCTGGCAGGACCAAAAAAGGCTCAGAGAAGCTAATTCTCGAGAGGGCAAAAGGCCTGTTCGAGGATCCATGGCAGTGGGTAGTGGGTCCAAGGCTTCTGGTTACACAGAGTGTCCTGCTTTCTTCCCAGGATGTCCAGGGGTCTCCCGAGTGAATCTTCTCTTCCACGGCAGCCTACACAGCACTGGTGACATGGATAGCACCTTCCTCCCATGAATCCGGAGCTTCCTGAGGGCAGGCTGAGCTCCTTTTTCCTCTGCACTTCCGCACAGCTGCTCCCAGTCTCCCCATCCCCATCAAACAGCCGTTCTGCACTGTGTCCTATTGGAAATACAGATCAGCCTCATGAATTATGTCCCAACAGCGGCCTGTGGACACTGGGGAAACATTTCTCTTGGGGGCTGCACAGAGGCCTGGGGCTTCCGTGAATTGCCTCAGAGCACGGGGGCCATGCCCTGATGTATGATGGTCCAGCCAGTGCCACGCCTGGCCCCCGAGTCTATCCCCATCTTGGTACCCGCTGCTACCTTCTCCCCTTCCAGACAGAGACCCCAGGGTCAGCATCTCCCTGGGAAGCTTTCTGGAATTCCCCTCCTTCCTGCCTGTCCCTGTGACCCTCTCCTCCTGGGAGTGCCTGCGCCCCTGCTGCCCAGAGCCTCCTGTCCCTGGGGGTCAGAGGCCCCTGCTCAGTGCCCACCGCACAAGTGAAAGGCAATAGGGAGACCTGTGGTGGCTGGCAGTGGCACAGGCAGGTCCCAGGCTGCATGGATCTCATTCCAGCCTGCTCCCACCTCAGCACTCTGTCCCCACAGGGAAGAGGAGAGGGAAGGGGCCACCTTAGACACCTGGAGTGTAGGCACTTCCTCTCCAGGACCTCTGACCTGCCTTTCCCTTGAACTGGAATAATGGTTCACACTCACCAAGCACTCGCTCTGTGTCAGGCACCTGACTAAATTTTCAATACATTCTACATCATTCATCCTTCACCAATAGTCCTATGAAACATTTTACAGATTGGGAATCTAAGGCTTACAGAGTGTGACTCCTGCTGAAAGTCACACAGGTAGTGACAAGGTGAGGGCTACCTGGCTTCATCGCTTGAGGCTTCCCCCCAGAGCTGATCTGTCTCTTGCCACAGCCACACTGCTCACAGCAGGTCAGGACGGCAACTCTGTCCTCTCCAATGCAGCCCAAGTGTCTGGGTTGGGGCGCCTCGTTCTGCTTCCAGGGCCCTGTGAGTCATGGGTGGGTTGGTTTTTGCTCCTCGACTCCTGCGCCACCCAATGCTCTCCCTAGGGAGCCGCACCCTTCTCCAGGGCCCGCCTCTACCCTGCCTTCTCCAGGGCCCCCCTCTACCCTGCCTTCTCCAGGGCCCGCCTCTACCCTGCCTTCTCCAGGGCCCGCCTCTACCCTGCCTTCTCCAGGGCCCGCCTCTACCCTGCCTTCTCCAGGGCCCGCCTCTACCCTGCCTTCTCCAGGGCCCGCCTCTACCCTGCCAGGCACACTGGTGTCTCCATGTGGACTCTTCCAAATGTTGCTCTCTGTCCCTGGTTCCACTCATGTGACGCACCCTTCTGTCACTGCTGGGGTGGGTCAAAATCCTCACTCAATCAGGGAGAAAGTGCTGTCCCACAGCAGGGCTGCTCACAGAGCTCAGGGGGAACAGAGACCCTCCCCGTGGGAGACCATGGGGACAGGGGCTGGAATGACCCCAGTAGCTGGGCTGCAGGTGGGTTCACCCCAGGTCTGGACCTCAGAGTTTAGCTAGAGAAGAGGGCTCATGAAATCACCCAAGCTGAGACTGGAAGGACTTAAATAGTGATTTGACCTAAATGTTCAGTTTTTATTGAAATCAGATATATTCTGAGTTCACCCTGCCTCTGAGCTTCTAGATGAGACTGGCTGCATCATGACCTGTGGCAGCCCAGTACCCTCTCCAAACTGGGAAATCCCAGAGGCTGGGGTGTCTCCTGGTCAGCCCTCGAGGCAGTTTCTATTTTCCTCCAAGTCCTCCTTCCCCTCCTTCCCCTCTACTCTTGCAGGATTTTCCTCCAAGTCCTCCTTCCCCTCTACTCTTGCAGTGGGTCTCGTGTCAGGCAGTTTCTATTTCCCTCCAAGTCCTCCTTCCCCTCTACTCTTGCGGTGGCTCCCGTGTCAGGTGCACTGTCAGCTGCAACGTGGGCCCTGCATCAGCTCTCTGATTTCTAGCCACAAAAATTCCCACTCATGCCGGCAGCTGGGGATGCCATCTGGGGCCTCCTCCTGCCCAGCAAGAGCCTGCTGAGGCTGGGCTCCCCGCACTGAGCTCCAGAAGTAGCCCAAATGAAGTGTCCTTCACAGAGACCCTACCAGCCCTGCCAAGACAAGTCCTAGGACCGGGACTGGAGTGCAGAATCTTTAGTGCAGGCATCGAAGGTGCTGAGAGCCAAAGCCGCAGGCAAGACAGAGTCTTCTGGGGAAAGCTCAGATCTAACCTAGAGGCCATGCTCACCCACCTGATCACAGGGTGGGCTACAGAGCTAGGAGTGGAGAAGCCAGAGAAGAAACAGGGCAAGAGCAGGTCTGGAAGAATGAGGGCAAGTATCACAAACCTCAGCACAAGTTTCTGTCATCAGGGAAGTGCTAGCAATGCAGAGAATAGCACCCTAAGATCCAGAGACAGCTGCACACCTTTTTTTTTTAAGTTGAAGGAAGTGTGAGGAGCAGCAATTTGTCCTTTTTCTTAAATGAGATGGACCATAACCTAGTCCCTTAGGCCCTCAAAATTTCATACAGGTGAATGTATTGTCATGATTCTGTCCTCCCATTTCTGGCACACCCGCATATCACTATTTGCACATTTCTTAATCTCCAGGTCCAATCAGTGTGGTGTTTTTTATGTGACCAGCATGATGAGCCCTGGAATGTTGAGGCAGTTAGATCCCGCTGGACTGCATTCGGATTAGAGATCAAGAAAGTTAGCAGAGCTATGGTGCACAAGAGTAAAACTGTACTGCTGTACTTGCTATGTAAGAGCAAGCTGCCATGGGTTCTTCCTCATTATGAGAATTGGCAAAAAAAAATTTTCACCAAATAAGCAGCTGCCTCTCAGGAGTCAGAGATTGTGTCTTATTGTAAGTGCCCTGGCAAGAGACAGAAGCCAACTTTCTGTAATTAGAACAGGGAAAATTTAATGTAAAGAATTACTAACTAGTAACAGTAACATGGTGAACTACTAAAAGGGGTAAGAGAAAAATAACTCAAAGGAATACAGACTTGGCAAATGCAGGGATTTCTACCTACCTCTAGGACTGAGTGGGACAGCCAAGGAGGAAAAGGGCTCACTCAGCCTCAAAGTTAAGAGTCAGACCTGCGGCTGTCAACTGTGGGTGGAAAAGAAGTCCCCTGAGGTGCTGACAGGGCAGGGATGGTCCATGGGAAGTCATCCTCTGGCATGCCGGACAAGCTTACTGGGCACCCCAGGACCCCAGAATTCCAGCCATGCTGCAATAGGAAAAAGAGCACACAGGAATCAGGAACAGAGGGCTCAACCTCTGCTGTACCTTGTAACTTCCCTCCAGGGTCGACTATTGAAAAAGCATCGCATTGCACCCGCTAGCTGGGGAGACACAGCCACAAGGCCAAGCTCAAGGATCACAAAGCAGGCCAAGGGAAGACAGATTCCGGTGGAGAGGCAGTGAGATGATGATCGGCGCATTAATTCACTCCAGTAAGAACACCACTCCAGAGGAGTAGCTGTGCCTGGAGCTTCCCCCTAGCTAAGCTTATGATATTATCCATCAACTGCCAATCTAGTTTGTTTGTATAGGGGCCAGGAGGGTGACTTTAATAAGGATATGGCCCAAGACACAGCCTAGCTGAATGAGGAAAGCACAGACTGTGGCAGATGTCTCTGGTTTCCCACAGCATGTCTTCAACCCAGCTCTGGTTTCAGAGCTGCCTGAGATAGACAACTACATGCAAGTTCAGGTTCTCAGTGGAAATGCCCTGCTTCAAGCAGCGTGTGTCAGATCCTCCCTCATTCTTCCTCAGGGCCCTCCTCCCCCACCACAGCCTCTCTGTGCCTCAGCTTCTTCCAGCCTATGGCACTCGGGCCTGGAGGTCCTGTTGTGTGGCGCTGACCAAGCTCTCACCTGGCTCACCGGCCCAAGGACAAGTAGTGTAGCAGCTGTGGGAGTTAATGTCCCTGGAGACAAATTTCAAACAATGTGAGATGGGCCTCAGTGACTAAATGTCCATCCCAGTAATCTTTATGTGAAAAATTATCAGAGGTCTCAGCAAACTTTAGTCACTTTTTCTCATGGGACTTCCCTCAGTAACACACATTTACACGGGCTTTTCTTCAGGTCTTTCTTAATCTCCCTTCCTCCTCACTCCATCTTCCTGCTATCATCTTCAACATAAAACATAAAACTATTTGCACTCATCGCCGGGTCTTGGGCTCTCTGCTTCCCAAGGAAACCGAGCAAGGGCCCAGCCTGCCCAGGGTAATCACCTCTGACACCGATCATCCATATGGCTCCGATTGCCCTTCACAAGCTGTTCATCCAGCTCCAAAATCTCACCCTGAGAGCTGGCTTTCAAGAACTTCTCTCATACAATTTATGCAGCCCAATTCCCCTAAAGAGTAGAGTCAGATGTGAGGATTTAGACTCAGGCTTTACTTAATAGATGCAATCCTGATACACATGTGAAATAAATGGGAGATGGAGAAGAGAAGAATGAAAAGTAGTTCGAGGTCAGGGTATCCTGCACTGGCCTCTGCTTCCTGGTGAGCCACTGAGAAGGTGGTCAGTCACTCTGCGACTTCATCTATTCACGTCCACGGATCTCCTATGGGCTGTGCTCTATGAAACCAAACTGTGACGCGGTCCAGGGGAGAGGAGGTTGGGAGGAATGTAATTCCTTTCTGTCCCATAACCTCAGGTCTGTTTGTCTAGTTGGCCCTATGGGGAGTGGGAAGACCTCGGCGGCAGGCCCTCCTTGGGCCACAGCAGCTCATCCAAGTCTGAAAGGAGGCAGAGAGGCCCGAGCCCCAGCAATGCAACCAGTGGGCACGGCTTCACAGCCACAGCCAGGGAGTCCCAGCAAGCCAGGAGGAGGCATTGAGCAGACCACACAGCAGCGTCTCAGAGCCACGTGCAGCGGACCGGCCAATGTCAGCCGAGCACAGCGGGAGTCTGTGGGACTGGGAGGCAGGCAGGGCCGGGGAGACATGAGGAGGTGCATGGAGGCATCTTGTACTGCAAGTGTGGACAGGAGTGAGTCGGAGACTTTGTATAAGGAGTGAGATTGTGATGGGGTGGAGCATAAAAGTGATTTATAGTGTGGGAGACAGTTTGGGTCTGAGGAGACTGTGAAGAGGAAGCACAGGCAGTCTCATCCCGAGATGTGTCCAGCTCACCCCAGCATGGCAATGCCCAGGGTGAGGAGCCCCCCGCCCTACACACCGGGGTTCACTACCCCAGCACACCTGCAGCAGGCAGGGAGCTGAGTGTTTAATGGAAGCTGTGTCTGCCTTTTAGCACTCAGATTTATGCAGATATATTTTTTACATTCAGAGTTCAGACTCAAGAAAGGTTGAATTTGTAAACAATTTTGCATCTGAAGCTTCCTCTAAATGTCTGAGCATGAAGCCTGAATGGAAGTAATCAGTACATTTGTGGAGAGGAAGCACAGACCAGTGACACTAGATGGAGCTATGAATGGAGACTGAGCCTGGCCACAGCTCCCTCGAGGGGCCCTGTTCTGGAGCAGCAGGAGAAAGGGAAGCCACCGTCCTCTGGCTTCCAGGCCAGGCTCATTAACCTGGCCTGCTGTTCCTTGTAATGAGTGGAGTGAGGGCATGGGGGTGCCTCTCAGAGACACCAGAGCGGAGGGTTGGTCACGAATGCCACAGGTGTCACAAGAATCTCATCCCCTACCACAGAGAACAAGAAACGCTTTGCCTGATGAACCAGAAGGAGGTGTCAGCAACCAGGACGTCAACTGCATGTCACCCGACCAAAAGTCACGGCCACGATCACATCGGATTTGCCTGGATGCAGAGGACAATGACAAAACCAAATTGTCTTCTTTTCTGTCAGTTCGGCAAATCCATCCTTTTCATCACTGATACCTGTCAAGTCCACCCATGAAATGCCCGTGACTTCACGTATTCATTTCCCCTCGTTCTGCTCCTCTGCGAGTCCAGGCTTCACTGCTGGGGGTTTATCTTACACATCCGTCAATCTGCGACAGTTCAGGAGGGCAGGGGGCTTGGGGGACAGACACATGGAGGAGGCTCAATATGGAGGGAACCCCCCACCTGGTCTCCCCTGTAACCCCTTCCCTCAAGGGCCTCACCGGTGCAGACCCGGCCTCTGCACTCCACACGCCTGTGCACACCCACTCATTCCTTTACGGCAGCCTCGTATTCCACTCCTTGGCTTCCTTGTCTGTGTTTCTGGGCTAGTCTTGAGGGCAGGGTTGACAGCTTATTTATGTCTCTATCCCTAGCTCCATATTCAATACTTAGTGAGAAGCTTGGTAAATATTGGCTGAGTTAATGAAGAAGTAGGGCTCCAAATCAATCTGAATCAGTAAGTCTGATTAAAGTAGCAATGAATAGTTATGAATAATAGGTCAACTGTAGTTTTAAAATAAGTTAGAAAATTATCTTTTTAAAGAAGCACGTTATTGTTCCTTGGTATTTATCCAAAGGAGCTGTAAACTTACGTCCACACAAAATCCTGCACAGATGTTTACAGCAGCTTTAATCATAATGGCCCAAACTCAGAAGCAGCCAAGATGCCCTTCCATAGGTGCATGGTTAAATACACTGCAGTGTATCCAGACAGTTATTCAGTGATAAAAGAAATGCACTATTAAGCCATGAAATGACATGGAGGAAAATTAAATGCATATTATTGGCTGGACTTGGTGGCTCACACCTGTAATCCCAGCACTTTGGGAGGCCGAGGTGGGCGGATCACCTGAGATCAGGAGCTTGAGAACAGCCTGACCAACATGGAGAAACCCTGTCTCTACTAAAAATACATAATTAGCCGGGCGTGGTGGCACATACCTGTAATCCCAGCTACTCGGGAGGCTGAGGCAGGAGAATCGCATGAACCCAGGAGGTGGAGGTTGCAGTGAGCCGAGATCACGCCACTGCACTCCAGCCTGGGCAACAAGAGCGAAACTCTGAAAAACAACAACAACAAACAACAAAAAACCCGCACATGAATAAATGAAAGAAGTCAGTCTGAAAAGGCTGTCTGTTGACTGCATGTTTCCAACCGTATGACATCTGGAAAAGGAAAAGCTACAGAGACAAGAACAAGATCAGTGGTTGCCAAGGGTTACAGGGTAGGGAGGGATGGATAGGCAGAGCATGGAGGATTTTTGGGACAGTGAAACTATTCTGTATGGTACTATCAAGGTGAGTACATGTCACTACAAATTTCTTCAAACCCATAGAATGTACAATACCACGAGTGAACCCTAACATCAACTTAAGGGGGAAAAAAAGCATATTATTAAAACTGCTCACTTTCTACCAATAACAATGATAGTACAGACACAGGAGTAACATCTATTGAGCACTTACTACCTTCAGAGGCCTTGCTGAGTGCTTCACACATATTGTGAAGTTAGGTATCCTCATCTCTCGTTTGCAGATAGGAAAACTGAGGCTTCAAAAGGATAAGGAACTTGCCCAAGGTTATGCAATTAGTATGCAGCAGTGCTCTGACAGCAAATTTCCTGCTCTAAACAATCACATTTTACTGGTTTTCAGGGCAAATTTCTCTCCAGAGGACCCTGCATGGGGCTGACCAAGCACCAGACATCCTGCTAGCAGCAGGACATTAGCTAAAGAGACCCCAAGACTGATCAGCCGTGCAGTCCTCAAGGCCATCAACCCCAGGCCCTATGCACTGGGCATGGGAGGCAGCAGTGTCCAGCTTGATGGCATGATTGGCAAGCACGGGTTTCTCCAACACAACACAGTGGCTCTCCACCCACACGCAGAGTCCTCCCCGTCTCATGTATCTGTTTATCATTGCGTCCCCCAGAATGTAAACTTCAAAACAGCGAGCAATCATCTATCTTGTTCCTAGTTGAATCCTCAGTGTGTAAACCCAGCATAGTGTGGCCTGCCAGTTAATAGATGCATGCAGGAACAAATGAAATGAATAGGTGAACGGGAAAATGTATGAGGATACTACCCTATCACTCACATTATCAAATTCAGCTGAATATTGTTCTACTTATTGTATACAGACAAGAAAAAGGAGACCCAGATTGGTTATTGGCCTGCCAAGATCACTGTCTATGTGGTGTTGGTGCTGAAAAGAGGGCAGGCCCACCAGAGTTTACACCAGGCACACCGGATCCCCACCCAGCATCCCTGCTAGAGAAGGCATCTAGAGGCCACAGCAGAGTCAGAACATCAGCGGAGGCCTTCCCGCTCCAGATCCTGAGCGGTGCAGACAGGCCAGCTTGCAGCCTTTGTCTGGAGGAAGGGCTGTTTCTTCTTGTTGGTGGCACTGGTCCGTCAGCTTCCCCATGGCTCCTGTCTCACAGCTCCTGAAACAGCACAGGTCAATCGAGACACCAGAGCCAGGCCTCCCCATCTTTTTCTCAGCCCTGGCTCCCTGCTTCAGGGAATACACAGATACTCCTGCATGGGAGTAAGCCTCAGCCCCCGAGAAGGTCCACCTTCCCAGCATGAGCTCAGCAGCCCAGGCCTGGGCTCCCCAACTCGCTGCACACATGACCGTCACCCATGGCAGGCCGAGGGCTGCTGGGGCTCTGGGACTGCTCCCGAGAAACAATGGTGGGGGGCAGCCTGCAATGGGGCTGCAGACCTATACCTGGCAGGGGCCCCAGGCCTCCTCGCTCTGACCCGGCTCCTGCACTGCCGTGCTGGCCCCTGACAGCAGCGCTGGGGATGAGGCTGGAGTGCGTATGTTAACAACACAAAGAAGCTTGAGCTGCTAGGCAGGGAAGGGGATGGGCAGCTCTGCATTATTTCTGGAAGTGGTGGGAGGGAAGCAAGGGGGAAAAGTACTTAAAATATCAACGAGTGGTGCTTGGCTTAAAATTAGAAAAAAACTTCCAGAAAACAAGAATAAGGTGAGACTGCAGAAGGCGGCCTGAGGAGCTGGAATGCCATCCTCTGAGAGTGGAGCCGGGGCTCCGAGAAACACTGCGTGCAGGGGATCATCGCAAGTCTCATTCCGAGATGTAACAAACGTAGGCATCAACATTTACTGAGTACTTGCCAGGTGCTATGGATGGGGTGCTTGTGTTCCCCCAGGTCCTAGGTGGAAACCCTAACCCCAGGGTGACGATATTAGGAGGTGGCGCATTGGGAGGTCATTAGGTCATAGGACAGCATCCTCATGAGAGAGATTCATGCTCTTAGAAAAGGACATCCTGGTCGGGCGAGGTGGCTCACGCCTGTAATCCTAGCATTTTGGGAGGCCGAGTGGGTGGATTGCCTGAGCTCAGGAGTTCGAGACCAGCTTGGGCAACACGGTGAAACCCCGTCTCTACTAAAATACAAAATAATTAGCTGGGCGTGGTGGCTTGCACCTGTAGTCCTAGCTACTCAGGATGCTGAGGCAGGAGAATTGCTTGAACCCGGGAGGCAAAGGTTGCAGTGAGCAAGATCATGCCACTGCACTCCAGCCTGGGTGACAGAGCAAGACTCCATCTCAGAAAAAGAAAAAGGCACCCCTCACCCCTTTCACCCTTGAAGATGTCATCAGGAAACAGGCGCTGGCCAGGCATCAAGCCTCCTGACACCTTGATCTTGGACATCCAGCCTCCACAGCTGTTTTAAATCATGTCTGTCATCGGCAGGCTGCCCAGGCCAAGGTGCTTTGCTATAGCAGTCAGAACGGACTAAGACATCAGTGACGGGCACCGCCTCATTACACACCAACACAACTTCATTATTAACCCATCTTAAAGGTGTGGCTTCAAGAGGCTAAGTAACTTTTCAAGATCAGGTGTGCAGGTGGCTCCCCAAGTTCTCAGCCTAGTGGGACTCTGGGGGATAATGTAACCGATGCTTCCCTGTCTGCAGGGAATCAGGGGAGAGCAGAAAACTCTGGTGGGCACCAGGGACCAGGGCCCCAGATGACACTGGGGTACCCGAGGGTGAAACTGCCAATCTGTCCTTCCCAATGTAAATACATTACGGGTCTTCAAACCCCTTTGACTCCTCAACAGGCAGCTCAGCGATGCACCGAGCAGAGTGCTCAGCACGTAGGTAGTGAGCACCCAGCAAAGCGTGGTGAAAGAATGGCAGAGGCCGCGCCTCTCATTTTTACTGTGGTGAGAACACAGTGTGAGATCTGTCCTCTTAACAAACGTTAAGTACACAGTACAATAATGGAGCCATTGGCCGACGTTGCACAGCAGACCTCCGGAAGTTTTCCATTTTGCATAACAGAAAGTTTATAGCTTTTAAACAGAAACTCCCCATTTCTGCCTCCTCTGGCTTCTGACAACCACTATTCTACTCCGTTTCTATGAATTTGACTGTTTTAGACATCTCCTAAGTGAAATCATGAAGTGTTTGTCTCTCTGTGTCTGGCTTATTTCACTTGGCATAATGTCCTCTGGGTTCATCCAGGTTGCCACAAATGGCAGAATTTCCTTCTTTTTTCAAGGCTGAGTAATATTCCACTGTGTGTATACACACACATACACAGGCGCAGGCCCTCACCAGACACTGAATATCCTGGCACCCTGATCTTGGGCTTCCAGCCTAAATCTGGACTTCCAGAGAGCAGCCTGTATACCTGATCTTGAATGAGTTACTTAATGTAACCTCTTGAAGCCACAATTTTAAAATGGGTTTATAATGGAGTAGTGTTGGTATTTAATGAGGTGATGCCTGTAAGAGCCCATCACTAGTGTCTTAGTTCACTCAGACTGCTATAAAAACACAAAAAAGCCACGTTTTCTGCATCTGCTCATTTGTTGATGGACAATTAGCTTGCTTTCACATCTTGACTGCTGTGAGCAATGCTGCATGAAGATGGTAGTGCGGATATCTCTTCGAGATCCTGACTTCAGTTCTTATAGATTAATACCCACAAGTGGGATTGATGGATCACTTGATAGTTCTATTTTAATTTGGGGGGAACTTCCACACTCTTTTCTTTTTTTTTATTATTATACTTGAAGTTTTAGGGTACATGTGCACAACTTGCAGGTTAGTTACATATGTATACATGTGCCATGTTGGTGTGCTGCACCCATTAACTCGTCATTTACATTAGCTATATCTCCTAATGCTATCCCTCCCCCCGTCCCCCACCCCACAACAGGCCCTGGTGTGTGATGTTCCCCTTCCTGTGTCCAAGTATTCTCATTGTTCAATTCCCACCCATGAGTGAGAACATGCGGTGTTTGGTTTTTTGTCCTTGTGATAGTTTGCTGAGAATGATGGTTTCCAGCTTCATCCATGTCCCTACAAAGGACATGAACTCATCCATTTTTATGGCTGCATAGTATTCCATGGTGTATATGTGCCACATTTTCTTAATCCAGTCTATCATTGATGGACATTTGGGTTGGTTCCAAGTCTTTGCTATTGTGAATAGTGCCGCAATAAACATCCGTGTGCACGTGTCTTTATAGCAGCATGATTTATAATCCTTTGGGTATATACCCAGTAATGGGATGGCTGGGTCAAATGGTATTTCTAGTTCTAGATCCCTGAGGAATCACCGCACTGTCTTCCACAATGGTTGAACTAGTTTACACTCCCACCAACAGTTCCACACTGTTTTCTATAGTGGCTGCACCATTTTACATTCCCACCAATACAGTCTAAAGGTTCTGATTTCTGCACAGCCTGGCCAACCTTTACCTTTCGTGGGTTTTTTTTTGGTTTTTGTGTTTTGCTTTGATAATAGCCATCTTTACAGGTGTGAAGTGATATCTCATTGTGGGTTTGATTTGCATTTCTCTAATGATGGGTGATGCTGAGCCCTTTTTTGTATGCTTGTTGGCCATTTGTGTATCTTCCTGGGAGAAATGTCTATTCAAGTCCTTTGTCCATTTTTTAATCCAGTTATACAGATTGTTTTGCTATAAGATTTGAAAATGAGAACTGCAGGGGTAGAATGACTTGCTCGGGGTCACACATCTTTGTGGGCAGAGCAGGGAGAACCCCAGGCCTGCTGCCACCACACGGTACTGACCCTGGGCTCTGTCCGTTTGCCAGGCCCTTGTGACAGAAAAGGAAAAATAAAACTGTTTTCAAACTCCTTGTATTCCTCAGTGGCAGAGCTGTAGAAAGCCACTCCTGCAAAATAAAGTAAAATAAAATGAATATGTTGAGAGCAGAGATATTTAAATAAAAACATGTTTCCCTTGTAACACCACCTGCAGCATAAATGCGGGAACCCAGCTAATCCTCGGTGAGCCAGCCTCACGCAGAACTGGTTACAGGCCCTCTTCAGGCATCTGGCACCCTCCTCCAAGTGCATGGTGCTGTTGCAGAGGTGGTCATGAAGGAAAGGAGGTGGGCATTGCATGGGGTGTCTGCCCGGGTGACAACCACTGTAGTCAGGTATGGTCATTGTATGGGAAATGAAACCCATACAATGACCAAAAGAAAAAAATAGGGGCTGAAAGCAATGCTGTTTTTAGTATCAAATTGTCTTCCATGTCTAACAGATTCATTGTCTTCCATGTCCGCTGTGGCTGTCTTCCTGCTGATGTGGGCAGCAGTGATGGGCACATTACAGTAATGGGTCATCCACTTCGGGCAACGCGACCCAAGTGTGTGACTGTGCTGTGATGGTGAGCAAAGCAGTAGATCTGTGAGTTGCCTGTGGATTAACTTATGCTTCGCATCAAGAGAGTGCTAGTTTAATTTGTAACACTGTGAACATCCTGACCACATATTCTAAGAGTTCAGATAATAGAAACGAGAAGGCTCACAATAATAATAGCAGTACGACACAGGCACCACTGAAAAAGTCTAAATGTCTGTGTTACTTTAATGACAAATGAACGAAGACCTACAGCTGAATTAGGCAAACAACCAAAACAGAGCCCCCCAGAATAATATGCAGAAACAGTATGGGGCAGGCAGGGGCACAGTGGAGAAGGGGTGGGAAAGCTTCTGTGGAGGCTGATCTCACAGGTCCAGGATGAGACAGGAAAGCACGTCTAAATCAATCAAGGTTTGTCATCTCTCAAAAAGATGCCAAAGCTGCATTGTGAAGAGTGAAGGCTGGATGAGCTTGGACACAGGGCAGGAATGAATATCATTATCCTAGCATCCCCTTTACGGTTCCATCAGGCTAAGCAAAGGGACAGTTCCTCCTTTAGAAGCTCCAACTAAAGTGCCCTGTGGGCAAACAAAAGGAGAATTTTGATGACAGATGTGTTGGCCCAGGAGTGCAGAGTTGTTTCTGTCAGATCTTTCTATGGTACCGAGTGACCACATCAATACAAAAGTGTTCCCCGACTCTTAGGGAAACATTTGAGTTCCGATCAAACTTTGATTTGTAAAAAAAATAAAAAAGGTTTTAGTCATCCTGATTTCTGTGAAAAATAATTGTGTAACCACAGAAATCATAAAAATAATGTTATCTAGATATAAACTAGACATTGTTCATATATCTGCATATTCCTCAAGTTTCCATTATGCAAATGTGAACTGTGGCAGATTCAACTCAGCCTGTTAATTTCTTACCAAAGAAAATGATGAGAAGAGTATAACCTGCTAAATGTCGGTTCATCTTGTGCACGACTCTGCTATGAAGGGGTGTGATTTGCTTGCTTGTAACATGGAAACATTCAGAATGAATAATTTTGTCACATTTTAGTTTCTCATTAACCTGCAGAGTCGCTTAATGAGATTTCTGACTTGATAGAAATGGAAGGTGATAGTTTCCTTAGATATGGACTTACAAGCTGTCTGATACTGTTGTTAAAATGTTGGTCTGCCATCAAATCATATTTTCAAAGTGGGGGACAAGGAGAATGTCCTTGTCTCATTTGGAAATGCACTGGCAATGAGAATGGAGAAAAAGATTAGAGTAAAACAAAAACTGTCATGTTCTTTCTCCAAAACTGTGATCTTTCAAGATAAACAGCCAAAAAAAAAAAAAAAAAAAAAAAGACGAACAAACTACACCTATGTTGTTTGACATTATGTACAGGTTTCAACAAAAACTCTAAAAGTGACAAATGACTCATTTCTTGGAGGTAAGACTGCTTTTTAATTCAAAATAATGTCGCAGAAATCAGGCAGTGCAGTTAACCAGAATTTTTTCATTTCTTTCCTAAGACTGTAACTTATTTTGTATATCCAGCTTTAAATTTACAAGCTGCACTCTGCACTTTGAAATCATTTTTCATGAGAAAGAGAGATTTAACTTGTTGTAACACCCAGTGCGCTTTGGAGTGTTTGAAAACGGACACTTCAGGCATGAACAGCCCTGTGATAAACTGAGAATGCAGAGGACCTAGCTGAGGCAGACGTGCAGGTTGAAAGTGGATGGACTTTTTTTCAGAGCTAGAAACTCATTGCTACAATCTCAAAGCCTACTGCTGTTGCTGGTGGATAAAATCCTAACAATTCTATGCTGAGACACTTGTGGAGAGGATATTTAATTTGATATCATCACATTGGACTGGCACCTTGATAAGAGAAGGAAGGTCAAAATGAATTTTACATCGGATCACACTCTGTGTTACTCGTTTATAAAAAAAAAAAAAGAAAAGAAAAAATGATCCAAAGGCTACAGGGAGTTTATAAAAATATTGGGGAAAAAAACCCACACAAAAAAAGTAAAAATATCTTATGGTATCACAAGAAAGAACGGTATCATTGTTTTAAACATTGTTTCTAAAATATTTAATAAGACTTATACCTCTAGAGTGAATCCACTGAAATAAACAACTCATCCTTTTTCTGAGTTTCCTGAGGGCTGGCACTCAAGGGATTCCCTCTGTCCTGAAGGTGGATATGGAAAACCTGGAAAGCTGGAGGCAGCCAGATATCCTGTGTAGACATTCAGGGGACAGGGACCAGCTGGGAGCTTTTGGAAGCAAAAGTGTCAAATCAGGGGCACTTCAGTGGTATAGCCATGAGCACAGCTCTGCACCCTCCCCAGACCAAAAGGGCGGGCACAGGTGATGCAAGAGACGGCTCTCTGTGCAGCCTCGAATGACCAGGACATCTCAAGTGGTGGCATCTGAGCTCCATCTCAAATTTGAGCTCCAGCCTGCTGTCATGAGGGCCTTCAGGAGATACTTCCCCAGGCCTAGGACCACCCACATTCTTGCAGGGAGTTACTGGAACTCTCAGACTACTCAGAGCTCCGTTAATTTGGGGGAGCTTCCCAGCTCACTGGTTTTCAGGAGCTCTCTGGGTTTTGGTTGACAGCCATAGACCCTTCATCCTTAACTCTCTCCCTAGAACTGTCGGCCCTGGGAAGAGGTCCACCTTCACCTGTGCACTGTGTCTTCTGAAACATGGCTAGACTGGCTGCAGTCTCCTGGGCACTGCTCTTCTTCCATCATCCTGTGACTTGGATGCAGCTCTGGGCTGGCCCCATCGGCCCCCAGGTAATCCCACTATGCTAGGTTCCATCATGGATGCAGGGGATGAGGCCACAAACAGCAGCAGGGGAGAACATGTTTGCATTATGTGGCCTCCCTCGTCCACAGAGTCAGGGAGAGGAGGACCAAGGAGGACACTGAATTTCTTGTGATCACCTTTCCTCCAAGACATGCTTGATTGCTTTGAAAGAAATCAAAATATTTCACCCTAAAACATAAATCTTTGACGTATTTTGAGGTGGCTGTTCAAAGGGCCTGCAGGCAGAAGCAGCCATGCAAAGCTGTCTTGTGGGTGAGATTTGCCTCTGTAGAGCATCTGCGTTGATGCAGCCAGGCTATGAAAGATCAACAGAGAGTCTGACCCCTTCAAAGGTCTGAAATAAACATTTACACCTGTTCTCTCTGAGGGCTGCTTCCTGTGGGGTCCATCCACATAACAAGACCACCTCCGCCAGCCACCCCTCTTCTTTGCTCCCTCTCACCCTCTGTCTTGCCACTGAACCTGATTTGCCCTGCCTGTTTTTTGTCAAGCTCCAAGCCCCAATTCTTTCTGTGCCCTTGAGCTTATATAAAAGCTTCTGGACCCCAATGGGCATTTAGGGCAGTCATGCTGTTGTTCTCCTCCACGCATATTAAAACATTTCTGTGCCATTTCTCCTATTAATCTGCCTTTTGTCCATTGATTTTTCGTGAAACTTCAGAGGGCAGAGGGGAAGTTTTCCTTTGGCCCCTACAGTTTCCTCTAAGGGGCTGCAGAACGTCACTATGGAGTCTTCCCCTGAACCACGGGTGGCTGAAGGGGGAAAGAAAGACTGGAAATGCAGCCAGGCTTGGGTCTGCCTCAACTGATACTGTTCTACGCACTCAAGGACCCTGAGAGATGAGCAGCCTCTGCCACACAAGAAACCAGGTAAGCTGGGCTCCTTGTACCTGCCAAGGCCTGGATCAAGGACTTGATCCTTGATCAGAAAAGCATCAGATAAAGGTTCAGTTGGTTTCCAAGAGGCTTGGGAAGCCAGGAGACAGGAAGGTGGACTGCACACCATGACTGGCGCATGGGCGGGGGACCTGCCCCAACTTCTTTCCTAAGTGTCCACTCAAGGGTGTATCCGTTGCATCTGCCTTGGACCTGTTGGTGAGTTCTTCTGTGAGTGCCCCAAAGTCACCCTCTTGCTCCTTCTCAGAATCAACCCCACCCCCTCACTGAGAGGCTCTGTGAGCCCATTGATAGTTTTCCTTGAGGGCCTCTTCCCGGGCAAGCCCTATTTCCTTTCCTACTGAAATTTTCTTGAGTTCCTCACATAGTGTCTTCCTGGTCACCAGAATTCAGCCTTCTTGACACCCTTGCTGCTTTGGCCCTGACACACAGCAGCATGAAGGCCACCTCTGCCACCACCTGAGATGCCCTGGTCATTGGAGGCTGCACAGACAGCCATCTCTTGCATCACCTGTGCCCGCCCTTTTGGTCTGGGGTGACCCTATGTTGCAGGTAGTGCTCAGGCTGTTTCCACGTCTCCTTCATGATAGTGAGTTCTCCACGGAGGACAGAAACCAGCACATAGGACTGAGAGGCCAGGCTGCCTTGGAGAAAGGAGGGAACTGGAGAACCAAAGCCTTCCTGAGACCTTTGCGCCTCAGAAGATAAGCCCGGTAAACTTTCCAATTACTTCTTCCACGTGATTCATTTGAGGCTTGGGACTTCAGTTGTGGTGAAAGATTGTACCTCATTCTGGGTTTTATGGAGGGACACTCCACTGTCCCAGACCTGGCTTGGAGAGTTGTTGGCAGCGAAGGGTAGTTGAGGGGTCCTGGGCTATGCCTGAATGAGATCCAGGGTCTGTCCTTGGGCAGCATTCCAGGTAAGAGCTGGGGCTGGGACTTGTGTTGGGGCAGAGGCTGGGGTGGCACAGGAGTCGGGGTTCTTTAGATTGGGCTTTGGGGCATTAAAAATTACTTTAAGTCAAAAAGAGTCCCTGGAAGGGACGGTCTGCCCAAGATCAGGGCTCTGGCCATCATGCATTCTCTGTGCGTAGCAAGGAAAGCCTAGGCAGCTGCAGCACGTGGCCTACCACAGCCCTAGGGCTTGGGATCTGGTGAAGGTTGCAGCTGCTCTTGTCCGCCTTCAGTGCTCCAGAAGGACTGAGGTTCTCCTTTTAAGCAAGTGACTCTAAGGAATTCATAGAAGCTAGTTCATGGCCTGCCCTCTACTGTTTTGGCAATGATGCCTCCTTCTGTTCTTTCTCCAAGCATATCTGGAAATATACCCTCTTTATGATTCATCGCTGCAGGTATTCTTGAACAGCAAGCCTGAAGATGGAGATGCTACCAGGCTCTACATGCCTGGTTGCAGGCTTTCCCTAGAGAATGGGCTCTGTCTTATTAAGAGAAAGTAGTTCTTGATAGAAAACACAACATGAGGATCAGGGGAGGAGTACACGCCGCTAGATGCGTGCCTCCAGCAGAAGACGCAATGGCCCAGGCCTGAGAATTTTGGAACAAAAGAAGTCAACCTCAGGGCTAAGCTCTCTGTGACCGTGTCCTGCAGGATAGGATGGTGGCCACGTGAGGTGAGTCCGAGTGAAAGTGAAGCTACAGAGAAGAACAGAGGGTGGGAAAGGTGAAAGGGCACTGAACCTGGGAAAATTCTCACCTATGAGTGTGTGGTGTCAGGCAAGGGCACCCATGGTTTTGTTTTGACACTGAATAACAAGAACAACACAAAAGGTGGGGACCCAGGTTTCTCTCTCCTCTCCCTGGGCAAGGTGTAAACATTCATTATCCATGAATACTACCATTTTCCTCTTTAAATCATGGAGCTCTAAGTCTCTTTGTCATTATTCATCTTTCAGAGATAAATTATACCACATTGTTCCTTCTTTGAAAAAGTCAAATGAAGGAAGGCTTTCTGTTGTGACCCTCAGGAACCCTCTGCCAAGATGAGTGCAGAATCTCAGACCTGCAGGTGCAAGTGAGCTCCATTGGGCAGAATCCACTCCCAGAGGCCGACCGTACTTTCCAGGCCTGCTCAAGGACACTGGACATGGGAGGGCAAGGCAGCTGATGAAGAAGTGGAGATGCCTTCTCTCATAGATATCCTACTCTTTCTCAGTAGTTCCCTCCAGGACCACTGGATGACAGTGGTGGGGACGTTAGCCTGGAACCCTCATCACACCAGAGAGCTTTGCCTATGAGCTCTGGATAGAAGCCTTGGTCCCCACCGTAAGTCATGCCCCAGTCAGCATGCTTCCTGAGAAGCCGTTAGCAGCCACGCCATTTTCCCAGGATTCAGGGATTTCCCAAGATGTGAGATTTTCAGGGATAAGTTGGTCCCCCTACAACTGAGATAAGTTGGTCCCCATACAAAGGGATAACTGGGATAAGTTGGTTAACTGGGATAAGTTGGTCCCCCTACAAAGGACGATACTTCCATCTTTCCCAAGAGTTCTTACTAGAGGTGTCTCCTGTGAAAACAACATTAATTTAATAAGTTCGGAAAACAGGAGTCCAAACATAAGCTGAGAGCTGAGTCTAGGGCTTGCTTACCTGGTTTCCACCTTCATTTTCAGGCATGCCGAGGAACATGGATCCTCCTGAAGGGAGCAAAGAAACAGTATCCAGGACCCCATGCCACGAAGCAAACAGAAAATAGATAAAATATCACCTGAAGTTGAGGTGGAGCTCAGTCATGTGCACAAAGAACTCTCACAAACACAAAGATACTCCTCCATCACCGGAAGCTCATTGCTCCCTCTGGTGTGTGGACACTGAGTAGGAGCTCTCTAGTCTGCATTTCCAGGCCTGCATCACAGAGTAGGACAGTCATCAAGGCTTCTCATGGAACAAAAAGGAAAAGGTGAACCGCTAGCATCTCAGCCTTCACCAACCTGACAGGCCCTGGCACCTGCCTGAGCCTCCTCCATCCCTCCATGCTCCTGGGGGCCTTCCTCCTCCCCAGCTCCAACCTTTCTGCATGCCCCATACGTGCTCCATGTAGCTGCCCCACACATAAGCTGGTGCTGACTGGATCCAGCTTTCGCCCTTGGATATCCCGCTTTTCACACCATCAGTTTCACAGCCTTGAAGGTCTTGACATTTCCTGGAATTTGATTCATTTTCAGCACTCTGGATTTCCTGTCTCCTCACCTCCAGCCTCCCTGTATACTATTTTTATCTTGAACCAACCCAGACATAGAACTCAACACCTTCTCAAGGTTTTCTCAAATCAAGCCACTTTCACAGGAAAGCATTAGGAAGCAAGGTATCCTTTATTAAGGATCATGTAAGAATGACAGGAAGGAGTTGCTAAGCCACCTTATAGAAAATTGTTTATATTAAAATTACTGCCCTGTAGTTGTTTTCCTTTCCAAGTCCTTAAGGGTTGCTTTGCCCCTGAGTTCTCTCCACTCTCCTCCTCCAGGCATGCAGTGCCCGCCCTCAGGGTCCATCTCTGCTCTCACCCAGGTCCACAGCCAACCCAACATTTTAAAGTCTTCCCCCATATTATTCATTCAGAGCAATTTAGCTTGCCCACTTCCTACCCCAAGTGACTTAAATCCATCTGGATTTGAAGAATGGGTGATGTCTTCTATTAATCCAAACCCTTTAGGAGGGCAGTTGGAGTTATATATGGCAATATCTTTATTTAGTTGTGTTTGTTTCTTTGTTTGTTTCTTTGTTTTTGTGATGGAGTCTCGCTCTGTTGCCCAGGCTGGTGTGCAGTGACGTGATCTCGGCTCACTGCAACATCCACTTCCTGGGTTCAATCAATCCTCCTGCCTCAGCCTCTGGAGTAGCTGGGACTACAGGCACCCGCCACCATGCCGGGCTAATTTTTGTATTTTTAGTAGAGACAGGGTTTCACCATTTGGTCAGGCTGGTCTTGAACTCCTGACCTCAGATGATCCACCAGCCTTGGCCTCCCAATTCATTTAGTTTTGAGTTATACCTGTGGTGAGCGGCTCCTGATTTTGTATTTACTTTCTTTCTATTAAAATCTCTGTTGGACTCTTAAGGCTTTTTAAGAAAAAATCCATGCAGTCATTTCATCAATGGTAAATAGATGACATGATATGGGAATAGATAAATCTATGATTTGGATACATAGATTTATTTTTACTTTCTGGGTTTTTCCAAAATCCCTACCAGTCTTTCAATAATTCTAAATAATACGAAGTTAGAGTTAGGTAGATAGGTAGATGACAGAGTGGTAGATGATAGATAACAGCTAGTTGACAGTAGGTAGACGATAGACAGATAATAAACAGTTTGGGAATAAGTAGATGTGTGGTAGACAGGTAAGTAGAAAACAGAGACAGAGATCAGGGAGATGTATGTTTATCTCCCCATGTTACACAAGCACGTAATAGAGTTGAAGTACTTAGAGTTTCATCATTAAAACTATATGCTGCTGAAATTTATCTTCGTATCCTTTTCTTTCTGTTACTAACTTGATTTCCCAGCTAATTCTAATGAACTCGCCATGGCCCAGAATATTTCCCCCCACGGGATGGGTCTTTCCCAGCATGGGCAGCTCCTCTCTGTATCTCCTGTGCAACAGGTCCTACCCACGCAGGCCTCCCCTCCCTCCCTCCCTCCCTTCACTGCAGAGACCTTCTGTTTAGACAAGTCCCTCTGCACATCTTCTGTTTCTGGCATTGTCACTTCTGGCTTGATTCTGGCTCTGGGCAGCCCTGAAGGCTGCAAGGATCCCATATGTAAATTCACCCTTCAAAGTCTGAGCAAAAATAAGCTCCAGGATGAGAATTTCCAGGGGGTAGAATTTCTTATGAAAACAGCCGATCAACTGAACTCCTCAAACATTTCAATTATCACAGATGTTTTAAGAGGATTGGAGAACTTTCACAGATTGAAGGAGATGAAAGAGACATGACATCAGAGTAAAATATGTGATCAATCCTTCACGGGGGAAAAACAGTGCTCTCAAGGACATTATAAACTGGAAATGGAGCTAGAGCCATAAATTTAAATTCTCTAAATTCTCTATTAATAGGCCATTTACTGAAGTAGAAAGTAATACTATGGGTATAAAAGAGAGTATTTTTCCTTAGACAATACACACCAAAATATTTTAGAATAAAGGGACATGATATATATCATATATATACGATTTACTATCAAATAAATGTACAGTTAAAAAAATATATATAGAGAGAGAGAGAGAGAGCAAATGGGGAAAAGAATCTCAAAAATAGGTGAATCTAAGAAAACGACAGATGTGGTTCTTTCCTATTCTTGCAACTCTCTGTAATTTTGAAATTATTACTAAATAAAGAAGGTTTTTAAAATGACCCATTGACTCTGTCCTTGGATTTTATCCCCACTTCTCTTACCTTACTTCTCCCAGCTGCCATGATCTCCAGCATCCCCAAGAAGTGCATGAAAAATGTGCAAATGCATCCAGCCCAGGAGGACCAGGACAGGCCTGAAGGGCGGAGGCCAGAGCTGAGGTATTAACAATTCAGTCAAACTCTGAATGGCTTTACGAGGAAGGTGATTGACAGTCCCACGCTGCTTCTGCAGGAAAGGGGGAAAGCTAGGGGGAAACATTAGAATGTTCATGAGAAGCTGTGGGTAAACAAGCACAGGAAGGCTGAGGTCTTCCAGTGACAACTATGCTTACCCTCTGTCATCCGTGGCTCTCCCTTCTGAAATGTGTTCTCTTGGCTTTTTCTCTCTCTAGATGAAGGGGCCTGCTTTCTTATTCATCTCCATATTCCTGGGTCCAAGCAGGTGCTCTATATAAATATGCTGAATGAATGGGGTGGACGAGACATTGTGACCCATTAGAGCAGCACCCACTTTTCCCAGCCCTGCTGAAGGCAGAGGCAACGACCTGCTTAACCTGAGCCATCAACTGCAAGGCCAGTGCCTCCCTAATCCTGCTGCTTCCTGCAATTAACCCGATGGTCCCCCTCCCTCCCACCAGGCAGCAGCCTTTCAGAAGAGAGAACTTGGGTGTCTCTCCTTTTAGTGTATCTGAGTGCCCAGGGCTGCAGCTCCTTTGGACAGATCATTTCATAAATACTGTGGAGGCCAGGCGCGGTGGCTCACGCCTGTAATCCCAACACTTTGGGAGGCCGAGGCAGGTGGATCACGAGGTCAGGAGACCGAGACCATCCAGACTAACACGGTGAAACCTTGTCTCTACTAAAAATACAAAAAATTAGCCAGGCGTGGTGGCGGGCGCCTGTAGTCCCAGCTACTCGGGAGGCTGAGGCAGGAGAATGGTGTGAACCTGGGAGGCGGAGCTTGCAGTGAACCGAGATCACGCCACTGCACTCCAGCCTGGGTGACAGAGTGAGACTCTGTCTCAAAAAAAAAAAAAAATACTGTGGAGACTACTTTCTGCTGGCACTCAGAGCCCATGCTGGACCATGCTTGTCCAGTAGACACCTGCCCAAACCCATGTCAGAGAGAGCCTTCCAGAACCCGCCTGCCCCAGAGGACCCCCATCTTAGACCATTTGTGTTGCGATAAAGGAATATCTGAGACTGGGTAGCTTCACAGAGAAAAGAAATTTATTTTGTGTCTTAACGTTTTCTAGCACCAACTCAAAAGTTCAAAGTTTCATGTCTCACGTGGGACTCAAAGGAAGTTCCTTGCAGTTATCAGCCTGTAAGATCAAACCAAGTTATTTACTTCCAAGACACAATGGTGGTACAGGCAATGTATAAACATTCCCATTCCAAAAGGGAGAAATCAGTCAAAAGAAAGGGGCAACAAGCCCCATGCAAGCCTGAAACCCAGCAGGGCAGACATTAAACCTAAAAGCTCCAAGATAATCTTTGATTCCATGTCCACATCCTGGGCACACTGGCATGAGGAGTGGGCTCCCAAGGTCTTGGGTAGCCCCACTCTCACAGCTTTGCTGGGTGCAGCCCCCATGGCTGCTCTCATTGGTTGGAGTCCAATGCAGAAGTTGCATGCTGCTGATGGCTCTACAATCCTGGGGTCCGGAGGGCTATGGCCCTTCTTCCACAGCTCCACTAGGCAGTGTCCCAGCGGAGACTCCCTGTGGGGCCTCCAACCCCATATTTCCTCTCTGCACAGCCCTAGTAGAGGCTCTATGTGGAGCCTTGCCCCTTCAGCAGGCTTCTGCCTGGGCACCCAGGCTTTCCCATACATCCTCCAAAATCTGGGTGGAAGCGGCCAAGCCTCCTTCACTCACGCATTCCATACACCTGCAAACCTAACACCCCATGGAAGTCGCCAAGGCTTACAGCTTGCACCCTCAGAAGCAGAGGTCTGAGCCATACCTGGAGCAGTTTGAGCAGCAGCTGAAGCTGGAGCAGCTGGGACGTGGGAATAGCATCCTGAGGTGACACCGGGCAGCAGTGCCCAGGCCTGGCCGCTAAACGACGTGTCCTCCTAGGCAACTGGGCCTGTGATGCAGCTGGGACGTGGGAACAGCATCCTGAGGTGACACAGGGCAGCAGAGCCCCAGGCCTGCCCGCTAAACCATGCGTCCTTCTAGGCAACTGGGCCTGTGATGAGAGGGGTGGCCTCAAAGATTTCTGAACTGCCTTCAGGGCCTTTTCCCATTGTCTTGCCTGTTAGCACCTGGTTCCCTTTTAGCAGGGCTCATCTCTCTAGCAAGTGTTTGCTCATTGCACCTTTAGATTCCTCATCTGAAAATGCTCTTTCTTTCTCCACCACGTGGCCAGGCTGCAAATTTTTAAAATTTGTATGCTCAGCTTCTCTTTAATTATAAGTTCCAACTTTAGGTCATCCCTTTGCTCCCATGTTATTTTATAAGCTGTTAGAAGCAGCCACATCACTTCTTGAATGCTTTGCTGCTCAGAAAATGTTTCTACCAGGTGTTATAGGTCATCACTCTCACATTCAGGCTTCCACAGAGTCCTAGGGTATGCACATGACATAGCAGAGTTCTTCACTACAACATAACAAGGGTGACCTCTGCTCTAGTTCCCCCCAAATTCCTAATTTCCATCTGAGACCTTGTCGTTCTGGTTGTCACTGTCCATATTTCTATCAGCATTTTGGTCATCCACTTAACCAGAAGTGGGTTCAAGTGGAATTTTCTAAGAAACTCCAAACTTCTCCTTATCTTCCTGTCTTCTTCTGAGTCCTCCAAACTCTTCCAACCTCTGCCTTTTACCCAGTTCCAAAGTCAATTTCACATTTTCAGATATCCTTATACCCCACTTCTCAGTAACAATTCTTCTGTGTTAGTTACTTAGTTTGCTACAAGGGAACACCTGGGGCTGGGTAATTCATAAAGGAAAGAGGTCCATTTAGCTCAGGGTTCTACATGCTACACAGGAAGCTTGGCACCAGCATCTGCTTCTGGAAAAGCCTCGGGGAGCTTCCATTCATGGTGGAGGGCAAATGGCAGCAGGCATCACACGGAGAGAGAGGAGGAGGGGAGAGAGAGTGGAAGGAGGCTCCAGGCCGTTTTTAACCATCAGATCTTATGAGAATTAATAGAGCGAGAACTCACTCATTACTCAAGGGCAGCACCAAGCCATTGACGAGGGCTTGACCCAAACACCTCCCACCAGTTCCCGCCTCCAACATTGGGAATCACATTTCAACGTGAGATTTGGAAGGGATGAACATCCAAAGTATATCACCCCCCTACACACACACAACCACCACCCACCCCTCAGCAGTGATCACAGAGCTGCCTGTTTTCCTATCGAGCCTAAGAGGTTCACCATCGTGTGGCTCCCCTGGTTGGGCAACATAAAGGGAGTGTCTCCAGAAAGCCCCAGGAGTAATGAGCAAGCTGGTTGAGGAGACTGGGAAGTTTGAGATCCCTCTCCCTCAGCCCTTTCCCAAGATTACACAAGATGTTTCTCTACAGGCTCCAAAGTTTCAAACATGAGAGCATGAAGCCTGAGAAGACACCATCTCCACTCCACTCAGGGCCAACCCCACCAACGAGCAGAGGGAGAGACAAGCTCTGAGAGAAGAGCTGAGCCTGGGACCCCTGGAGCAGTGGCAGGAAGAGAATGAAATCCTCCACTGCACCAAAGCGAGAGGAAGGGCCGTGAGGAAGAGGAGGTCTTGAGGCTGGCTTCCTCAGAAAACACAACCCAGTCACCCCTGGAAGGAGGAGGCAGCCTCACAGTCATGCGTGGGACCCAATCCAAGAGTTCTCCCTCCACAGATCCCCCATTCACACACACACACACACACATTGCACCTCAAAGTGTGAGCCTGGGTGTAACACAAAGGTGCACAGCATCCCTCTGTGGTAGATGCCATCTCACTGGGCTGGACATATGCCTACTCAAGACAGAAAACCAGGAGGCAAGGGGCCCTCAGAGCCCAGAGGGTGCTGGGCTGAGACACATGCAGCCCTGTTGTGTGGTAGAGGAAAACCCTCCCCTCTGAGCAAGGCTGTGGTGAGGCAGCCACCCAGGAGGTGCCACCTTGAGCAAGCAGACCATCAGCCTTATGCTGCAGTGAGGGGCTCTGCTCCCATCTAGCCAGAAGTATGCATCTTCCACACAGCAAGCAGCTCCCCACACAGACTCACCCATAGCCCTCTCTGTGCCATGCACACAGTGAGCACTGAGCCCACGGCGGTGAGCCAGCTGGAGGGAGAGAATAAGGGAGAGGAGGCAAGGACAGCACCCTGCCCTGAGAGCTGAGGGGCCCCACCTCACCACACACACAACCCTGTGGAAGAAAAAAGCCACACCTCGATTGAGACTCCAACGGGAGAAAGCAGCTCACAAACCCCTGCAAACCCAGAAGATGGAAACGGGAATGCACAGGGCTGAGAGCCTAAGACGGAGCCTGCCATGCCCTGCAAATGGACAGAGTGTCCCTCTCAGGCTCCTGGAGGTAGCTTTTTGCTATTTTATTGATTTGATCAGACATTTATTGTTCACAGTTCTGGAGGCTGGGAAGTCTAAGATCAAGATGCTAGTGGGTTTGGTGTCTAGTGAGGGTCTACTTCCTGGTTTATAGATGGCTCCTTCTCACTGGGTCCTGACATGGTGGAAAGAAGATGAAGGAGCTCTCTGGGGTCCCTTTTATAAGGACACTTATCCCAATTATAGGGGCTCCACCCTCATAAACTAATTACCTCCCAAAAGTCCCACTACTTAATACCATCACCTTGGGGGTTAGGATTTCCAACATGAATGTTGGGGGGACCGAAACATTCTGTTTATTGCACTTGCTCAGAATTGTCAGTTTCACTCCAGATGAACTTCTGTCCTTTTCTATGTCAGAAGGGGTACCATGTAATCCACCTTGCCACTGAGCAGCTGGCTGGCCTCTTCAAGCAATGCAGTATCAGGGACTCTGTTGGTTTCTGTTGCTACCAGGCTGGATATATGGCAGTGGTGGTAGCTATATATGCTTGGGCGAGTGGAGCCCGTGATCTGGCTGCCTGCATAGCCTCCATCCCTGCCATCCCTGCTACTCTACTCAGGTGCTCATTGTCCTAGCCCTGGTATGGCTGATGAAGGAGGCTGGTTGACTTCAGCTGGAGAGGTCACTCTGTCTTCTTGCTTGTCTTGCACCTCTCCTGTGGTGGCTGCTCCTTGGTGGATGTTGGTAGGTTAATTCCATGCGTCTGCCATAGGTCCATCCACGTGATGCTTCCTAGGCCTCCTTGTTCTAACCCTACTGTTTTTCCTCTTCCTGGGCTCTGAGCAACCAGTCAAGCCTCCCGCCACTGACCATCACGAGACCACAGCAGTCTCGGCCTCCCTCCTTACCACAAGGCAGATGGCTAGACGCATCACTTAGAGCTCTTCCCTGGGGGAGGCTTTCTAGTCACCACTGTCTTCAACGACACCCTGAGTGGTCCTTCATCCTTTCTGTCTTGCACCTGCCCAAGCATCTATAAACCAAGTTTGGCTTTCTCAGACTCTGCCAAGTGGTCCCAAGGGATTACCCACAAAGCCATGCGGGGACCGGCAGCAGGGATGCTGGCGCCACAATGGTGAACGATGTGGGTGCACCTGCTTGTGCAGCTCCCCAGTGCTCTCTGGCCCCACAGTCTCCTGATCCTGAATATGCCGCATTCACACCATGCTGTGATCTATATGACAACGGAGTGCTGCTGGACCCGCCTGATGGTAGGACTTAGTGGGTCTGATACAATCCCACTCATGTTGTGTGTCCTGGGCACATGCGAATGTGTTATCCCACAGGTAGGCACCCCATCTCTTCCAGGGCCCAGAAGTAAGCCAAGAGCTCTTTTTCAGGTGTGTATATAATTCTATATTTTATTCAAATAGCATGTCCTTGCTTTAAAACCCTGGGTGTCTCCATGTGATCCCCCTGATGTGGCCTACTGAGAACCGCACACCACCTTCCTTTAGACCATACTCCATAGATGGGTAGAGGGGAATTGTGGATGTTCATTGTAGCTGCCTGAGAGCCTCAAGACTGCACAGGGGCTGTGTTTCTTCTTGGTGGAGGGAAGCACAAGGTGCAATAAGTTGTTCTCAAGTTTTGGAGAGGATGCTCTGGCCTGTCCCAGGCCCCTAAGAACAATTCACTGCTATGCAGAAAATCCTTCTTACCCATGTATTTCTCTTCTTTCTTTCTTTCTTCTTTTTTTTTTTTTTAACAGAATCTCACTCTGTTGCCCAGGCTGAAGTGCAGTGGCGCGACCTTGGCTCACTGCAACCTCTGCCTCCCAGGTTCAACCAATTCTCATGCCTCAGCCTCCCACGTAGCTGGGATTACAGGCATGAACCACCACACTCAGCTAAATTTTGTATTTTTTAGTAGAGACTGGGTTTTGCCATGTTGGCCAGGCTGGTCTCAAACTCCTGACCTCAAATGATCCGCCCACCTCAACTTCCCAAAGTGTTATGATTACGGCATGAGCCACTGTGCCCAGTACTTCTACTTCTTTTACTGGAGAACAACCCTTTGCTCAAGCTTCCAGCCAGTCTAGCAGCATATGAGCGCCATTTCCCGGGGACTGCGCCCTGATATAAAATTCTGTTTCAGGGAAGTTTGCCTCTATATCAATAATGCTTTTTCTTATCCAACTTTATATCCAACTCAATCCTCTTTGATCCAATACATTCAGAGCTAGCCCAACAGCCCCCAGAGCCTGCAGTGCACATTGGCTGGGTGCTACGGCTGTGTGCATCTCATGCTGCCCCTTCCTCACCAGGCTCAGCATGTGCACCATGTGACTTAGCCCCAGTATTGGTATGATGCTCGGGAGAGGCAGAGATAGACCATGGGGTATCTGTTGTCTTGCAAAGCAGCAGCCTGCACGGTGTCTGCGAGGGCTAGCCTTCTGCTGGGAGGAGGGGCTACTGCTGTAGGTCCAGAGGGTGAATCCAGAGAAAGCTGGATTCAATATTTCAAGGGCACTGACTTAAATATCCTCACCTTGGCTTCAGGGCTCCACCTCTTTCTAATCAGGGCCCTGAACATGGCAAAGAAGTCCTTCAGGGTTGGAAATTCCAATGCTCTGGAGCTCTGTTACTCACGGGATGTCTGTGCCTCATCCTCAGCCTCTCCTGCCCTCTGCTGAAGGCAAGTGTCTCTGTACACGGTGCTGGGGAGGCACTCTGGATTTCACACTCTGCTTTTTATCAGTGATTAATCTGTTTCTGCCTTTGATCATCTCTCATCGCTTCTCCACCTTTTGGCTAAGATCAAGTGTAGTATCTGATCATCTCTCTCCCATGCATTGGCTCCCAACAAGAGCTATCCAGTTCCATAGTCCTTAATAACTGGGACTGCAAGACAAGCCAGCAGACAGAGTGACCTCTCCAGCTGAAGTCAACCAGCCTCCATCATCAGCCATGCCAGGGCTAGGACAATGAGCGCCCATTTCTCAGATTCCTGGATGGCTCTTCCTAATGGTTACAAACACACCCAGGAATGTGTTCCTTTCCACAGTCCCCCAGCCCGGATCACCACCAGTGAAAGTGTAAACAATCACACTGCAACCTCATGAGACGGCCCACCAGTGCTCCACCACCAGCAGGCCCACCAGTGCTCCACCACCAGCAAGAGGCCCACCAGTGCTCTACCACCAGCAAGAGGCCTGTCGCCAGCCCCCAGCAAATGATGCTTCCCCTAAATCCCATTTCCAAGTCTGCACCCTAAGACTACATCCTGTACTAGTCGATGTGGGCGGGGTTCCCAGGGAAGCAGACTCTGAGCCTCTGAGACTCACGTAGGGAATTACTGAGAAGGGTGGGAATTATTGAGGGAAGCCAGACCGGGTGGGCACGGGGACTGAACTGGGATGCAGCTGCCAAAGAGGTTTTGGCCAGTCTTGTCAGGTGCTCTGGGGCTGGGATGACCCTTCGGCGTATTCCTGTTAAGGCAAGGAAGCCTTTGTAATACTGAAATCATGAGTCATATGATGTGGCTGTTCCCAGGGAGGTGGGTAAACTTGGGAGGTTAATCTGCCTTCAGAAAGGGGTCACTGCTGGAGAAGGCATGGTGATACGCCAACAGCCAGCTCTTGTGGAGCTGGGCATGTGTGTGATAGTCCTGAGGGGGCCCAGGCAGTGCTATGACACCCCTTGTAGAGGTGAGAGGACCAGAAGGCCTCATGTCCCACCTTGTTGGAGAGCATCATGGAACCCATGACAGTGTCCGAACTTCAGAACCAGACCCAGTGAGTTCCCATCCCAGATCCTCCAAAGGGAAAAATACAGCAATAGGGGTCCCCACACCTCTGGCTCGGGCTGTTGTAAAGATTCACTATGTACAATGATGTATTAACAGCCTGCCTTAGGCCAAACACAGACCCACCTCGTGCTCTCAGGGAGTCTTTAGAACGGTGGGAGGGCATAGAAGAGAAGGCAGGCAACTCTCAGAAAGTGTGGGGATGGGAAACACGGCAAGCTCAGGGGCTTGGAGAAGGGGCCCTGGGTTGAACCTGAGGGCAGACGGGAGCTTCTCCCAAGAAATGCTGGGGAAATGCCTGCAAAGTGTCTGGGACTCATTAGCTTCTCAATAATAAAACCCATGGACCGCACGATTCAAAAACTACCAAGCTGGTTTCCCATGGCTTTGCCTGTCTCCTGGGATGTTAAACACGGTTCCGTGTGCACCAGGCCTCGAGGCAGCCAGGGAGACCCCCCATGGGGACTGGCCTGGCTCTCTGGAGCTTTCCATCTGCCTAAGACACTGTCTGAGAAAGGCAGTCCTCAGGGGCCGCACCACAGCTCCTGAGGCTCACACGGCTGCGGAAAGCCAGGCCCGTGCTGCTGGGTGTAGGGCCCAAGCTCCCGGTTCTGCTGTAGCTGCCAGCGATGGCGGGAGGAAGGGAGTGTGGCTGTGGGGAGGGTGTCACAGCAGCCCGAGGGATGCCAAGCCTCCTAGCGCAGGCAGAAAACAGGAGCTAGATCCCTTGTCAGGCACAGGTAGGCTGATAGTGTGTTTGCACAAAGACAGCAAAATGTTACGAAAAGCTAATGCTGAATGAGAGAGATTCAGCACCTCCAGCCCTCAGGGAAGCCGGCAGCCCCCCGGGCGTGGAGCTCCCAGACGGATGGCACCCCTCTGAACTGACAGAGCTTTCTGTGGGCCCCTGCAGGCTGTAGGGAGGGCAGGCAGGAGGGGACAAGTGGGAGAGTAGGCTGAGGGGCTTAGCCGATGTGTCCTTTCCAGGGCCATCTGTGGAAGAGCTGCAGGTAACGTTGGGGCCTCTGCTCCTGACATCTGCAGTCCCGGGCACACACTGATGCACGGCTCTTCTTGAGAGCCCCTCACTCTGCTACATAACTGGGAGATGGACACAGAAGTGCAGAAAGTGGTCCCGGAGTATGAACGAATCTTCCCCAGAGGGACACTTACATCCGAAGCCAGCCCGGGGCAACTGGCAAAATGAGGATGTTTGTCCTCAACATACCTGAGCCCCGCTGGCCCGAGCATTGTCCTCCTGATCCTCCCACCTGCCCCAGCCTATGCCAAGCTCCTCTGGAACCTAACCCACAGCATCTGCTTAAGAGGACCGTCGCGGAGACCGCACCTGCAGGTGTTTCACTCCTTGCTGCTCCAGAACTGCCCAGGTTTAAATCAGCAACCTGACTTCTGATTCTGCCACGTCGGCCCTCACTCTCCCCTACACACAGCCCACACCTTCTTTCCTCCTCCCCGGCATCCCTGCCTGGAGAGCCTGCCTTCCCCTCTCCTAGATGCCCCTGAGGACAGCCTGTTCAAACCCACCAAGCACAACATCCTCCGGTCAGGCTTCCTGATCAGCAGCCAACACCAAAAGCCTGCCTTCCTTGGAGCAGTCCAGCGCGTGCCAACTCCACCCGCACAGCATCTCCACATGCGGTCCCCGCGCACCCAAGGCCGGCTCAGCTGCTGCTCCCCTCCGCGACTCATCTCTCCAGCTCCCGCAGGACCTTCAGCGGCAGGGACCCTCATCCTGAGTGCGTCTGGTGACCTGGAACTCAGTGGGTGTTCAGGAAAAGCACGGGTATTGGTTTCAGCTTCCTTAAGATCTCTTGAAGATAAAAACAAAAACTTTTGTATTCAAAGGAATATCCTCTTGATACTCAGTGTTTGTATACATGATCTGGATGAAGTATCAAGTGAAATCGTCTAAATTAGCGGAGTCATCGAGCCAACACGCCAATGAAAGCTACAAAAGTCCAAAGGTCCTTGATGTATAAAAATTAACAAAAATAATTTTACTTGTGGCAATGTTCTGCACTCAGTGCTAACAGGTAGTCAGCTTCAAAGGACTGAACTTGTTAATAGCTTAAAGTGTGAGTGAACGGGGGTTGTACTTGCTGGTAGGTTGACTACAGCCAATGCTGATGTTCATCCCAGAGTAAACCCAAGTCTTTGTTAATAAAATGCTCAGTGGCGCCATCCAGGGTGGTTGGGGAAGACTAATCATCCCACTCAATTACAGAGGAACAAACATCCAGGAATGGGACATATCCTGAGCACCACTGTGAGGAGGAATTCACAAAGGGGTCATATCCGTGGGGAGCACACAGGGTGATTGATGGGGACCTTGGGATGTGTGAGGCCCATGTCTGTGGGGGCTGTCATAAGAAGAAGGGACCAGAAGCTTAGTCTGGGAAAGAAATGACTCAGATGCAGTGCCGGCTTCCTGGATGTGCAGTCCGGGGCCCTGAGGTGAGAAGGCCTGGTGCTTGGTTCAAGGCTGTGTGGACACCAGCTTGGAAATCTAACCACTTATGAACAAGAGCCCCCGTTTCATTTTGAACAGCGCCCTGGGTTGCATGTCCTGGTCAGAGGGCTGTGGCATGGAAGGTGTGCTTTGTGCTGCTGTGCAGGGGAGAGCTATGAGCATTTGCTTATTCCTTACCTTTTCACAGACTTATGCATTGAGCACTAAGGTAGAGGCTGTTCAGAGGCTGTTCAAACACCAGCAAACCAGTCGGGCAGGGTCTGCTCTGCTGGAGATCATGTTCCAGGGTGGAGAGAAGGTAAAGAAGTAAACAAGAATGTGGGGCAGGATAATTTCAGATTGTGATAATGTTTTAGAGATAAAGAAAAGAGACTACAGTAACAGAGGATGGGCAGAGCTGGGGGATAAGAGACCTGCCTTAGAAAAGGCACCTGAGGCCTGAATCTGAGGGGTCAGTTGTGCAGGCATCAGGAGAGAAATGCTAAGTGGGTACTCATGTCATGAGAAGGTGCCTTGCACACCTGCAGCACAGAGAGGTGCCCGTGGCTGAAATGTCATGGGAGGACAGGGCGGGGAGGGGGTGGTGTGTGGTTACTCTCTGAGGTGACAGAGCTAGCAGGGTCTGGGCTGCATAGGGCCTGGAAGGTTATGATACAGAATTTAGACTTAATTTTAAATGACATAGGAAGCCCTCTCCAGATCTTAAGCAAGGAATAAGTGGGAGAGTTGAGGAGGCTGGTCTGGTGGAGAAACAAGGAAGACATTCACAGTACAGAGCCATGGAATGGGCTGTCATCCTGCATGTGATCAGAAACTGGAGAACCATTCCATAGAAACTGGAGCAGAGGAAAGTCCATGGCAGGTGAGAGGGGGCCTGGATGCTTTCCCGGCTCTCCTCTGGACAACAGGTCAGGAATCCTCCTGAGTAAGATCATTTGATTCAAAATGAGATGCTACTGCTTGCTGGCAGTATAATCTTGGGCAGGGAACCTAGCAGCACGAAGCCTCCAGTTGGTTTGTGTGTTTGTTGTTGTTTTCAATATATACGCTGCAGGTAGCACTTACAACACAAGGACATAGCAGTGATTGAACTACATGGGATGTACAAGTTTCTGAGAATAGTGCCTGGCGCTTAGTGAGGGTTAAGAAATGCAGCTAAGTTATTAGTGACCCATGCAAGTGACATTTTGGAGCATCATTCTGCACAACGTGGACATTAGTCAGCTGGCCTGCGAATAATACCTGCTTTGCTTAAGCAAGCTATGCATCAGTTTTTATATCTGGAAGATGGGATCAAGTCAGTGCCTCATCAGGAGTTCAGTGGGAATGGCAGGAAAGATAGTCTGCCTGATGTCAATGGACCAGGACAGTGGATGAGGTTCAGGAGAATCAGACAGAAACAGCAGCCCAAGACAGGGCAGAAGTTGAGTCAGAGGGAGGCAGCACTAGATCCCAGCTGCTGGGGCAAGGAGCTGTCCAGGTCATGGCTGGACATGTGCATCTTGCTGTCATTCATTCTTCCCTCTGTGCATGTTGGGCTACCGTCGTGCTTGTAGCCAACGCTCGCAGGGACTCTCATAGTTATAAATCTTTCAGCTTATCCCAGCATTCTTGGCTTTAGAATCCAAATCACCAACTGCCAAACCAGGAGAGGAGCAGGTTTCTGAAATATTCTCAGTTGTAAGCATTGAGTGTTCATGTGGGTGGGAGGGAAGAACAGAAAGAGACCTCCAAGATGAATCTGGAGTGGTGCTGTGTATTATAAAATAAGGCAGGTTTGCTAGTAAGTCCATCAAAATCTATACAAATATGAGAAAGTCCCTAGAAAAGGAGAGCAGAGCCCACCTTCAGCACTCCCCACCCTCACAGAACCACACACACTTTCAGAGATGCAGGGCCATTGCCAAGCAATGCAAGATGAGGTTTAAACATGATTGTGCCCTTACTTCATGATTGATAGTTTCTTCCTCCTCTAAGTGAAAAACAAAATAATCCCTTTCTCTAGTCTAGGGAAAATTTGGAACAGGGTGTGTGCCCTTGAAATCAACTTAGAAAAAGCAGATTCAAAGTTCCATTGCCATATGACCTGTAGCCATCACTCCCATCCTCACAACAAGAAAAAAGCTGAACAAACTGAGAAATAACTCTTCTGAGATCTCTCAGAGGATTGAAGTCACGGGCGAAGGATGCTGCAATAGTTGGAGACAGAGGTGGGTACAAAGAATCACAGCTTACTGGGAGCAACATTTCAGGGGCAGAAGCCCTTGCACAGCCGGTTCTTGTAGGAACACTTAAACTGTAATTGACGAATTGCTGGAGGCATGTGACTAGCTTGAGATCCACCGAAGTCAACTTATCTTCAATGGAGGAGCAAAGGCAATTCAATGAAGAAAGAGCGTTTTCAACAAATGGTGCTGGAACAACTGGGCCTCCACATGCAAAAAAGAGAGGAGATCTATACAGAATTCATGTGTCACAAAAATCTCAAAATGGATTATAAACTTAAATATAAAACTCAAAATTTTAAAACTTCTAGCAGGTGACATAGGAGAGAATCTAGATGATCTTGGATTTGGTGATGATTTTTTAAATACAACACCTAAAGCAACACTCCATGAAAGAACAAATTGTGTAAGTGGACATCCGTGAAACTAAAATATTCTGTTCTGTGAAAGACACGGTTAAAAAATGTAAAGACAAGCCAAAGACTGGGATAAAATATTTGCAAAACTCATACTGATAGAGGACTTGGGTATGCAATGAACCCTTAAAGCTGAACAATCAGAAAGTAACCAACTCGGTTTAAAAATGAGCAAAAGATCTGAACAGACACCTCACCAAAGAAGATAGGCAGATGGAAAATGAGCATATAAAAAGATGATCAACATCATATGCCATTATGAAACTGCAAACTTAAACAATGAGATACCACTACACATTTATTAGAATGACAAAATCCAAAACACTGACATCTCCAAATGCTGACGAGAATGTGGAGCAACAGGAACTCTCATTCATTGCTGGTGGGAATGCACAGTGCTATCGCCACTTTGAGAGACAGTTTGGCAATCTTTTACAAAGTTAACTATACTCTGAATATACAATTTAATAATCATATTGCTTTGGTTTCACCCAGATGAGTTGAAAACTTTTGTATACACAAAAACATGCACAAAGATGGTTGCAGCAGCTTTATTTATAATTTCCAAAACTTGAAAGCAATCAAGATGCCCTTCAGCATGTGAAATGTATAAATAAACTGGGGTACATCTAGACTACGGGATATTATTCAGTGCTAAAAAGAAATGAGTGATTGAGCTATGAAAAGATGTGGAGGAAATGTAAAGGTATATTGCTAAGTAAAGATGCCAATCTGAAAACACTACATACTGCATAATTCCAACTATATGGCTGATACAGTTTGAATTTGTCCTCTCTAAATCTCATATTGAGTTGTAATCCCCAGTGTTGGAAGTGGGTCCTTGTGGGAGGTGTTTGGGTCATGGGGACGGATCCCTCTTGGCTTGGTGCTGCCCTTGTGACAGTGAGTGACTTCTCACGAGACCTGGTTATTTAAAAGTGTGTGACACCTCCCCCACCCCTTGTTCCTTCTCTGGCCATGTGAGATGCCCGTTCTTGCTTTATCTTAGTAAGACTGTAAGCTTCCTGAGGCCATGACTGTAAGCTTCCTGAGGCCTCCCCAGAAGCCTAACAGATACCAGCACCCTGCTTCCTGTACATCTGCAGAACCATGAGCCAATTAAACCTCTTTTCTTTATAAATTACTCAGTCTCAGGTATTTCTTTATAGCAATGCAAGAAGAGCCTAACACGATAACATTATAAAAATGGCAAAACTATCGAGATAGTAAAAAGACCAGTGGTTGCCAGGGGTTGGGGGAGAGTGGGAATCATGGGTAGGTGGAGCACAGGCATCTTCAGGTCAGTGAAGCTGTTCTGGGTGACACTATAATTTGTCAAAATCCATAGAACTGTACACAAAGAGTGAGTCCTAATGTAAGCCATGGCCTTGAGTTAGTAGTCAGGTGTCAAGACTGGCTCCTCAGCTGGGTGCAGTGGCTCACACCTGCAATCTCAGCACTTTGGGAGGCTGAGGTGGATGGACGACCTGAGGTCAGAAGTTCGAGACCAACCTGGCCAACATGGCAAAACCACATCTCCATTAAAAAAAAAAAAAATTAGCCGGGCTTTGTGGTGCCTGTCTGTGGTCCCAGCTCCTCGGGAGGCTGAGGCAGAAGAATCACTTGAACCTGGGAGGCAGAGGTTGCAGTGAGCCAAGATCATGCCACTGCACTCCAGCCTGAATGACAGAGTGAGACTAGTCTCAAAAAAAAAAAAAAAAAAGACAGGCTCATCAATTGTAACAGATGGACCACACTCATGTAAGATGCTGATAACAGGGAAGATGGTGTGCCACAGTTGTGGGGGACGGGGTTGTGAGTGAGAACTCTCTGCACTCTCTGAGCAATTTCTCTATAAACCTAAAACTGCTCTACAAAATAAAGCCTACTAATTGTCTTAAAGAGTATGTTTATTTATGTTTTGTTATTTTGTTTAAATAAAAAATCCTCCATAGCCAGGGCTTTCCAGGGATGATAGTGCCAATGTAATTCAAGACATTAACTGAAAAGGGAGAAAAATTACATAATCTTCACAATTTTTTAAAAGCATTTGTTAAAATTCACAATAAAAAAATCGTAGAAAGTTAGAAATACAATGAAATGTCATGAATCTTATAAATTGTATCTATTTTGTTGAATCACGTGAAATTTCCTTTCTTGTAAATCAAATCCCAAAAGTGAATATCATACTTACACTGAATTATTGAAAAAACAAGGAAAGGATGCCGCCTTTTATTCCTTCTATTCAATACTGTACTGGAGTCGCTAGTCAGTGCTTAGGACAAGATAAAGAAATGAAATTCATGTGGAGGGGAAAGAAAGAAAGAAACTTACCTATAAACAACATGATCATGAACATAGAACCAGAAGTCACATAACATTTTCAAAGTTAGTAAGTAGTTTTGTTGTGGAGATTCTCTTTCTCTGTCTCTCTTTCTCACACACACACACTCTCATTCCCTTAGCATAGCCTGGCACCAATCCTCCATCCAAACTGTAGCACAAGGTAAAAAGTTTTATGTTGAGGATATTTTGGAGGATGTCAAGCAAGTCAGTGACTCATCTGTGCTCAGCACAGTGGTAGCCTTCATTCTGTGTCACTCTAGTGGAAGGCTTGCTAGCGAGCCTTCCCTGCAGTATGATGGGTTCATTGTGTGGAGAAGATCTGTTCATTTTGTTATCCCCAGCATCTGGCAAAAGATGGCTTAGAAAAGGGCACTACAAGTGTTTGTGCCTGTTGAATTATGTAACTTACTTATCTCACTCCTGAGGTAGGAATATAGAATTAACTCCCTTTAAGGTAAAATATTCCCAGGCTCTCAGTAAAACGTGTGATCTTACAGAGCTCTGGAGCCCACATCGCTTTTGACCCTACTCAAATGTATCAGCTCTGGAGAGGATCTCCTGTCTCCAGCCCTAGGCTGTGTGCTCTTCCATTGCCTGAATGTGTGGTGGAGCTCCAGCTTACCTAAAACTTCTACTATGGTATAATCCATACCCAATAAAATATTCCAGACAGTAAAGGAAATACATACATCTTAGGGAAAAGAAAATTTAGTGAACTCCATAAAATGCAGGTCAATCTCACTTTGAGCATATTCACTGAGATCTTTTATACCTTCAAACAATTAAATCAAGGACCCAACTTACATAAATGGCTGCCTCTTTTTTGAAGCCAATCAAAGCTTCAAAGAAGCTACAAAAGGAAAGTGAACTTCAAATGCCCATGAAGGGTCAATTAACACCTTGAAATTTTCATCTAAAAGCTTTCTTAATGGGTACCTGACAGATGCATGCTTAAATTCTAATAAGCACTGATAATAGAATCCTAATAGAGTTGTTTAGGTTTGGTTTTTTTTAATAGCGTACCTATTTGATAGTCTACATTGAGCAGTAGATAGAGTGTGAGAAGAATCTAATTTTAAGTAAATAAGTACAGTTGTATATGATTATATAAGTATCACAGAGATACAGATATATTTAAGTACTCATAGTTTTAAAATAAACTTTTAAATTAATAGCACACCTACATAAAATGCTCAAATATGTGTATACGATGATGAATTTCACAAAATAACACACCCATGTAACCACTACCACCAAAAATAATGAATAGAATCCCTACATCCTGTTCCAGCCACCACTGGCATCTTCTTTAAAGCTAACACTGTTCTGACGTCTAATAACACACATTAGTTCTGCGGGTTTGATCTTGAAGTAGAAAAGTATAGCAGAACAGTAGAGTACATAGAAGCTTTGTGTCTGGCTTTTTTGCTCAGCCTTTTATTTGTAAAACACACTGAGGTTGTTGCATGTAGCTGCAGTCTATTGGCATTTTATTATGTGAGCACAGCCAATATTTTCTACTGATACTTGAATTGTTTCTCATTTGAGGCTATTAAGAATCATGCTGCCATGTTTGGTTTTGTACATGGTTGGATTTTGCTGCATCTTGTGTTTCTGATGAGTACATACCAAGATGTGAAATTTCTGCTTCACCACAGCGAATGTATACACTACCCTTTAGTAGACATCTTCGGCCAGTTTTCCAAATGGTCTTACTAATCCATACGCCAACCCTCAGAATAAAGATTCCAGTTGTTCTATGTGTTCTCTGACACTTAATGGTGTCAGCATTTTATATTTTAGCCATTGCAGTGTGTGCATAGTGTTACCTAATTGTGCCTTTAATTTCTGTTTCCCTGATAATTAACTCATTGAGCACATTTTCATGTATTTGTTGTGTATTTTGATATGCTGATGTGTGAAATGTCTATTCAAGTACTTTGCCCTTTATTCTATTGACTTGATAGCTCTGTATATATTCTGGATAAAGATTCTTTGCTCAATGTAAGTGGTGTAAATATCTTCTGATATACCCTGGCCTGCCTTTCCACTCTCATGATGGTCAGATGAAGAGTCTTCGTTTTATTGTAATCCAATTTATTGCTTTTTTTGCTTCCTGTTTTATGCTTTCCTACTTAAGTTTATTAAGATAGTCTCATATGTGCTAGACTCTTTATTATTTTATTTTTCACATTTAAGTTCATAATCCTGGAAATTATTTTTGTTTGTTGAGTGAATTAAAGACTAAAGTCAATTTCCCCTTCTTTTCACTCTTTATTTTTCTTAAGCCACTATCTATTTGGTTTATTTTTTTAAGTCTCCTTGTAGTTTAATCTTCATTTTAATGTTTATTTTTGTTGTATTTCTACTTATTTTCTCAATTATTTCATTTCCTCCTTTCTGAAATTTTCTAACTTTTAATGCTGATTTTCATGTCTTCTATTATTCTCTTAAGTATCTAGAGATGTTTTGAAATATAAGGTTATAGTCTTTATTTGTTTTGTAGACATGTATTTCTGACATTCTTCCTATGGCTGTAAGAATGTGATTCTGTTCTTCATTCTCATTAAATTCTTATAAAAAACATTATGTGGCTTCCTCATATAAGTGAGATCATGAGGCATTTTTCTTTCTGTGTCTGGCTTATTTCACTCAGCACAATGTCCTCTGGGTTCATCCATGTGGTTGTAGATAGAAATTTATCCTTTTATAAAGTATGGATAATGCTCCTTTATATATGTACAGGAATCCCACTTTATTCGTGGTTTTTACTTTCCGTGGTTTCAGTTACCCACCATCAACTGTATTCCAAAAATAGGTGAATACAGTACAATAATGGTGGGCTGGGTGCGGTGGCTCACGCCTGTTATCCCAGCACTTTGGGAGGCTGAGGCAGGTGGATCACAAGGTCAGAAGATTGAGACCACCCCGGTTAACACGGTGAATCCCTGTCTCTACTAAAAATACAAAAGATTAGCCTGGCGTGGTGGCAGGTGCCTGTAGTCCCAGCTACTTGGGAGGCTGAGGCAGGAGAATGGCGTGAACCTGGGAGACAGAGCTTTCAGTGAGCCAGTGAGCCAAGATCATGCCCCTGCACTCCAGCCTGTGCGACAGAGTGAGACTCCATCTCAAAAAAAAAAAAAACAAAATTGTGAGAGAGATCACATTTACACATCACTTATTACAGAATCTTGTTATTATGTTCTATTTTATTATTATTATTGTTTTAATCTCTTATTACGTCTAATATATCAATATTTATTGAATTTATTATATGTTAAACTTTGTCATAGGTATGTATGTATGGGAAAACATAATATCTACGAGTTTGGTACTATCTGCCATTTCAGGCATCCACTGCGGTTCTCAGAAAGTCTCCCCTGTGGGAAAGGGGTAACTCATGTACACCACAATCACCTCCTCCGTTCAACTATCGATGGGCACTTAGGTTGTTTCCATATCTCGGCTCTCATCAGTAATGCCTCAACATGGGAGCACAGAAATCTTCATGAAAAAACTCACATAAATAAAAACAGAGCAGAAGTACCAGGCGTGGTAGGTGGAGGAAACAGGGAGAAGTAGGTCAAAGGGTACAAAGTGCCGTTAGATAGGTTAAGCAGATCTAGAGACTTAATGTAGAACACGAAGACTATGGTTAATATTGTTGCACTGTATATTAAAAATCTGCTGAGAGTAGATTTTAGGTGCTCTTACCACAAAAGAAAAAATAACCGTGGATGGTGATGGACATGTCAGTTTGTTTGAGAATAGTAATCGTTCACTGTGCAAATGCTTATGGAAACATGTTGTACATCTTAAATATATACAATAAAAATAAATGGTAAGTTGAAAAACCTATATGTGATTCAACCATCATCCTTTTCTGTTTCTGATTTTTATATGAAACTAATTTTCCTCAGCTTTTAGCAGGACGAGAGATCACAAGAGCTTTCCAGCTTCACACCTAAAGCTTCCTCTTCTGTTACTTTAGGAAAGTGGGTGAAAAGATGACTCAGCACTTCCTGTGGCCGCCTGGCTCTGTCTCTGCCCCTCTTGTATCTGGACCTTGCATTCATTTGCCCCGTTGGTCCTGTCCTGCCCTGCTAGGTTGACTGCTCTTCCCAGGAGGTTATATAGCCACGTGGTGTTCTGTCTTGGAAGGGATCTTCAGCTGCTTAGATTTCACAGTTCACAAAGCCCAGATTGCTCTGGCCCGGCAGACATCACCAAAGGCCCCTGACCTTCACTTGTGAATTGGAGCAAGCCAAACCCGTCCTCATGACAGCTGCTTTGCTCAAATTGACCCGCTGTTTGCCTTTGGCTGCTGGGGCCTCTGCTTAAGATGTGGTTAAAAACCAAGCAATTAATTCAGCTCATGAGAGCCTGCATGAGAACATCTGTGTCTGAAGCTTTTAGGAGAAGACAGAATAAGATGAGAAAAAAATATAAAAGTAGCAGCTGAAGCACCAAAAACGGTTCTTCCTGCTGAAAGTTCAGAGATTTTGAACAAGCCTCATCTATAAATTCATTATCCATTCTGATTGATTAGAAATACAAGAAATGTAATTAGTTAGAAAGTGTTTTTCTAAATTATGAAATATCTTGGAAACTCATTTCCCATCAATATGTTAATGGACACTTTGATCATCTCTCTTCATTTAAGAAAGTGCTCCTGTTGCCATCATGGAACAAGTTACGATTCCTAGTTTCCAATCATTGGAAAACATTCAATAAATATTTATTGAGTCCCTAATATATGCCAAGAATGGTTACCATGATCAGTCAGGTTTCAGGCATGAAACAAATGGGCAGGCAGTTTGAGGAGCAATATAAGGAATAATTAATAAAGGAGATATTGACAAATGTGTGGGCAATTTGATAGGAAGGACTAGGAATCAGGAATAGAAATATTCAATAGGAAAATCCACAATGGATGCTGAGATCTCCCAGGGCTGTCAATCAATGTGTGGGGGAGCTATAATACCATTAGGCCCCAAGGGGAGTGACCAGGGCCAGGGAGAATCAAGACCCTGCATTCACTCTCCTCCCACCCTCCAGTCTTCAAACAGGGCTCCCCTTGGAGCTGACTGGAGCCCAAAGTCAGGAGTCCCCACTATTGCCCTCAAATGGCCCAACTTCCTGCTGCCCAGAGCAGAGAGGAGAGGGGTGAGGTGGTTGCAGAGGGCCAAAAGGATGATCTGATCTCCAAAGCCTCCAGAGAGAGTCAGAACAAACAGGAGCAGTCCCTGGCCCGAGGAGCTCACGTTCCGGTGGGGGAAGGAAGACAATGACGAACATACAATTTAAAGTCAAGTAGGAAGAAAAGCCAGACGGGACAAAGGAAAAGAGAGTGACTGGAGGCCCGTGCTGGAGCCATCGGAAAGGTGTCTGGGTGCCAACCTTCGAGAATGTGCCCTATGGGCAGAGACTGTGAACCCTTGGGCAGGGAGAACCGTGCAAAGTGGATGGCAATCTGCTTCAGAAGCTCAAGGCATGTTGGGATCGGAAGGTGATTCTTTTTTTTTTTTCATTTTGCTATTGAAACAAGTACAAGGAATTTCCACTTGACTATTACTGCTTAGAAGCAATTGCTGTAAAGCTTTAAGGAATACAAGAAACACTACAGAAAAAAAGACAAGTTCTTAAGCTCCAACATGGGCAGTGTCATCTGTGTCTGAAATGTTTGAGGAGGTCACATCTACCTTCCAGGGTTGCACCATGTTTCGGCTTTTTGAGGAGGGAACAATCAGTAAAATGGAAGCTTTTGGGAACATGCAGTGCCCCACTGGAGGTTACATACAAGATGAAGAGCAAGCTTTGTGGAAAGAGACACCTGAAGAGAGCTGTGCCTCCATGCAGAGAAGCAGCCAGCCCACAGCACTCCAGGAGGAAGACAAGGCTCCATGTCCTGGCCCATGCCCCCCTCCTCTCCACTATTGCTAGTTCTTTCCATTTCTGAAGCCCAGCTGGCAGCCAGAACACAAGAGTGCCTGTTGGTGCAGGGCACCCAGGGAACTCCCAGGGAGGGGACAGGTGCCCTTCCCTTTCCATAGCAGGGGCAGATGGACGCGGTCAGCACAGTGAAGCAATTGCAAGCATACAGCACACAGCACGATGGACTGAGGACTGCAGCCTGGGTGTGCGGGGTCCAGGCATTTGACAGGCAAGTGGCAGCTCTGCTCCAGGAATCCCTGCCCAGCCCGCCCTCCCGCGCCTGCATGAGGAGAAATTCATCGCACTGTTTTAGATTGCACTGGGCACTCTGCTGCCTGTGGTCTTCTAGAATGCCTTGCTGTGAAGTGCAGAAAATCTACCCTACGTTTGATTATACCCTGCTGGCTGCAGTACAGCTAACAGGAGAGGTATATAAAGGGCAAAACCAGAATTTGAACTCTGGCATGCTGGCTTTAAAACCCAAGTCACACGCAAGGAGGTCGTGCATCGCTTCCAGAGCTGGGCCTATGGCCATTTGTGGAAGAAATGAGCAACATTAGTGTTAGGGAATCCAGGTCATATTTAATAAATATAAAAATAAACAGACAATTAAATAAATGCTTTTTTTCCTCTTCAGAGAAGAAAGGTTACTAGATTCTAAAATAGGATACCCTGGGGCATCTGAATTCTTCCAAGAAGGTTTTTAAGAATGGACAAGACTCTATCAGGCACGGGTATTGAACTTAACAGTGTAGAGAGACACAAACTGGGTTGTCTAGGAAAACATTGGCAGCCCAGGGCAGGCTCTAAGCAGAATGAAATAAATACAATGAGAGAGCCATGTCTGGGGCCTTCTCTGATACTGCCACGATTCTTTTCCTCTTGCCTAGTCCTCCCATAGGAGAGATTTTTCAGTCCCATCAGTCTATCCTCATCCCCATTCCTGGTTCCCATTCTGGGGAATCCTGAAGTGTTATGTGCCAGCAGTGCAGTAGCTAATGCGTTAGCGGACAATAAAGAATAACCCTAGGACAATCACTAAGGGCATCCACATTTTAGGGGGCTCATCTCCAAGAACCTCCCTTCTTTTGTTGGTGGCCAATGCTAGAGTGCCTGCTGGGACTCCCCACCCCTGAACCTAAGCTGTCAAGAGATGAGCACCTGGCCCAAAACCTCCTCAAAGCTGCTAACCTCTCGGGTGGCTAAGGAGATGCCTCTGTAGATGAGGCAAGGCCCCAAATAGGCTACCACAGAACCCTTATCTGAGCCCCAGGAGCTCACTGGATTGTAGGGAATCTGAGATTTGGAGTTCACCTACACATTTTTCACTCTTAACTTCAGACCTAGCTATCTAGTTAAATGCTTGTTCTTAGGCTGGATGCGGTGGCTCATGCCTGTAATCCCAGCACTTTGGGAGGCCGAGGTGGGCAGATCACTTGAGCTCAGGAGTTTGAGACCAGACTGGCCAACATGGCAAAACCCTATGCCTACTAAAACTACAAAAAATTGGTCTGGCATGGTGGCATGTGACTGTAGGAGGCTGAGGTGGGAGGATTGCCTGAGCCCAGGAGGCAGAGGCTGCAGTGAGCTGAGATCTCACCATGGCACTCTAGCCTGGGCAACAAAGCAAGACCCTGTCTCAAAAAAAAGAAAAAAAAGTTTGTTCTTTAGAGATGCTGAATGAAAACAAGTTTTAAGATACCTCTAAGAGAAAAAATGCCAGCATGGGCAATACACTTCAGTTGTCCACCACCTGAGTAGGGTAAATTCTGTCTCCCATACAGATTCAGTTCATGTGCAATGTATTATCCCCCCGAGAAGGCTGTACCATCCCACAGATCAGGTCATTACTACCCTCGTACACAGGGGCCAAGGGAGCAGAGAGGAGAGGCTTTAGCAGTAATGACCCCCATGTTTCTTGTTCGAAGGTCATAAATCCTTATTACAGAGATAGAAATAAGGACAGAGTGGCAGGGAAAGGGCCCACATGAAAAATAGCAAGAACCATCACAAAAGGCCTCTCTCTGCAAGGATGATATGACTTCATCAGGGACTGAGGAGTGACAGGAGAGGAACATTTCTCATGAAACAGTGACAGTGCCTTAATCAAGACAGATCAGACCCTCGGTCTGTGGCACACTGATCTCCCCGCCCTGTGCTCACCCTGAGACCCTAGGGGTGGCTGCAACCTAGGAGACCTTTAAAAGCTGATGTTCTAGAAAAAGTGCTCAAATGGGCATCAGGAGACTTGGAGTGGGTCCTGATTTTTCACTAATTAGCCTGTGGCCTTGGGCATGTCACTTAACCTCCTTATTTATAAAATGGTAGGAGTGGACAAAATGAATTATTTAGAGCATTGTTAATGATGAAGCTCCAATCCTAAGTCACCTGTCATGGTGGGGTAGCTTTCTAAAGCATCAAGGTCCCTTTATTGCAGGGTTTAGGCTCATAGCCCATGTATTCACTCAGGAACTTGTTTGCTCATCCACTCAGTCAATTACTATTAATGGAGCACATTTCCAATAAGGGACTAAGAAGCATCTTCAACACTCCTTGAGACCATATTCAAGTTTCTGTCTTTGTTTCTCTCTCTGCTGCATTTATCCGTTACACACCCAAATCAGTTACCATTTCGCCCAGGGAAAAAAAAAAGAGACAAATTCCACATTGGCATTAATTGTTTGGCTACGAAATCCACCCCTATTCCCAGTAACAACCCTACCAGACCCGGAGTATAGAGGCTCCCTCCCCTACGGTGCTCAGAAATGTCCTTTTTACCTTCCAAGATTGCTCCTCATTATTTTTGACAAGGATTACAGTTAAGGAAACATTATCAAATTCTGTTTTGGGGCAATGATGGAGTAACAAGGAACAGATTTAACCTCCTGCCATAAACAGCAAGACAAAATATATAAAACAACTGTTTTGAGACATTGGATGACAGTTATTGAAGAGTTTGTGATCTCTGAGAGGACAGAAGCACATATAAAGAGCCCTATGATTGTGTTGTTATTCTACCTGAAAAGAATTTCAAGGTTTGGTGAGGGAAGGGAAATGCAAACAGAGCCCATTGGCCCCGCTGAGTTTAGAGGCAGAGATTAGATATTAGAGCAGTGGATTCATCTAGAACTCACAGTTAAAGAGCTCCAGAAATTTCTGTAGTATCCTCTCAAGGGTTTGCTGAGTATTAGGATGTGCATGTTTGATTGAATCTCCACAAAGCTGGTGGAGATTACCATGGAGTTAGAAGCTAACAATTTTCAGAGCTGGTATAGGGTAGGGAGATGTTCAATTATATCTTAGCTCAGGCTGCTATAACAAATTACCACAGACTGGGTGACTTAAGCAACAAACATTCATTTCTCACAGTTCTAGAGTCTAGGATGTCCAAGATCAAGGAGCCAGCAGATCCAGTGTTTGGAGAGAGCCTGCCTCCTGGTTTGCAGATGGCTGTATTCTTGTTATATCCTCACATGGTGGAGAAGAGAAAGAGAGGAAGCAAGTTCTTTCTTGTCTCTTCTTGTAAGAAGGCACTGATCCCATGTATGAGATTAACTCATCCTCATGACTTTCCTCCCAAAGGACCTACCTTCTAATACCATCCCATTAAGGGCTAGGTTTTAACCTACAAATTTAGCAGGAGGGAGGACAGGAAACAAACATGCAGTCTACAGTAAATTTCAAACAGCCACAGTGAAGAGTCTTTAGTGAACACCCAAGACATTCGGTGAAGAGCCAGAGGAGACATACCTCAGTTGTAGGGTTGAATTTCCTAGGGGGAAGATTACTGTAGACTCTCCCTAAGACCATTTAAAGATAGACCTCAAAAAGATCAAACTGACTTACAAATGACTTGATTGTAAAACAAAGTCTGTCACTCTTTAAAGGATGACAATAAAACCCAAGCATTCATAATGTAACATATCATGCAACCAGAATGCAATCAAAAATTAGTAAACATGCAAATAAGCAGGTACATGTGACCCATAAGGGAGAGAAAAAGAATACAACACAACTATTAATAATATCTCTTATAAAGAGAGATGCAAAATTTTCTAATAATATAGTAGCAAACCAAATTTAGCAACATTTAAAAATTCACCATGATCATGTGAGATTTATTCCAATTATGCAAAATTGGCTTAACACGTAAAAATTAATGTAATGCACAATATGAATAAAAAAGGATAAAATCACATTTTTATCTCAATAGATGCAGAAAAAGTATGTGACAAATTCCAATACCTTTTCATGATATAAACAATCAACAAACTAGAAATAAAATAAAACTTTTCCAACCTGATAAGGGAATCTACAAAAATCCCAAGCTGATAATCATACTAAATAATGAAAGACCGAAGGCTTTCTCCCAAGACCAGAAATAAGTCAAGAATGTCTGCTGTTTTCAGCTGTTACCAGCCAAGGCAACTGGGCAGAAGGTGTCAGATAAAAGGCATCTGGTTTAGAATGCAAAAAGTAAAACCATCTCTTATTGCAGATGATAAGATTTTGTATACAGAAAATCCTAAGCAACAAAAAAAAATTAAAAATAATTTTTTAAAATTTTATTTGCAATAGCACTCAAAAGAATAAAACACTTAGGAATTTGTCTGATATATTTTTAAAAGAAATGCAAGACTTACAGTCTGAAGATTATTAAAATTAAAGGAGATCTAAATAAATGGAAAGGCATCCCATGTTCATGGATCTGAGAACTTAATATTAAGATGTCAACAAGCCCCAAATTGCTCTATAGATTTGACACAATATCAAAATCTTGGCTGGCTTCTTTAAAGAAATTGAGAAGATGATTCTAAAATTCACACATAAATTCAGGAAACCCAAAATAGCCATAACATCTAGAAAAAGAAGAGCAACATTGGAAAAGAGGATTATACTTTCTGTATTTTCAGAACTAAAATTTCAAGTACTGCTTGACAACTCTGAGCCATACAGGCCCATGAGTCTCTCTGCTCTTAGCAGATATGCTCCCCTACCCATCAGGAAAGGCTCTCTGCTATACTTCTTCTCCTGCCAACTAAACCAGCATTACCAGGTTGGGTGGCTTTTTAACCTTAAAGGCTTCAGTTCCCTGCCAGCCCATGAAATTATTCAAACAAGCCAACCCCATTTTCCTGTGGCAAGAGGGGCAGTCCATCCTCTGGTACTACACAGCCTACCTGCACTGCCCCCTGCTGGTTCACTCTGCTCTTTGTGCAATCATCCTGTGGCCCTGAATAATGTGTGGCATCTTCCTTCCCAGACTGTGAGCATATGTGACTAATAAACTGCTGTCATCTCATCTGTTCAGTATCAAATGTTGTATGTTCAACCATCTCATACTTTAGGATGTGACTCCCCACTGTAGCAACAGAGTTAATAGAAGATATTCAGAACATGTTCCAATTATAAACTTATTACAAAGCTAAACAATCAAGACTGTATAGTACTAGCATATATGTGTATATATATATAGATATATATATATAGATGTATGTTAGAATTGAGAGTCTAGAAATAAACCATTACATTTATGGTCAGTTGATTTTCAACAATGGCACTAACATGATTCAAATGGTGCTAGGACAACCAGATAACCTCATGCTAAAGAATGAAGTCAGACTGCTGCCTCAAAACATACAAAAATCAACTCAAAATGGATTGAGTTGTCAATGTAAGAGCTAAAACCATAAAATTCTTAGGGAAAATAAATAGTGTTCATCTTCATGATCTTGGCAAGGCAATGGGATTTTAGATAGGACCCCTAAAGCACAAGCAACCAAAAAAAGAAAGATAAATTAGACTTCATCAAAATTAAAATTTTTTGTGTTTCAAAGGACTCTATCAAGAAAACAAAAAGAAAAATCATAAAATAAGAAAAGTATTTGAAACCCATATACCTGGTAAGGGACTTGCATTCAGACTATATAAAGGATGTTTATAAAAATAATTTTTAAGAGAATATCAATAATAAAAAGACAAAAAATTTTAAAATTGGCAAATTATTTGAAAAGACATTTCTCCAAAGAAGATAAATAAATAGTCAATAGCACATGAAAAGATGTTTGACATCATTAGTTATTGGGGAAATGCAAATCAAAATCACCTAATTCCCACTAGCTATAGTGAAAAAGACAGGCAATTTAAGTGTTGAAAAGGAGAAATTAGAAAAATGGAAACCCTCACACATTGCTGATGGGAATGTAAAATGATGCAGTGCTGTGGAAAATGGTTTGGCAGTGCGTCAAAGTGCTTAACATACAGTAACCGTATAATCTAGCAATTTTACTCCTAGGAATATGAGAAATGAAAATGTACTCCTACCCAAAAAAGTGTACTTGATAGCCAAGAAGTGGAAATAATACAAGTGTCCATCAATCGATAGATGGATTAACAAAATGTGATCTAGCCATATACTGAAGTGGTATCAGATATAAATGAAGTACTGACATGTGCTGAGAAATGGATGAATCCTGAAAACATTCTGGTAGGTGAAATAAGCCAGTCACAAAAAAAGAACACATACTGCATGATCCTACTTATAGGAAACATTCAGGATAGCCAAATCTATAGACCTAAAAACTAGATTAGTAGCTGCAAGAGGCTGGCAGAGAAAGAATGGGAAGTGAATGTTAATGAGTAAGGGGTTTATTTTTGGGGTGATGAAAATATTCCAGAATTAGTGGTGGAAAGTTGCACAACTCTGTAATACACTGAAGGTACTGAATTGTACATGTTAAATGTGTAAATTTTATGGTAGCAAATTATATCTTCATAACACTGTTAAAAATTGTATCTGAAAATGTAAAGTCCTAATGTAGCCCCTAAAACCTTGAAAAGTAAAAACAAAAATGAAGACCTTTTATTATGTGATTCCTCGGCTCATAATAAACATATACTAATCAATAAAATATGCAGTTGGTCAATGGAACAGCCCAGACTGACATATACCTAGACTGTCAATTGATTTTTACAAAAGTGCCAGGGCAATTCAATGGGCATATATAGTAATTTCTACAAATGATGCTATAAATCTGGATGCTATATGCAAAAACAAACAAACCTTTACCTTTATCTCACGTCATATGCAAAAAGAAGTTTAAAAATGGTTCATAGACCTGACCGTAGGAACTAAATGTAAAAAACTTCTAAGAAATAGAAAATAGAGAGAACATTTTAATGTTTGGTTAGGCAAAGAGTTCTCAAATATGACATAAAAATATAAACTATAAATAAAACTTTCTATAAAGTGTACTTTATCAAATTAAAATTTTTGTTCCTTAAAAGACACTGTTAGAAAAAAAAAAAAACAGCAAGACACAGACTAGGAAAAATATTTGCAAAATGTATATTTGATGTCTGTCCATTTAAAACATTCTTACAACTCAGTAATAAGAACACAAATAATATAATAGAATTAATAAAATAAAATGGGCAAACATATTTATCAATAAAGATATGACAAAGATACTTGATGACAAAAAAAATGACAAAGATACTCAAACTCATTAGTTACTAGTAGAATGTAAATTAAAACCATGAGAAACCCGTTACACATTCATTAGAATGGCTACAATTTAAAAGACTGACTATATCAAACTTTGGAGGAGAGGTGAAGCAACTGAAACTTTCATATATTACTGGGGGGAATGCAAAAATGGTACAGCACTTTGAAAACTATTTGGCAGTTTTCTATAATGTTAAACTTACACTTACCATATGACCCAGCAATCCCACTTCTATGTATTTATCCAAGAGAAATTAAAATGTATATCTGCACAAACACTTCTACTGGAAGGTTCATAGCAGCTTTATTCATTATAGCTCAAAATTGTAAAAAGCAAAACAAACAAATCATTGCACATCTATACAATGAAATACTACTCAGTGAAGAAAAAGAATGAACTAATGCATGCAAAAGCATGGATGAATCCCAAAAGCATTATGGTGCATGAAAGAAGAAACACAAAAGACTATACTGTATGACTACATGTACATGAATTCTAGAAAAAAAAATTAGTGACAGAAATGGATCAGTGGTTGCCAAGAACCAGGGACTGCGGGAGGGAACTGCTGAAATGGGACATTAGAGAAATCTTCTCTATTTTGATTGTGGTAATAGGTCCACTACCATATATATTTGTCAAAATTTATCCACTGACACACTTAACATTGGTAACTTTTTTTTTTTTTTTTGAGAGACTGGATCTTACTCTGTCGCTCAGGCTGAAGTGCAGTGGTGTGATCATGGCTCACTGCAACCTCAACCTCCTGGGCTCAAGTGATTCTCTCATTTCAGCGTCCTGAGTAGCTGGGACAATAGGCATGCAACTTCATGCCCAGCTAATTTTTAATTTTTTTGTAGACCTGGGGTCTCACTATGTTGACAAGTCTAGTCTTGACTTCTGGCCTCAAGTGATGCTCCCACCTCGACCTCCCCAGGTGTTGGGATGACAGGTGTGAGCCCCACACCCAGGCTGGTAACTCATATTAAGTGCAAGTTACACCTTGATAAAGCTGGTTAACAGTAGCAGCAACATCTAACTGTGGAAGTAATGGGCAAGCAGTTTCCTGGAAAGGGCGTGTGCCATGTACTGGGGAAGAGCAAAGCAACGTCGCTCTCTATTGACAGAGATCTGAGTGGAGGAAGGTAGGTTTAAATGTCACAGAAATGACTGCAGTTAGATTTTAAGAACACACTCCACCATTCTCTTTCTGACATGGAAACTGGAATTGTAGGATTTGGCACAAGCTCCTTTCTAAACATAGATGTAAAACACTTCATCTGCTTTGAGGAATTGGGCAGACCTTGATGGAATGTCGTCTTGCTTAGAGCACCAACCTTAACTGGTGAGCAATGGTCTCTCAGGCTTCCCAGATGCAGCACTCGGCAGGGAATCCAGCACAGGTTCACATCGCAGGTGCAGCACATGGCAGGGAATCCAGCACAGGTTCACATCGCAGGTGCAGCACTCGGCAGGGAATCCAGCACAGGTTCACATCGCAGGTGCAGCACTCGGCAGGGAATCCAGCACAGGTTCACATCGCAGGTGCAGCACGTGGCATGGAATCCAGCACAGGTTCACATCGCAGGTGCAGCACGTGGCAGGGAATCCAGCACAGGTTCACATCGCAGGTGCAGCTCTCGGCAGGGAATCCAGCACAGGTTCACATCGCAGGTGCAGCACTCGGCAGGGAATCCAGCACAGGTTCACATCGCAGGTGCAGCACTCGGCAGGGAATCCAGCAGAGGTTCACATCGCAGGTGCAGCACGTGGCAGGGAATCCAGCACAGGTTCACATCGCAGGTGCAGCTCTCAGCAGGGAATCCAGCACAGGTTCACATCGCAGGTGCAGCTCTCGGCACGGAATCCAGCACAGGTTCACATCACAGGTGCAGCTCTCAGCAGGGAATCCAGCACAGGTTCACATCGCAGATGCAGCACTCGGCAGGGAATCCAGCACAGGTTCACATCGCAGGTGCAGCACTCGGCAGGGAATCCAGCACAGGTTCACATCGCAGATGCAGCACATGGCAGGGAATCCAGGCTGTGGCCCCTATGCTGACCCCAGTCCGCAGCCAGGTCAACTGGCCACTCAAACCCCATTTGTGGGTGTCAGGGGCTGGATTCAGCCACCAGATTTAGACACTAAATTATCCTTTATTTTAAATCATGGTTCTATTTCCAACCCTGAGATAAATCAAGGTAGAAACACTATGGATTCCAGAGATATTGAAATGTTTTAAATACTTTAAGCCAGCTGCAGAAAACGTGATCTACAAGGCAAAATTCTTGAGTCCCACTTCTGGTTTCAAACCTCTAGCTTCTCTGAGGTCTTCTCAAGGTCTGCTCAGTTCCCCAAGTCAGAGGAAGTGTGTTGCATCTTTGTTTAGAAAGGAGCTTGTATTAAATCCTACAATTCCAGTTTCAATGTCAGAGGTTTCTGGCATCAAGGACCCTAAATCATCATTATAGATGCTAAACCACAGTCTGGAGCAGCAGGACAGGTAACATGCAGGCCGCCTGAAGATTAAGTGGGCTTATTTTGTTTTGTTTCTGGAGGAAACGAAACAACCCATCTATTTTCACTTCTCTTATAAAGAGTATTTTCATTTGTCTTGTAAAATGGTAGGGAAAAGCCGTCACCTTCACAGCCTCTGTGGGTGTGTGCGCACATGCAAAGTGACAGGCAGGTGGTGCTCCCAGCAGGTGTGAGGCCAGGATCAGCAGCATCCCCTGTAACCTCACAAAGTGCCTGTCTCTCAACGCCAGGCCAGTGTCTGTCCAGTTCTGTCATTCTTTGGGAGGCAGGTGCACCGGTGGCAGCCTTCACCTTTTCCCTACCACTCGTAACATGTGGAAAACCACTACTGCTCTTTGCAGCTCCTGGATAATAAGGAACCATTTTGTGAGTTGAAGGACAAGTGAAATAAAGAGAAGAGGCGCCGAGAGAGGTGGGAAGTGCTTCCTCACCTCAGGGGTGCATTTGAAAGCTGCCAGCTCTCAATTAACAGATCCACAGTTCAATTCCCAAGCCAGGTTTGTCTCTGTTCAGGTCAAGCAGAATTATTAGAAGTGTTAAGAAAAGTTGTTTTAAAGAGTCTCCAGCAAGAGGAATAGCTCCTTCCAAGGAAGCACCAGCCCTGATGGGTCAGGAGGCACCTGAGACATGCTGCTCCATTTTCAAAGCAGTGGGTGTTTTAAGGGGCCCCTTGAGTGTCCAGGCAGATATGCTTAATTAGTGAGGATTCTTTCTCCAGAGAATGAAGACTGTCTCCTGCCCCCTCTGGTGTCTGTGTGTTCCATGAGCCGCAGGACCCCCACACTATGGCACTGCACCCTCTGACCTGCTCCTTCCTCCTGTGCAGCCCTCACCAACCCACTTTCACGAGATTCTTCTCCTACCGGTCACCAGTCCTCTGCCTTCTCCCCGAGCCTCCACTCCCTCTCTTGTAATTGTAACAGGTCCATTGCCCGATGATGCACCAAGACAAGGGTTGCTGCAGAGACAGAGGTTGAATTATACGGCCCCACATTGAGGACAAAAGAGGAAACCTCCAATCCATCTCCAAGAGGAGTTTGGGACTAGGGTTCTTAAGGGTTTGGAAGTGGGCTGAAGTGTGGAGATCATTGATTGGTCAAAAAGTGCAGGGTGGGGTAGTGGGATGGGGAGATGAAGAAGCTGTATTCTCAGGCTGGTTCCGTCCTTCTGTGGGGGTCTTCAAACTGGCTGGCATTGGCTGTCTCACTGGCATTCAGGATCTGTCTGATCAATTCTTAAACAAAAGCCGTGCCACCCTAATGTCAGAGAGCATGTCTACAGGAGCGACTGGGATATGCATGGGCAGTATCTACTGATTTTTGCCTACAAAGAAGTGGGTCAAAGTGCAGGCTGATTAGTGTGTAATTACAGCTGTATTTCCACCCAGAATTCCTGTTAACTCTGTGAGAACAGCTCCACTGTCTGCACAGGATGAGGGGCTGGGAACTGGGTGCTGACACCTGGGGCTGGCCGTGGGGCCACTGCAGCAGGATGTGAGAGAGGTTAGGGGTCAGGGAGCCCCATTTTGAGGCCCATTTTGCCTGGGCCTTAGTTTTCTTAACATGCATTGAGCCAGCTTCTGCCGGCACCTGAGCCTCCTCGCTGGAGAAAAGCAATGAGGGTTCTCTGTCCCTGGGTGGGAGGCCCTGGCCAATCACCCAGATGAGATGTCCAGTGGGCCTGGAGCCCAGGGGCTTGAGCTGACGAGATGGAGATGGTGCAGCATCTCAGAGGCAGTGTTCTGCCTGGATCGGGGTGCTTTCTGGGGTGGGAGTGCGTGGGCACACACCCCAGATGCCCTGGTTGCTAGCTGTGCAACCCCAGCCTGGACACATGGCTTCCCTGCTGCAGTGTCCAGCAGAACAGAGGTCACAAGCGTGTGTGGCCTGCGGGCTGGTGGGAGGATAGAGTGCATGGATGCCAGGCACGGAACTGCTGTGCCTGAGCCCTCGCTATCATGCTCCCCTCCTTTCCAACCTCTCGGGCCCCTACCTGCCTTGGGTCCCAAGGGGCATTGCTCTATGTGTGGCAAGGGCATGTGGCAGAGTGTCTGGGCACACGAAGGATCTCCAAACATAACAAAGTGTGGATGCCCCTCCCTCACCTGAGTAGGAATTACTCCCTGCTTACTGGCCTGGTTTCCTTTCTTCTCCAGAAATAACTGAGGGATCCTTCCTGTTTTTCCTGTAACAGGAATAAAACCAAACACTTGCGTTTTGGGCTACAGGTTATCCTACACAATCTATACAAAGCTCTCAGACACATGACCTTCCTTATGAGACAACTAGGGAGCAAACTGAAGCATAAGTTAAGAACCATGGAGTCAGCTTTGTCAAGGTCACACAGATAAAACATGCCAAGGTCTCCAGGAAGGCAGAGAAACACAGTTCCATGGGCTTCCCCAGGCCAGACCACAAGCGGAGCTATGGCCAGGCCTTGTGACCAAGTCAACAGCCACCACTGCTGGGGTAATGCTGAGGTCGGAATGCAGAAGTTGGGGGCTGGGCAGAAATAGCTCCCGCAGGGTGTGGGCCACCAGCTATAGAGGAACGTTTTGTTTAGTAAACAATGAAAGGTAAACAAAAATATCCAAGAAAGAAAGAAAAATTGACAGCAATAGTGAAGGAATTCTGGAGGCTCAGATGAGAGGATTGCTTTACTGAATGGTTGAACTCAGCCAGGGACAAAGAACCATTGTTCACGGGACATTGCCAAGGTCCTGGTAAGAAACCAAGTAGGAAATGGAGAAGGAAGGACTCTCGGCCCAGGGACAGTGTCACCTCCCATCATGCTGGATGGCTGTGGGTGCAGCCGTGCCGGGGAGGAGGGGGAGCCCTTTCATCCTCAGCCCTGCCTGCTGGTTCAGCCTCACAGAGCATCAGGAATCCCCTAAGAAAGCTGTACCACGTGAGCTGCAGAGCGGCGAGAGGGCCGGCAGGTGCAGAGGCCTGGCCCTGATGTGCCTCGGCGCTGTGACCCAGGGTTAAAATTGCTCTACAGCCAAACTTCAGACTTTCCAAAAACCACATTTCAAAGCAGTGGCCATCAAGATCGAACCGCAAATCATCTGTTGCTCTGGTTCTTAATTATTTCAGGGAACTGAAGACACGAATAAAGGTCAACTAATGTCCTAGAAAGAGAGAGAGAGATTGCTTGCTCAATCAGCAAATTAATTCTTCCTCAATTCATAAACAGATAACAGGAATGAGTGTGTGTCTCCCGAGCCCTCACAGAAGGCCTGCCCCTGGCTGCCCCTGGCAGCTCCCTGGCCAGGAGCTGGAGCTGCTGGCTTCTCTCCCATGTGTGGGGAGGCAGCAGGGGGGTGGGGTTGAGGCAGGAGCAGCACTTATTTCAGACTCAAACACCACACACAGGGATTGTCGATGAAAACTGACACATGAAATAGGGCATCGGTGGGATCTGAGGTGTCAAGAGGCCTTCGAAGAGGGCGGCAGCTTCAGAGGGTGTCGCCCAACACACCCCCTGTGATGTCGAGTGACCACATGCAATTCCAGTGTTGACTGCAGAGGCTCGTCACCAGCCTGCCTCACGTTGTCATCTTTCCACCTGCTGGGCTGCAGGTCACGGGAAATCCCCATAATGGGGACACAATCTATGGGCACAATCACTATTTCAGATTCCAACTAGACGCTCGGATGCAGGCCAGTGCTCGGGTTCATGCAGCCACTGAGTGGTTGCATCGGGGGCTGCACGCAGGCTTTCTGCCCTGCTGCCCTCAGAGACTGCAGCCCTCTCCCTGCATGTTTGCTGAAGCCACTGCCAGCTCAGAATGTAGACATGGCCACGTCCAAGAGTGAGAAGAGCAGTGTTTTCTTCCAGCTGTCTTATTCAGAAGAAAACCTTTTCCAAAAGTCCCATCTGACTTTCTTGCAGCAACCTTTGGCTCAGGATGGGGCATCCTCCCATGACCTAGCCAGAAAAGCAGCTGAAAAAGTGAAGTCAGATGTTTTCAGCACATTGTGGGTGACGGAGAGACAACTTTAAGAAAGCAGGTAAGTGACAACAGATTCAGCCTCCTCTGTGCCTGGGCACCTCTGTTCCCTCTGCCCTTGCTGGCTGTCCACCCTGACATTTTCTATTCTTAGAAAACCCTACTGTATCTAGAGAGCTCACCACTTCCCCCTTGAACTTCCTGCAGGCTACCACATAGTCACTTGATTACATCTAGCTCCGTACAACATATTTCTCCAGCTTCCAGGTCCGTTCTTTGAACGTGAATGCCTTCATTTCAGAGATGTCATCTCTACCTCTGTGTGCTCCAACCTCACCTTCTCATGTTCCCATCTCGCCCCCACACAAAGCCCAGTCTATTCCACTCACAGGCTCTGCTCAGTAACTCTTTTTTTTTTTTTTTTTTTTTTTTTGAGATGGAGTCTCATTCTGTCACCCAGGTTGGAGTGCAGTTGTGCGATCTTTGCTCACTGCAACCTCCACCTCGCAGGTTCAAGCAATTCTCATGCCTCGCCCTCCCTAGTAGCTGGGATTACAGGTGCCAGCCACCACATCTGGCTAATTTTTGTATTTTTAACAGAGACGGGGTTTCACCATGTCGGCCAGGCTGGTCTTAAACTCCTGACCTCAGGTGATCCACCCCACCTTAGCCTCCCAAAGTGCTGGGATTACAGGCATGAGCCACCATGCCTGGCCTCTGCTCAGTCACTCTTGATGAATGAATGAGCAAGTGAACAATCAAATGGGTTCAAAGATAACCTACACAGTGCTCATACCCTTTAGGACCTTTGGCCTGCCCACGAAGGAAACAGATAACATGACCCTCATTAAGTCAACAGGGCTGTGAGTGCTCACTGGCTTGGATGCTGTGTCTGCTCAGGGAAGAAGGAAATGAGGACTGTTGTCCCTCAGTCACATGGGGCTGTTTTCAGGGTGTCCAGACCTCAGGTGTGACCCTCATGTTAGTTTATCTAGAAACTGTGGTTCTTAAAGTCCCTCATGAGACTGTAACAGTGGATCCGTGCCATTATACCTTCCACCAAACTGAAAGAATGCGCAGCACCAAGAGTGTGCTCTGATGTCAGCCATGGGCCTTGGGTGATGATGATGTCAGTGAAGACTCCTCACTTGTAAGAAATGTTCCACTGTGGTGAGGATGTTGCTGCTGGGGGAGGCTGTGCATGTACTGGGGCAGAGGGTATCCGGAAACTCTCTGTACCTTCCACTCAGTATTTCTGTGAACCTAAAACTGCTCGAAAAGTAAAGTCTATTAAGATAAATTAATTAATTTTAAAAATGTAAAATGTACCCTTGGCAGGGGGGAGGGCAGGAGGAACCCAGTGTGTGTGTCTGGTTCCCGTTGCTGCTTTCGCAGCAAGTCACATGGTGTAGTGGCTTACTACTGCAAACTCCCTGTCTGCAGTCCAGCAGATCAGGAGTCCAGCACAGCATGGGTCTCAGGTGCGTGCACACCACAGGTCTCTGCATCTCTTTCTGGAGATGCTAAGGGAGAGCCCACTCTGCTTGCCTTCCCCAGCTTCTAGAGGCCACCCTCCATCCTTAGACCCTGGCCCCTTCCTCCATCCTCAAAGCCAGCAAGGTCAGGGGGTCCTTCTCATGTTGTATCTCTGACCCTTCTATAGTGAGTGCTTGCAACTGTATGCTGACTTCGCATCCATGTTTATATGGTAAGTTTAGGCCAGGCACGGTGGCTTATACCTGTAATCCCAGCACTTTGGGAGGCCGAGGTGGGCAGATCACCTGAGGTCTCGAGTTTGAGACAAGCCTGGCCAACACGGCAAAATAAAAAATTTAAAAATAGCCAGGTGTGGTGGTACGTGCCTGTAGTCCCAGCTACTCATGAGGCTGAGGCAGGAGAATCACTTGGACCTGGGAGGTGGAGGTTGCAGTGAGCCGAGATGGGCCACTACACTCCAGTCTGGGTAACAGAGTGAGACTCCATCTCAAAAAAAAAAAAAATAGTAAGTTTAACTTTCTCATACAAGAAGCAGGGCTCTGTCACCCTTGACACAGTTCCCAATACTATACCCCACCCAATGGCTTCAGCCAGGGGCCAGAGATAAAATGTAGAGGCATCTCTCCTGCCTGCCATGCTGGACTCTTGCTTTCCCACACTTCTTTAAAAGGACCATTCAGACATTTGCCATTGAACTTAAAGGGACCACTTCTCATTCACAGTATGACCTCCTGGAACTTGTGCCTGCTTGCTCTGAACCCACCGATTAAAGCTCCCACAGGAAACCTGTTTGGATAATGCACTGTTTGGATAACGCACTGTTTGGATAACACACGGGGCCCAATAAAGGCGTTGGCCAAGAGGTCTCTTTTCTCTCTCCGCCTGCGCCCCTGATTTCCATGTACCATGTACTCCCTCAGATCTGTAAGTGCCAAAAACTCCTAAATCTTCACATTAGGGTTGTGTCATTGACACCATGCCCACGGTCCAACCTCTGAGGACTGGCGAGGTCCCAGAAGCCCCATGGACATGGACTCCCTGCTGGTGCTCTTTCGTCCAAGCCTCTCAGCAACTGGGACAGTAGTTACCAGCTAAATTGATAGAGTGTCATTCAAAACACCTTCCCCATTGCCTCTGAATACAGCTGGTAAGGATTCTCTTATTTTAAGGACTTATGTGATTAGATTGGGTTTACCCAGATAATCCATGGTAATCCCCATCCGTAACCATAATCCCATCTGCAAAGCCCCTTTTGCTACCTAAGGTGCATATTCATAGGTTCTTGGGATTAGTGGGGTTCCGTAGGCTGTCATTCTGCCCATCGTGTGTGAAAGATCCACCCCGGGAACTTGGTCTGTGGAGTCTCAGGCCGCACCTGCAGAGATTCAGACCCAGTGTGTCTGGGGCCAGGCCCAGGGACTGGCAGGTGTAACAAGTACCCAACCAGCTAGCGCAGGTGGCCTGAGGAGCTCACCCTTGAGAAGCACCAACTTGGATGCACACCAGGCTGCCACCCCCATGGCTCGCCCCGATGCCCCCAGGAGCCCCTGGAGACAGAAAAGAGGAATACTCATGCCCACTCTGAGGCTGGAGGCGGGCACTCAGGCTGAGAAGAGGGCGCCTTATTGACCAGGACAGAGACAGGGCTGGGGCTCCAGTCTTCAGGCACACAGTTGGGTGCGGCTGTGTGGCAGGGGGAGGGGGTGGTGGCCCCTCCCACAGCAACCCGCAGGCCTCAGCAGTAACTGAGCCCCCTCTGAACCTGCCACCCTGGACCTGCATGAGGCACCTTCCACAGGGCTCACCCCTCAGAGCTCCCCACCCACAGACCTCTGCTCCAGGAGAGAGATTCCATCTGCAGGGAGGGTGCTGGCACCGAGCCCTGCCAGAGCCACTTCCCTTGCAGGCGCGGCTGCGTGTGTGTCACCTGTGCTGTGTTCTGATCTAATTGTTTGTAATTACAAAGTAGCGGGATGTAAAATACTAATTGAAAATTGTTGGTGCTTCCCTTCTGGAGTCTGGAGAGAATGTGTGCCTGTCTGGTTACTAGGAAAAGGATTGTACTTTCTAGACCATTGATCTGCCGTCATTAAGGCTCAGATACAGCGCCCTATGAGTCAGCACGGGAACACTCTTTGCTGGATTCCTCTACCTGGGACTGCAGTCTCCTCCAGCTCTGCGAATGACAGAGCCGCCAGATTTGATGCAGTGTGCTGCCACCACTGCCCTATCAAGGGTTATTTATCTCATTTACTTTCAGAATGGGTGAGTTTAGTGAGCCTCACAATGGTCTCTGCATAGCACGGAATATGAAGAGACAGCCAGGCTGGGGTGCGTGGCATTGAGCTGCCACTGTGGGGAAGGGTGGCGGGAGGGGCAGCCAGCCCCATTGTCCCTCTTCCCCTCTCCACATACCCCACCAGTTCACTGCCCCAAGTGGCTGTGTTCTTACTGTACAGGGATTTCCCAGGACAAGGGGAGCCCAAAATGACAAATAGGCAGCCTCCACCCTGTCAGGACCTTGGGATGCGATGGATACAGATTCCTGAGGAAGGCATTGCCTGTCAAACTCAATAAAGGTCCGCACCTCCCCAAACCCTCACCTCTGGCCCTACTCCTGGGAGCACATGCCCCGCACAGCTCCACTGCATCTGTGCAGGGTGCCTGCAGGCCTGGCCTCCCAGATCAGCACCAGCAGGTGGCTGTAGTGTCCTAGGGGCAGTCACACCGTCACACAGAGAGACACCCACAGAGGCCCCTGCAAAGGGTGACACAGGAGACACACACAATCCTCCAGGCTCCCTTCCCCTTTCTGCCGTCTTCATGCAGATGAGCTCCGTGAACACGCTCTGAATTTTACATGAATACAAAATGAATTTATGTAGCATTCTGCCACTGGGATTTGGGGCTTTATCTGTTACAGCACCTCGCATTACCTGAACAAGTACATACCTCCAGCCAGAAAGCAAGCTCCATGGGGCAAACGCAGTTCCCTCTCCTACCACACCCTCCCTACCTGCAGCACCGGGAACAGCAGGTTTCAGCAAATAGTTTTTGGATGAATGAATGAATGAGTGAACAAATGAATGAATGAATCTGTGTGCCTAGAGACCTTCCCATGCCCTGACTTTGCCTACTCACCATCTCTTCAGCACAGGCGCCCCCAGGGGTGCAGAAAGGCTGGACGCATCCTCTGGGAGCGGTGGCCGCACTGCCTGGCTTTACCTGTCAGTCTCTCCCCAGTGCCCGTGAGCGCGGCACGGCAGGGACCCTGGGATCTCCTTTACCGTGTGTTCCCAGCTCTCGCCAGGATGCTTGTGGTACAGCAGGCGCTCAACAAACATGTGTTCTGTGACTGAATGCATAAACCAATATTTGTGAGCACTTTGAGTCCACAAAGCACTTTCACACACAAGGCCCTGCGCACTCCAGCTCCGTTTGACTCCTGGCTTCAGAGTGAGGGTTATGGTAACAAGGACAGCATTATCTGGATCTGCTGGTTCTTGAGTTATACATAGCAAGTACTAAGAGAGCAGTTTTTTTTTAAGATGTGAAAAAAATATCATTTTAGTTAATCTTTTTAGTTCCTAAGTTCAGATACTAAGGTTGTTGCCCAGGAGAGTGAAGGGCTAGTTGCAGTATAATCCATTTGATCTTCACAGTAATCTCTGAGGCATTAACATCCTCATGATAAATCCCAATTTCGGTTCAGAAAGGTTGAGTGATGGCGGACTGTACCGCATGGGAATGGCAAGGCCAGGCCTGCAGTGCAGCCACAGAGCTCTCTCTCCCTTTATGCTCCCTTCAGAAACCCAAGGGGCTACCTAAGAATAGCAACAGCGTGGCCTGGATTTTCTGAGAAGCCCCAATTTTAAATAGGTTTTCCACTCTGCCTGTAAGTGCACTAGAACATACACAGTTCTCTCTTGGAGAACACGGTCCCCATTCTTCCAATGCACAGCTCAAGCAGACATGGCCAGCCTTGCAACTGCTCACTCAGACTCTGCCTGCTGTGAATTGAGCCCTGAAACCATCACACTGCCGTGCCCCTCCCCAGACCCCCCATCCCCTGCCTGCCAAGCTTATTCTCTTACTCCCATCCCCACCATTGCCCTCCCACCCCCTAGGAAGCAAGCGGCCAGCTAGGCAAGTCCTTCCTATTTCTTTGGCCTCTGAGGCTTCAGGGATCCCAGTGAGTGGAGTAAGTTCAGGGAGGGCTGCAAACCAGAGGGACAGGGCCCCCAAATCACAGCCAGGGAGTCGCCTCACAAAACACCACTTGAAATAATTGGCTTCCGTGCCTGCGGAAATGTAGGTCAGTGCCTCAATGCGACAGCAAAAAAGCATGACCATCCAAGAGAAAGACAGAAGGGGAGTAATTACAAAATATAGATTAAACAACCATCAGATAACAAACCGAATAATAAGCATCAACACACGAGATGAAGGAAAACAGTTAAACCAACGGATTGTAGCTGGTTCCCGCGCTTGTCAAGAGGCCCCCTTCCCCTTTACGGCAAATGCAACTCCAGTCCCAGAACGAGCTTTCTCTTCTCTCAGCTCCATACTTGGAGCAGTCCCAGTAGGGGCTGTTCTTTGTCCCAGAAGAAATCAGAGCCTGGTCCTGCTGCGGGTTTTTGAGGCTTAGAAGGAGTTTTTGGATCCTGGAATAAGGGGACCTTTGGGGATGCATGGGGAGTGCAGAGAGCTCCACGCTTTGCACTGAAGTTAGCCCTGGAGAGCGTTCTACATGAGATCCTCCAAAGACTGTGTCAAAAACCCTGGTTTAAATGGAGTTGTCCTAATACCTTTACAGCTTCGCCCCTTCTGTTGGCAATTTTACCACCAGAAGGGGAGGTATCTGGAAGCTCGGGTAATAGAGACATCTCTTGACCAGGTGCCAGGACACCTTGGCCTGCACTTGGTTCTGTTAGTCGGGTATTAACCTACTGTGTGACCTTAGGCAAATTAATTAACCTCTCTGAGCCTCTGTGTCTTTGTCGGTAAGATGAGAGTCTCAGGAGATGATCTATAATGCATTGCTCTTCCTAACATGGAGCCGGGCAGGCTTCCTGTCTGCTGAGTGAGTGGGGCCTGTCTTGATTAAAGCCAGCAGAAGAAAGGGCGCCTTCCCCAGGCCCACCCAGCAGGTTCAGGGACTCACCGAGCCATGTGGGGCCAGTGCATCACCAGAGCTTTCCCCAGGTCCAGTGCGGGGCTCCTGCTCTCCTCAGGGCATTCCTCCACTTGAAGCAGAAGTTGCCGGCCCTTGTGGCCATGTCCCTCAGCTTCCTCCAGGGAACAGGAGGCCCAGGGTGTTGGAGTGCCCCCACTCCCCTGCCCTGAGCTCCCAAGCTCCTGCAGGCCTGGTGCAGTGAGGAGGCTGCCTGGCCCAAAGATGCCCCGAGACAAATCCCAGCCTCCACGATTGCTAGCCTGCCTGGGGCTTTGAGCACACCACCTCCCATTCAAACCCTCGGTTTCCTTACAGGGAGAGCAGGCTTCATAGCAACAGTTCACAGTGTTAAGAAACACGGACTACACCCAACTCATGTGGGTGTTCAAAAGTGATGAGTACTTTTAACACCACAGTTCTCACAGCTAATGCATGGCAGGCCCGAAACCAGGCTCCAGGAGTCCTATGAGACCCCTATTCTTCCGACGGCAACGTGTTGCTTCTGGAAAGAAACAGCACCTGCTCCTCCTGCCCCTTAGACACTGCTAAGCAGAGGAACTGAGCAGAAGTCCATGCTGGCTAAAGGGCAGTGACTTAGACCTTGAGAACAGCAGAAGGAGGGCACTAAACAGGGGCAGAATCCCTGAGCTCCAATCTCAGCCCCACAGTGGGGCAGCTCTGCTGGGTAACGTGGCAGGACTCTCCGCCCTTCTGCCCCTCCTATCCTGTTCTCATCATCAAGCAAGGATCGGGGAGCTTCGGCATCCATAACTTCACAGATACATTGCGAGGACCTGTCAGGAAAGGCTTTAAGAATATACAAACACTGGTCCAATGAAAACATTTGTAGTAGTAAGGGGCTTTTCAAACTTTGTGTTAGGATGACGATCACAAAAGATGATGGATGTGAAGGCATTTCGTGGATGTTAAAATACCGGGCAAATGCCAGGACCCTTCTTATTAGGAAGGCTGGACGGGCTGCTCCAGAGCTGAGAGAGGACCTGCTTAAGGTCTCATGGCTTGCCGATGGACACAGGACACCGAGCCTTCCTTCCCCTGGGCACTCTCCCCCAGTCTGCATGAGCCGACGGACACAGGACACCGAGCCTTCCTTCCCCTGGGCACTCTCCCCCAGTCTGCATGATGGGGTATCATGCTGAGGGAGGATAGCCATGGGCAGGCTCCCAGCTGGGTTTGTTTGCCTGACGAAAACCCTTCTGTTACAATCCCACTTATCGAAGCAGCTTCCATTTGTCAGAAAGAGCAACTTTGCATAATAAATTACACAGGTGTAATCAAATATTTCCATAGATTTAATTAGGTTTAATTTGTTGTCCTCAAGACGGTTCCCCTCCTTCCCAGCAGAGGTGGCCGCCCCTCCTGCTGCTCCCCTTTTGTCTCTTGTGCCGGAAACAGCCCCTAAAGCAGCCTCTAAGACAAGCCCATGGCAGGGCCTGCCCTGAGACCACCACGGCCTGATTAGACATAGTTGGGTATTTGGCTGGAGGGTGGGCGTGATGACCCTGGATGCTGTAAGGGCTTCACACTCTTAGGCTCTATGTCAGTATGGGCAGAGTGTTTACCCAGTTCTTTCTAATAGCTGCAAAGTGTGCTATTCTATGGATATAACACAATGATTTATCTCTATTAAGGGAACGGATCTGTGTGGAAACTCAGCCACTTACTAACTTGGACAAGTTGCTTTATTCTTAAGTCTCCATTAACTCTTCTGTAAAAAGGAGAAGATAACACGTGCTTTGCAGACCTCACAGGACAGCTGTCAGGCCTGTTATAGCTCATGTAAGCTGCCAAAACAAAATACAATAAACTGGGTAGAACAACAGAAATTTTATTTCTCACAGTTCTGGAGGCTGGGGAGTCCGAGATCAAGGCACTGGTATATTCAGTGTCTGGTGCAGGCCCACGTCCCGATTCACAAGCAGCCGTCTTCTCGCTGTGTCCTCAGGTGGTAGAAAGGGCACGAGGGCTCTCTCAGGCCTCTTTCATAAGGACACTCATCCCACCCATGAGGGCTGTGCCTCATGCCTCATCATTCCGAAAGGCCCCACCTTCTAAGACCACCACTTTGGGCATTAGTTTTAACATAGGAATTTGGGGGGACACCAACGTTCAGCCTACAGCAATGGCCATTTCCCCAGATTGAGTGATTGCCACGTGGCAGGAAAGCTCCATACCACATAAGAGCTCCACACTCATGACTTCATTTCATCCTAGAGCAACGCTACAAAACAGGAACGATGATCCCCACCTGCAGGTGAAGAAACCAAGACTTAGAGAGCTGACTTCGCATTTCCAAGGCTGCATTGCTGGTAGGTGACATGGCTGGGCCAGTAACAGGCCCAAGAGCACCACGGTGTGTGAAAGCCATTGAAAGTGGAAAAGCTCCACCAGACACACCTCTGCGGGGTAAGGGACAGCACAGAGGGTGCCCCAGCGGGGGCCAGGGCCACACTGAGCCACGTGCGGATGCCTTATTTTGCTCTGAATGGAGCGGAAGCCCAGTTTGCTGGAAGATCAGCAGGAAGGGGCTAGACCCACCCTCTAGCAACCAGGCCCACCTGCTTGGCCCCAGCTCCCCAGCCAGTGCTGTGCCTTCAGCAGTGACTTCACTACTGTCTTGACCTTGCTGCTGTTACTACAGTTTTGTTTCCTGGCTGTACCCCCAATGCACAGCTCACTGCATAACACAAGGTAGATATCTGATACATGCATGTTGTATGGAATTAAATTTCCTCTAATTTAAAGAAGCCAGTCAATGGGTGTGAATAGGGAGAGGGTTTCATGGGTGGGAAGCAGACAAAGCAGGAGAAAGAGGCAGTGAGGACCCCTCCCACCACGGGCTCCTCGTATTTCTGGACTGTGAACTCTAAGGAGGTGGCCAGCGGGGGGCCATGGCGAGAGGCAGGCAGAGTGTCCCATTATGGGCACGTGACAAGTCACAAGCTAGGATGCAGAAAAGCAGGTTTCTCCCACTCCCAGAGAGCGGCATCAGCCATCCTCATGCTCCTCACAGCCTGTGCACTTGTCACACTGGGAGGGCCCCCTCCTTGGCCTTCCTGCAGCATGCACCATGTTGGGGCTGGTGTGGGCAGGAACCTGGGACCAAATCCAGCCTACCACCCGCGTCTGTAAAGAAAGTGTTATGGGAACACAAGGCCACAATGAACAGAGCCAAGCCCACGCTTTTAGCGACTGTCTATGGAAGGTTTGCTACAATGCCTGCATTTAGTAGTTGTGAGAGATACCATATGGCCCACAAAGTCTGAAATATTTGCTCTCTGACCCTTTCCAGGAGAAGTCTGCTGATGCTGGCCTCGAGAGAAGGTCGGGGACTCCATTCTCCACCACAAGCAGCTCCATCCCCTTCCTGCCTCCTCTGCCCCCATCCCCAGTCTTAGAACAAGGGCAGCTCCCAGCAGGGTCATATTCAAGATATTTAAGAACTGGTGTGACGCGTGCCACCACTCACAGCAGAAACCTCAGACCTGGAGCAGAAAGGGTGCTGAGTCCGCAGGTTGGCCCTTTGACTCCAGTAAACTCAGGGGCCATCAGGAGGCCAAGGAAGGCCAGGGCAGCGTGGACTACAGGGAGATGGGCACTGGGGAGACTCAGGGCAGTCTGCCAAACAGCACAGCCACAGTGGGGCCTGTCAACACCCCACCAGGCATACACGAGAACTGAGAAGAGGAATGGGGGCAAGAAGCCTGTCTGCAAGCCCAGCCGCCAGGTCTCTTTCCTCCCTTGACCACAGTGAATAGAGCAGGAGAGGGTGAGGCTTGGGTTCCAGCCCTTTCCGGGTCAGGTTCCCAGCTGAGCTGGGCATAGAGCTGCCTGGCACATCCCAGACCTGCTCAGCCTCCCTGGCAGCTGCCTGGCCTGGGCCGCCTGAGGCAGCCTCATCTCCCCATGCTGGGGAGGACGGATAAGAGCCGGCCAGAGGGAAAACTGCCCAGGGTGCCTCTCAGCACGTTCTGGCCATGGTCTGCAGAATAATCTTTTTTAAAAATAAATCCAGCTGGAGTCTCAGCTGAAAACAGCTTCCTCAAAATGGCAGGATAAATTGGACACTTTATTTCAGTGGTAAAACAGCTAGGCTGCTGAACGGCTGGGGAAAGGGCTCATTTCAGCAACTTCATTTCAGGCTGGAGTCTCAGGCTCATCCGGGGTGGGCAGGGGCCTCTCCCACCGTGCCTCTGCGTGGAGGGGTGAGAGGGTGCGGGCAGGACCCCGACCAATCATGCTGGACGCCCCGGGTGGTCAGATCAGTCCTGGAACGATCATCACTTCTCAGATTTTTCGCAGTGGTCCGAGTTCCCCAAAGCACAGCCTCTGGTCAGTCCTGAGGGAGCGCAAGCTGTGTCTGCTTGCTTGAAGATCGTTTCATCTGAAGGCCGGACCTCTGGATGCTGTTTTGATCCAAGAGAAAGACTCTCAAATCAAATAAATGAATCCTGAAATTGAATACCGATTTAGAATAAAAATGAGTGAGGCAATATTTCTCCTGGAGTGAGTCTTCCGTGGGTGTCCGCCTGAGGAAGAGAAGTGTCTGCGCCTTAAAGGTGAGCAGATCTTTACTAGTCCACGGCTGCAGAACTCACAGGGCCCTTCTCCAAACTCTGACTTGTTTAGCCCTCACTACAACCCCGAGAGAGACACGATTCTCTTTTCTCCATTTAACAGTTAGAAAAACAGAGGATGCAAAGACTTACATACCTTTGCTCAAACTACAGAGCTGCAAATGGAACCAAGTCCTCTCATTCAAAATGCCACGTGGACTGTGCATGTTCCCCCAACCAGAAAGGAACGGTTCTCTCCGGTTAGTCTAAGTGTCTTTTGAAACTGAACCAATAGACAGACAGCATGGCACTGTGGATGAAGCATGAACTGGAGAAACTGGAATCTCTGTTATCCATCTGCCTCTTGCCCTGGAAGGTTCTGGAAGGATTCTACAGACTTGAGTTGACATATGTTCATTCTGCACCCATTCCTATCCAATTTCCTTAACGCTGAATCCTGTAGTGCACACCAGACGGTCATTTAAGGGAAGGACCTCATACCCTGACCTGCTCAGCCAGCTGTCCCTTCATCTGCACTATCAGCTAAAGGGAACACACTCCACCTTGCAGGGGCACAGCAGAATTCACTTCTGGAATTAAAAGAAAAATGTTAACTTCTTCTGAGTAGAATGTAGTAGGTCATAACAGAAAAATACTTCTTCTGCAGTAATTAAAATAAGCAGAATAAATTTTTTAAATCATATTTTTAAAGGCACTAAAATTCCAGACCCAAAAGAGCCCTGCCCAGGTGAGCTGAGGCCTGCAAGCTATTCTTTCCCAATGGGCACATTTGCTGATTCTGGGTTTAGATCAGTGGCAGTGCCTGGCCCAGCCCTGCTGGAGGAAACTCTAACTAGTGAAGCTTGCAGCCATTGAATAGGGCAGGAGCAGGGAGCTGCATGCTGGAGCTACCTCAGCACACAACCGGTTTCTGCCGTGGGACCTTTGCTGATTCAGGCAAGGAGACTGTGGATGCAGCTCAGAGCTAGGCCTGATGCTTCCAAAAGTCAGCTGAAATCACCTGAGGAGTCTTGTGTTCAGGAAACAAAGGTGGGCCAGAGGTCAGGGGATCTGCCTCAAAGCACTGCAAGTCTTCCCATCAAGATATTCACTAGGTTTTGAGCCTCCTTGGACAATGAGGCTGGAGTCTTGGCTCTGGGACCCTGAAGGGCAACAAGGAACATCCCACAGTCTTTCAGGGCTGAGGCGAACAAGGGCAAAACAGAGAGAGGCTGAGTTTGTGTTTTTCCTTTCTTTTGCATTCCGCGTATTTGTATTTAAAATTCATGTTGTCTACATGCTATGCCGGTGGGCATTACCTTTCAATCCAGGCTTCCATCTCTGCTTTCTGATTAGAACCTCTAGTCCATTTCCTCGGAATCTAATTGTATGGGCTGGTGTGAATCTGCCTTCTGACCAATTGTTTCCATTTTTTCCTTTGGCTTTTGCTGTTCTGTTGCTCCTTTTCTGTCTTATTTTAGGTCAATGGAATATTTTTCAGCATTCCATTGTGTCTTCTCTATTAGCTTTTAGGCTAGACCTCTTTGTTATTATATTAGTAGTTACTCTAGGGATTACAATATTCATCCTTATCCCAGTATAATTAGCATTAACATTGTATCACTTCACACCTGGCCCTCCACTCTTCCTACTTCATATTTCACATATGAAAGAACTTTGACAAGGTTTAATTTGATTAACCTGGCTCCGTCCTCTGTGCTGTTATTGTTATACCTTTTACTTCCACATGTTAAGCCCCCTACCTTGGAGTCATATTATTTTTGCCTTGAACACATCAACTGTCTATGAACAAAATTAATTGAAAAAAAGATGGTTTTTATATTGACTCATATATTTAATGTAGTAAACATTTAATGTATTAAACTCCTCATTTCTTCCTGTAAATACCAATTTTTATCTGGCATAGTTTCCTTTCGGCCCCAAACACATTCTTTAGTATTTATTTCAATGCAGTTCTGCTGGAAACAAACTCTTACAACTTCTGATTATCAGAAAATGTCTTTATTTTTGCAGCCATATTCGAGCAGTATGTATTGGATATAAAATTCTGGGTTAGCATCATTTTTGTTTTTTACTTTCAGTTCTTTAAAGGTTGCTCTATTATCTTTTGGCCTTTGTTGTTTCTTATGAGAAGTCGCGTCATGCATATTGCTGGCCCTCTGTAGGTTTATTTGCTTATGCTGTTTCCAAGATTTGATCTTCATCTTTGTTTTTTTATGTAATCTGCATAGACACGACGTTTTCCTTGTATTTATCCTATTAAGTTATTGCTAAGCTTCTTAGATCTCTACGTAATGTTTTTCTTCAAATTCAGGAAATATTTGGCTATTATTTTTTCAAATAATTTTTACTACCACATTCTTATTATCTACTCCTTCTGGGACTCAAGGATATTGTGCTGTGTTGTCTCATTGGTTAGTGACACCTTTTTCTTCATTTTTTCCATTTCTTCTGTGTTCTTCAGTTTGCATGATTGTATTGAATTATTTCAAATTTTTCCTTTTATTTCCAGTGTGCCATTTAACCCATCCAATGAATTTTTCATTTAAATTGTTAAGGATTTTAGTCCTGAATTTCTTTTTTATTCTTATTTATAAATTCCATTCCTTTGTTGGCAGTTCATATCTGTTCATTCATTAAAATTAATTTTATAAAGTTCTCTAACATATTTATATTAGCTGCTTTGAATTTTTTGTTTTCTAATCCCAACACCTGGGCCATCCTATTTCTTTGCTTTGTTAATAATATTTTTATTGTACGTTGGATGTTGTGATCACACATTCTAGAAATTCTGAATTCTGTTATAATCATCAGAAGACCGTGGATATTTTTTCTAGAACCTAACTCAGTTACAAGTGGACTGCCTTTAAATGCAGTCTTGTTTTCATATTTTGTTATGGTGTAGGTCTGTGAAAATCCAAGCCCTTCTAGCTGGCAAGATTCAATCTCCAAATCCTAAATTATCTTTAAAGTGCTTCATTAATTTTAGACTTTGTTAAGGTGACTGTAGAGGAGTCTTGACTCTAGAATAAGGTCCCTCCTCCAGCGCTGTGAGCTCCTTGGTGTTCCAGTCAGATGCCCAGGGCGTCCAAGTTCTCCTCGTCTGGCTAGGCTAACGTTCTGATGCCACCGTTAACCTCTAGCACCTTTATTCTCTTCCCAAATCCATAGCAGCTGCTCCACGGCAGACTCCCCATAGTCCCTTCCTAATCAAAAGCATCCTAGCCATTGGAAAAGAGCTCAGAGACATCTCCACACAGATCTCTGTGACCTCCCTATGCAGCTGTCCCTGCTCTCATCCTCTGCCATCTGAGCCTTAGTAAAACAAGCAACCTAGCCCAAATTCAGCTCATGTCACTAGCAAAGTGAGATAAGCCCATCGCCCTTCTGCCCAACAGAAGAGAGTGAAAGTGCAGGAATAATCTATCACTTGAGTCTTTTATAGACACTATGCAGTGCACAGCAAAACAAAAAAATCACTAGGCTGGTGAAGAAGATATATGTGTGTGTGTGTGTGTGTGTGTGTGTGTGTGTGTATATATATATATATATATTCTAGACCATATTCTAAAGGCCATAGTAACCCTAACAAAACCTAATTAAGTATGTATGTGTGTACATAATTATCACATATGTACTTAATTAAGTCTATATGTTTAGTTAGCACATATATACACTTAAGTCTATATATACTTAATTAGCAAGTGTGTATGTGTGTGTGTATATATATGATATGTGGTATATATCTGCTATATATACCATAACAAACTATACTTGCTAATTAAGAGAAAAAGCAGACCAATGATTTAGGTATTATAATTAGCAGCAAAAACTTTTAAAACTGATTTAATAGTGTTATGAATAGAAGAAAAAATGATAACATAAATGAAAAGATGGAAATTTTGACATGTATAATTGGAACCTATAAGGAAGTGAAAATGCAATATCTGAGTATTAATCAATTATTAAGAGCATATTGGATTTAGATAAACACAGAATTAGTGAACTGTAAAAGAAGTCAGAGGAAAGCACACGGAGGAAAAAGAACTAAGAATACATCCAGAGATCAAGAGACATGCAGGACACACTTTGTAGGTCTAAAAATGAGCAAAATGAGCATAACTGAAATACTGAAACAATAGGAGTGATGACATGTTCCAGAAGCAATATTCAAAGAGATGAAGATTGAAAACTGATCGAGGACAGCAACACAGAGATGAAAGAAATCAGTAAACCTAAAGCAGAATAATTACCCCAAAATCCACTGGTAGGCATATTATAGTAAAACTGATTTTTAAAATACTTCAAAACAACCAGGGGTTAACAATATTCCTTCAAAGAAAGAAAGAGTAACAGGAGCTTACTTCTCGGGAAACGAAAGATAATGAAATGCTATTCTTAAAGGGCCAAAAGATTTAAACAAAAGTGCAAGTCTTATAAAAATGATTAAATTTTTTTAAAATAAGACTTGGCTAAACAAAATGTGAGCAAATTGATGGCCGGCAAATCTTAACTACAATAAATACTAAAGGAAATTAACCAGTCTGAAGAAAATATTGTAGATGGAAACAGAATTGCATGATTAATGAAGATAATCAGAAAGGGAACATATGTGAGTAGATAAAAACGAATATCCGCCGGGCACGGTGGCTCACGCCTGTAGTCCCAGCACTTTGGAAGGCCGAGGTGGGCAGATCACCTGAGGTCAGGAGTTCAAGACCAGCCTGACCAACATGGAGATACCCCATCTCTACTAAAAATACAAAACTAGCTGGGCGTAGTGGTGCATGCCTGTAATCCCAGCTACTCGGGAGGCTGAGGCAGGAGAATCACTTGAACACGGGAGGCGAAGGTTGTGGTGAGCCGAGATTGCGCCATTACATTCCAGCTTGGGCAACAAGAGCGAAGCTCCCTCTCAAAAACAAAAACAAAAAGAATATCAACCATGGATTACAGCAATAATAGTAACGGCTTGTACAGTTTCAACTATACGCAGACTTAAAATGGGCAGTAACTCTAAAGCAAAAGGCAGCAGTGGTACAAATATAGCTGAAAGGTTCTAAAGGTCTAGCAACATCACAGAAGTGGTAAAATACAATTTGTATTAGAAAGGAAGACATCAAAGATGTATATTGTACTAGCTAGAGTAACTATGAACAAAAAACAAAAGAAAGATACATGACAAGCTGATTTAAACAATGGAATAATAAAAAATATGAGATGAATTCACAGGAACTCAAAAAATGAGAGGAAAATAAACATAAAGCTGTTTGTACAAATAGAAAATTAATAGTAACAAAGTGACTGTAAACCCACCCAATTCAGTAAAAACATTGGCTGTAAATGGAATCCTGGTGACACTCTGTTTCTTGATCTAGGGGCTCATTACCTAAGTGTGTTCAGAATGTGGGAATGTAAACTTAAGATTTCAACACTATTCTATTTGTATTCATTTATATTTTATGTATCTTTTAAAAGGCACTTTAAAGCATTATCAAAATGTTTACCTTCTGGAAAATTATATTACCAAAATGCCAAAGGTAATGGAAAATGAGCTTGTAAAAAATATTTTCGTCTTTTATTTATGTTTATTTTCTAATATTTTAACAAAAAACCTATGGATTTTGCATAGTTACCAAAAATTAAAATGGATATCTTTTTTTACTTTATTAATACTAACTATAGATAAAGTATACATTAGAAGTCCATGAATGCAAAGATGGTAGTGTCATCTGGCCCTTCTCCTAAGCCCACCGTTCTCAACATCTCACACTGAATGTACAAGGAACAGTCACTCCTTTCCTGCATCTGTCAATGTACCTGGGTTCCAAGTTTCAGAGCAGAAACCAAAATAAATTAGATTGGAAATGTAGGCTTCTTAGCTATTAGAGAGGCAGAGAAGATGCTTGTAAGCCTGCCGTTTCTCTTTTCTTCTCTCCTCTACCCTGGCCGTAAAAAACCTAGCAGGATGCCTGAGCAGCATTTGCTATTAAGCAGGACAAGACTCTATTCAATGCCCAAGGCAGTAGATGGGGCTGCTGGGGCTGGGATTGCAGGCTGCGGAAGTGATCCAGATAGGACTACAAAGTCATAGCTGTGTGGGTGATGGGAAAAGAGAAAGAGAATTATCTGGCCTTTTTCACTGGCTGAAAAATATTAGAAATTATTTCCAATGTCTCGGAGAAAAATTACCCAATTTTAGTTCCAGTGGCTGGGAGGTCTGGAGTTTTCTTCAGCACAGGGAAGAGATTCAGCATTAGGGAGCTCTATGTCTCCCTCAGTCCCATTCCTAGAAGCAAAAATTTTGATGTCAACAAACTCTGTAGAGCAAAGTACAGCTACAGGGATAAGTGAGTAGCTCTCAAGGCTAGCTCCTAGGTGGTCAAAGTCAAATAAACCTCACCATTATTTTCTCCTACTCTTTCCTCTCATCATTCTCACTAGCAACATTACATCACTTTGAGCAACTCCATGAGGGGATGAGTGTGAAGGCGTGGGACGTGAAGTCTCCACTTAAACATTCTATGAGTGCCCCAAACCCAACACATCCAGAATTAGGCTTATCACCTACCCCCAAAGCCTACTTCTCCTCTGATATTCTTTCTCCCCATTTGCCCAAACTGGAAACTTTGGAGTCGTCCCTGATAGCCCTCATACTCTTGTTTTTCATGTATAACATTCTAACAGTGCCCTTGTTTCTATAGGCCTCATCTAAGAGTCACTTCAATCTGTCTCTTTTTCTGCTTCCCCTTGGCCTTCATCATCATCACTGTCACCATCATCATCATTATCGCCATCATCATCATCATTATCACCATCATTGTCACCATCATCACCATCCTCATCACGTCACCATCGTCATCATTATCGCCTTCATTGTCACCATCATCACCATCACCATCACCGTCACCGTCATCACCATCATCATCACTGTCACCATCGTCATCATTATCGCCATCACCGTCACCGTCATCTCCATCATCATCACTGTCACCATTGTGAAAGGAAAGTATTCTGGGCCCACAAAATCACTACTGAAAACTCAAGCTGAAAACTGCTTAGGGCAAACCTGCCTCCCATTCTATTCAAAGTTATCTTTCTGCTCACTGAGATCGATGCATTTCTGATTTGCCTCCTTTGGAAAGACTAATCAGAAACTCAAAAGAATGCAACCGTTTGTGTCTCCCTTATCTGTGACCTGGAAGCCCCTCCCTACTTCAAGTCTTCAAGTCTTCCTGACTTTGCTTGAAGTTGCCCCTCCTTTCCAGTCCGAACCAATGTACTTCTTACCTATATTGATTGATGTATCATGTCTCTCTAAAATGTATAAAACCAAGCTATGCCCCAACCACCCTGGACACATGTCATCAGGACTTTCTGAGGCTGTGTCACGGGTGTGTCCTTAACCTTTGAAAAATAAACTTTCTAAATTAACTGAGACCTGTCTCAGACTTCCTGGGTTCACATCATCATCGTTATTGTCATTATCATCATCGTCATTATCATCATCATTGTCATCATCACCACCATAACCATCATTATCATTACCATAATTATCATCATCACCTTCAGCAACAGCATCATTATTGTTATTATTATTGTCATTTTCATCATCATTGTCATCATTATCATTATTGTCATTGCTGTGGACCTATCACACTGGCCTTCATCTTCTCCCTCTTCAACACACACCCATCTGTCAAGCTGGCCCCAAGAATCTCAAGTCTTATTATGTCAACTTCATTTTCAGACTCCTGAAGGTCCCATGTGGCTGGCAGGTTAAATCAACCACAGAGGCACAGCAGAGGGTCTTGTCATCATGGGGTTGTCACTGACCTTACTGGCCTCACTCCCTGCTTCCCTTCTCTGGGCATGGCCTCGCAGAACTTCTCTCCAACACTTGAAAAAGGCGTACGATTTGGCATCTCTAAGCTTTGGTTTATGCTCTTTGCTCTTGCCTCCTCCTGCATTCTGACCCCTCCAACTCCTCCTCCACAATATGGCACAGATGTCACCTCTCCTGAGAAGTCTTTTCCGGGTCTTCACTCCTGCTGCTATGCATTTACCAGCCATTGCACTTCTATTTCTTTTTTGTTCTCAATTTTTAAGCATTTACTACACATGAAATATCATACTAAGTGCCTTAAATAATATAGCTCATCTAATTTAATACCCGTAACAATCCTGCAAGGCAGATACTGTAATTATCCCCGTTTTACTGATGAAGAGAATGAGTCCTAAGTTAGATAACTTATCCAAAGTCTTGGCCGGGCATGGTGGCTCATGCCTGTAATCCAAGCATGGGAGGCTTGGATGTAATCCACTTTGGGAGGCCAAGGTGGGCAGATCACCTGAGGTCAGGAGTTCAAGACCAGCCTGGCCAACTTGGTGAAATCCCATCTCTACTAAAAACACAAAATTAGCTGGGCATGGTGGTGGGTGCCTGTAATCCAAGCTACACAGGAGGCTGAGGCAGGAGAATCACCTGAACCCGGGAAATGGCGGTTGCAGAGAGCCAAGACCGCACCATTGCACTCCAGCCTGGGCTAAAAATCAAAACTCCATCTCAAAAAAAAAAAAAAAGTCTCAAATCCAGCTATAACTGAGATTTTAACTCGGATCTGAGGGCCCCTGAGTCCTGGCCTTCTCACCAAGTGGAATAGTTCTCAAGGCTTTGTGCTGCCCCCTGCACTGGCTGTGGGCTTGCTGACTATGGACATGAGTGGTGCCTGCACAGAACAGAAGCTCCATCATTCCTCCGAAGATGGTGGCAATCCCACCATGCCTACAACGAGGAGCACACGAGATGTCTCTAGTCTCCCGTTTTAAATGCTCGGATAACTCACAGCAAGCATTAAAACATAGAGTCCTCATTATGGGGCCGGAGGCACGGACATGTTGAACAAACACCATCCCTGTCCTTGAGGAGCACATTTCACAACACAATCCAGCTAAAGAGGAAGAAAGGCTCAGAAGCCTACCGCGTGTCAGGGCTGGAAATCAGCCTCGCCTTACCTGTCCTCCAGCTCCTCTCAGCAATTCTCTAAAGGGAAGGCCCCATCCCTGGACCTACCTCAGAGGCTCCTCAGACCCACCACCTCAGCCGGCTGAGCTCCAGTCTGAAATGAAGTCACCTTGAGGGTGGCCTGCCATCCCCTCCCACTGCCCCCACCCAGAGCCAGCTCTCCTTCCTTATCAGCTGCCCCACCTGACACCTGCCCTCCCCAGGCAGTCCCACAGCTGGTCTGGAGAGCATTCCCCATCTCAGCCTCCAGCTTCCCCAAGAGCCCAGAGCAGCACTTCGACCCCCTGTGAACAGCAGGAGTCAGACCCCCAAGCACTGCCTGCCTGCCCGGGGCAGACCACCACGTCCTCTGGTGAGAAGGGGCTGGGCAGCGGCCTGGGGCAGTGGGACTGCAGTGCACTCTCTCGCCAGCCTGGAGTCTCCCAGGGGCAAGCCACAGAGGTGGGGACAGGCAGAGACACTCTGATGCCAGGGAGCTGAGAGGGCCTTTCTCCCCTGCAGAGTGCTCGTGAGCACCTGTGAACACATACCAGGGGATTGTGGGGCCATGAGCGAGTGGACTCTAACTGCCACTCTATGCAAGCAGCCTCAGGTAGGGAGCCACCCACAGCCTGGGGCTCAGTCTGCAGAGGCCTCCAGCTCTGTGGCCCTGGGCGAGTTAAACAGCCTCAGTGGGCCTTTCTTTGGCCTTTTCTAAGATGGACACTGTGATAATAGTATATTCCTGGTAGGGTTTTGGAAGGATGAAAGAGTTATCATATGTTAATTAGGTAGAGTAGTCTCAGGAAAATATCAATAGTGTCATTTTATCCTTGATGTGGGGCCCAGTGCAATGGGGCTATGTAGCCACAGTGAATGGATTCGAAAGAGGGATTTCCTTGTGAGTATTTTGCTTTTCAATCCGCAGAAGAGGCTCAACTTCCTTTCCCTGCTTTGCCTTCATATGATGTCAAACTCCAGGAACTCCTGTGGGCCTCAGTCCCCATCCCCCCTCCCAGAACAAGCGGAGAGGCAGCTGCTTAGACCCTGAGATGAGATGCCTGGGACAAAAGCTGCCAGGCACAGTGGTGTGGCCTGTGGTGTGGAGAGTGGGCAGTCCCAGCCCAGGCTGTCCTTTCCCTGACCCCTAAGAAAGGCATGAGAGCTGTTCTCTGAGCTCCGTGGGCAGTGACTTCTGACTGAGCCTCACCTAAGCACTATCACGCCCTGTTGTCATTCTCTCTGTCTGCCACTGGCCTTCAAATGCAGGGACCCTGTGGCCTCATCAACCCTAGCCTTGACCATGGCAGCAGGAAAACAGTAGTTGCTCAATAAATATTAGACAGACGAATGAATGAATGGATGAATGAATGAGGTTTCAGGGTAAGGTTGGGAAGATAAGAATTGAAGCCGCAACAAAGAGCCCTCCCCCAAACCCCTGGGCCAACCTGCTGCTGCATCCCTGATGTGAGAAAATCCTGGGGTGAGATCCCTTCATCATCAGCCGTTCCAAATGGCAGCAGCCTCTAACGCAGAGTGTGGCAGTGTGGAAGAGGGGCAGGGAGTCTCTCCAGTCCCTGTAACATGCAGAGTGTGGCAGTGTGGAAGAGGGGCAGGACGTCTTTGCAGTCCCTGTAACAGTCACTAAATTAATGTCGCATTTGATGGTTTGTTGATTAATATCCTAAAATAATTTATTTCTAGTTATGTTTGAAATGTGTGTTTGTAAGTACTGATTTGACACAAATATTAAATAAAGTAGAATATTTACAAAATTCTTCACCTGGAGACTCTAGGAAAATCCATAGCTCAGTAACTTGGAAGCCTGTGAAACCTCCACTTTGATAGGGAGAGGCAAACCGCCCTGAGGGCACCGACCAACCCTGCTCTCCCAGCTGACGGGCCTGCCCTGGAGAGCGCCCAGGCTTCCCAGTGGGGACCGAGAGGCTGGACAACAATAAAACAAGCCTGGACACTCGCAAAGCACCTCAAAACGCAGCCCTGAGGGAGGAGGAAGGTGTCTCACTTATGCCATTTGACAGCTGAGAAAACCAAGGCTCTGTGCAATTTTAGTGCCAGCCACTACAAGACTCCCTCCAGAAAGGAGGGCGCTCCAGGCAAAGCCTCTCCCTGGAGCTGGCCAGTGCTCTTCAACCCCCCTTGGAGCCCAAGCCTACCCACCTGGGCACAGCCTGGGGCCCCACGAATCCCCCCTCACCTGCACTAAAGGGCTATGACCAGAACATTCTCATTCACCACCCCACACACATTCCTGAAAGGCCCACTGAGGGCCAGCAGAGCCGGCCTGAGAGCTGTGCCTGGGACAGCTGCCTGCCCAAGGGAAGCAGGATGCATTCCTGAGATGCAGCTGGCCCCAGGGAGCTCCAGCCCCATGGCAGCAGTACAGGCTGTGAGCGGTCGAGAGCCCTCCCTGGGAGTCCACTGGGATCTGTGGGCACCACCACCCGGTGTTCCCCAGGCCTTCCTAACCCCCAGCCACTGCCACTCAGCCAGGCCCAGCTGGGGGCTGAGGTTACAGAGGCCAGAGAGGAGACAGCACTTCTTCCAAGCTTCCTGGGCCCTGCTGGCCCCCCCCCATCGAAGCTGCTGCACTGCAGAAAAATAAAACCTCAGACAATTTTTTTTAAGCAGGAGGAGGAGGGGGTAAAAAATAGCAGCCCACAATTAGGGAGCTGCTGAACTTCTGAGCAAACTAATGAAGAAACCAGCCCTTGACGGCTTCCCCACTGCCGCCGACGGGATAATTGTGCCTCATTTCTTAATTTTAATGCCGTTGTTGCATTTGGCTTCTGCTAATGAGATGTAAATATGTGTTGCGGGTTTGTGGATTTGTTTAATTGCAGGGTATCTAAACTGAGATTGGCCAGAAGGTTAGTCTTCCTTATTTTTTATTTTTATATGCCCCTGCTTTCAAGCAAAGACAGTGAGGCTGGGAGGGTGGTGGCTGCGGCTGTTGTTTGCCTCTGTCCCTGTCCTCCTCTTCTTTGGAAGACAGAAAGGAAGACCTAGGGCTTCCTGGTTGAGGGCTGGTGGTTTTGAGGTATGGAAAGGGGGATGAAGGGAGGGCTACCGGAAGCCTTTCCCTCCCCAGGACAACCTGCTGCTACACCCCTCCTTGGCCAGGCTGATGGAAAGATATCCGTCTCCTCACCAAGGAAGAAGGAGGACGTGGGCTGGGCCCAGCTGTGGTCTGGAGCAGCAGGTGGGGTTCAGACCAAAGCTGCATGCAAAGTGGCAGCCAGGCAGCAGGGGCGGGAGGGGCTGAGGTCTCACATCTCATCTCTGACACATCAGCCTTGGGGGCACGGAGGAGCTAGTCCAGAGACTGGAGAGACAGTGGATGTTCAAGCCTCCCAGTAGCGCTGCTTCCATGTCTGAGTGCTGGGACTGTTCTCAGCCTCACCTCCTGTCCTCAGCTGGGATATGGCTATCAACAGCCCTATGAGGAAGGGGCTATCATTGCTGCCATTTAACACATGGGATAACAAGGTAAGAGAGGTTAGTAAGTTTCTCAGAGTCACGGAGCCAAGTGGTGCAATGAGGTTGGAAGCTGGGGCAGTCCTACAGCAAAGCTGATGCTCTCTGCTGGAGTCACACTTCCTCTTATCTACACCATCAGTCTGGCATGGGTCCCAACGCCGGCCCCCACAGAAACCCACCTCTGTGCTTGGGTAACTTACCACAGCAGCAGCACGGGAGAGAATCTGCTGGGCCAGCAGCCGAGATGGATCCCAGGCCCCGCTGGGAGGCCTCCATGGCAGGGCTGTGCCTGGTCATCCGGCAGAGCCGGGACCTCTCCCCACACTCACCATGTCCCAGAAGCAGCCAGGCCCCCTGCAGACTCCACGCCAGCATTTGCATCCCTCTGGAGAAGGGAGCACTTCCTCATGCTTGAGAGAAGTCCTTGATCCCGAGGTTTTAAGTGGAATCTTCACCAGCCGCTCTCAAGAACAATTTCAGATATTTAAAGGAAGACACTAGGTATCCCCTCAGCCTTCTCTTTGTAGAGATAAACCATCTTGATTGCCTCGGCCTCTCCTCCTGAGCTAGGTTCCTCTGAGACCCTCTGACAACTCTCCCCGGGGTCTCCTCAATGCTTTGGACCCCAGACTTACTTGAGAACCACTTTAGTCAGGGTGAGAGTAGCAAAAATATTCCTTCTTGGTCCTCACAAGGAGTGATGCTTAGAAATCAGCAACGTGCTTCTTTGGAACCCTCCTCCCTGCCCCGTCCTCGCCTCCCTGCCCCGTCCTCGCCTCCCTGCCCCGTCCTCGCCTCCCTGCCCCGTCCTCGCCTCCCTGCCCCGCCACCTCTAGTCTGAGTTCCATTTCCAGGCCACTTTGCTGTCTTTTGGGGAAAGAAACTGATGAAACAGTGCCTCCAGGTGACACCTTGTGTTACTTCTCCCAGAGGTATCTGCATTTTAACCAGCATATTCTGATAAACTGAGATCTTAACGCCCAACAGAAGGAATTACTAAAGGTGAAATTTCCCAGTCAACTAAGAAAAACAAACAACTTTAAGAAGAGAGTCCTCCTATCTCAGTATCGAGATGGGGGGTAGGGGGTACGAACACTGCCCCTGCCGGTGCAGACGCCCTGCCTGTGTGCCCGCGTCTCCCCACATTTCTTCTTCTCTGGGATCTTTGAGCTACTTCTATGTTTTCCTTCCTGTGTTCCTCCCAGCATTTGCTTTTCTCCTTTGCTTTCATGAGTGCCTCCAGATGAAGTACAAGGTGCTCTCAGCAGGCATCAGGACACCCACCCTCTAGTCCCAGCTCAGATGCCCAACACAAGCCTGGAGAAATGCACTCCAGGACACTTTCCCAAGGCGAAGGCTCCCAGGATGGGGAGGAAAGGCATCTGGTCTCCCCATCTATCTATGGCGGGAACATCTGACCCCACATTCCAGGCAACAGCTTGTCCAGCCTATGCTTGGATCCTTCCAAGAACCCAGTTCTTCCCAGTGTACCCTTTCATCCATGAGCAGTTCTGAGGCAAGGACTTCTCGTTGGACTGATCTGAAATGGATCTCCCACTACCCTGGAGCAATAGGTTCTGGTCCACTCATAGGAGGTCATATGAGGAAAACAGGAGTTGGGGGACCTGGGCTCACCCTTCCCAGCAGCCATGTGCTCTTGGGCAGTCATTTGTCCCCATTTGAACAACAAGAATAATAATCTCTACCTCAAAGTGGCTATTGTGAGGACTAAGTAAGTTTATGCGTGTAGAGTGCCTCCTCCACATAGGAGGAGAATGATTAGTTAAAGCTCAGCCTTCTCTACACAAGGCCGTTTCAAATTTTGTAGACAGCAGTAATGCCTCACCTCCATTCTTTTGAGACATGCTTTAGGCATTTAGGTAAAATGACTCAACATCCCGCCACAATTCCAGCTTCTTCATGGAAATGACATAGTAACAACCTCACTTACCCTGTTTACCTCCAAGGGCCATGTAGAGTGTCAAACACAGTCATAAACCTGGCAAAACTGCAAAGTACTAAGACCAAGTTAGGTATCATTCCTTCCGGTTTTCCTGTACCTCCTTCTCCTTCTATTTCTCTTTGCCGCTTGCCTCTACCCCTTGTCTCTTTCTCTTTTTTCTTCAGCCACCGCATCACTCCCTATCAGCCCTTTCTCTTTCTTCCTCTGCCCTCTCCACTTCACTCTGCAGCAGCTGCCCTGGGCTCCACACACCCCTGCTGGCTGGGGTGGGGAGCACAGCGGGAGGCAGACTTGGGGCCCCTCCAACAGCCTCTGAGAGAATTCACAGCTATTCATTCCCTTGCATGTGTGGTGGAAAAAGTGCATCTGCCTTCATTTAATAATGATAATAGAAAACAATATTTATCCTATGAAGAAAGCCAGGTGAACACTTTGAAAACAAGAAGATCCTCCTTAGCCAGCCAGTCAGCTCATGACACAGCTCCAATGTAATTGATGATGTTGTCGATCTCGCCAAAGGCCTGTGTCTCTCTGGGTTGGCTACCTGGACCCATCACACGAGCACTGAGCAAGAAAACCTGGCTGGAGAAGTACCTCATCTATAAGCTCTTCTGACAGGCACAAGGAGTAAAATGTAGGGATATGTAATAAATTTGGCAGAGTGCCCCATTGTGTCCTATTCTTGAAGAGCAATGATTCACAACCTTAGATGCTTATTAAAATTACAGAGAAGTCTTTCCATGTCGATACCCGAGTCCTACCCTAGACTAAGTGTGTCTGTCTTTAGGCTTCATGTCTGGGCATTATTGTTGTTTTTGTTTGTTTTTGAGAGCTTAAGAGAAAAACTGTCCAACCCTTAGGATGGCTCTCTAAGAATAAGGGGTCTGTGGCTCTGGGTTTAGAGGTACCAGATCCCAAAACCTGTTCAGTCCTCAACCTTGACCTTGTTGGAGCTCAGAAACCAATACCCCAGAAGGCCTCAGAAGCAACCTCAGAAGTAAGAGTTTCTCTCTGACCTTCTCCCCTCCTGTCTCTCAGTCGTATTCTCCCCTGAAGCTGGCCATAGAAACCAGAATCCCTCTTCCCCAAGGCAGGTCATAGTTATCAGAAGCCCCTTTTCCCCAAAGCCAGCCATACAACCTAAAATATGACTCTAACTTTTTCTCTACCCTATGTGTGTACAAACTGGCCACAAAGAAATGATCTTACCTGCCTTGTTTGACAGTAGGTCATAAGACCCCCATTCCAGAGAGAGCTCTGCCCCTTACCCAGAAAGGGGGTTGCTGCTGTGAGAAGCCAGGGAGAATCTAGACAGACAGGCCTGGCTGGTCTCCCCACTCAGTCTATTAGCATTAGATCAGACTGCTTTTGTCCAATCCTCTTTCTGTGTGATTGTCTATACTTCATTGAACCTAAGCATAAAAATGGACAATTTCCCCTGTAACTTTAGATCTTCATCCTGAAGGCCTCCATGTACACACATTAAATGAATTTGTGTGCCTTTTCTCCTATCATTCTGACTTTTGTGAGTTGGTTTTTCAGCCAACCTTCAGAGGGTAAAGGATAACTCTCCTGCCTTGGCCCCTACAACCTCCTGGAGCCAGCTAGAACTCTGGGATCCCACGCGTGAGGTTGCAGACAAGAGCCCGATAGACAGTCCCTACCCAAGCTCAGCCCAGAGGATGGAGTCTTCCTCCCTGGAAAAATGATCATTCCAGACACAGGCATCTGGATCCCACCAGCTGCTCCTGGAAGAAACATTCCAGTACAATTTATTCTCAGGCTGAAAACAACACAGAACCAGTGTTCAGCAGGGACACCACATGGTGGTGAGACACGAGACCATTGGATTAGGCCTCAGGTCTCTGTTTGTAGAAGTGAACCGATTTCCTTTTTGAGCTTCCAAAGCCCCAGATAACCTTCAGACAATTCATAGAGAAAACCTAAAAAAGTAGATAATATATTAACTTCCCTACCGATATCTACAGTGTCAACATTTGACTGGAAAAATGAATTCGTTGTATCAGTGTTTGCACCTCAAGTTTGTAGGGCAACTCTTACAGATTGTATAACAAGAGCTAGCCCATCTCTGCTTATGTCTCATGAGTACACATTTAACCTTCCTCACGGCCTGGACAAGGTCAACCACTTTTCAGGGCAGTCAATCTCAAAGTTCTTTGACCAGAGGAGTTTTTGTCCTGAAGCCACCGTTCCCGCCTCTGTTCCCACAGGACTAGTTCTACATCAATGAAGGCCATCAGCATGTACGTCCTTCTCCATAAAACCATGCAGCCTAACTTGGAAGCTGCTACAGCTTGCATCCTGGCCTGCAGCCTTGCCTTCCCAGGGCCAAACTCTGTTCTTCCGCGACCCAGAGATTTGGGTGCTTTGAGAACTGGGAGGTAAAAGGGGTGGGTGCGTGGAGGAAGGCCAACTGAGAGTCAGAAGACCTCAGTTTCAGCCCTGGTGGTTCCATTCACCCTGTGCGACCTTGAGGGGTGTCCCTCATGTCTCTGGCCTGTAGATTCTTCATCGATAAAAGAAAAAGGTGACTTGAGATGGTCTCAGAGGCCTTGTTAGTTCCAGTTACCTGTGACTCATAGTGGGGAGGTGTTGGTGAAAGGGCTGGAGAGGACCCTGTGGGGGACCAATTTCTCCACACTTTTGTATGCACCACTTCATCCCAAATATTTGATAACCTTACTTGGTCTCTGAAACTTTTATGCAAAAAGACTTTTAAAAAATCTTATACTTTTATTCCTCTGCAGTTTCAGTCTCTGGGATCTGGCCTCTGTGCAGACATAAGGATGTTGAAAGGAATGATGGCATCCACCAATCCAACCTCCCACTGGCACAGTCACCTAAAGGCTTGTGAAAATCTCCATTGCATCAACCCCAGTATCAAAGCCTCAGTGTGCCTCACTTTGCTAGGAGCGATGCCACATCTCCCATTCCTGGATAGAGGGAGGGCTCCAGGAGAACTGAAGTGTGTGAGTCCCTGTGGCCTGGAAGGAGAGGAGAGAAACCAGGGGCATAGTCTGGGGCCATAGTGCCAAGGACTGAGTATCCTGGGGCTTCCAGCTGCAGGAACGGTGCCTGAGGATGGAAGCTGGAGGCCAGGACCAGGTGGACAGCTCCTAATCAGGTAGCCAGCAAACAACAAATTGGGGATGCTACGTTAGAACTAGGAAGAAAAGACGATGCTACGTTAGAACTAAGAAGAAAAGACGATGCTACGTTAGAACTAGGGAGAAAAGACGATGCTACGTTAGAACTAGGGAGAAAAGACGATGCTACGTTAGAACTAGGAAGAAAAGACAGTTCAAGCAGGACATCAGTAAGCTGTAAGTCAGCTAAGGGAGAAGAGGAAAAAGCAGGTTGAAAATGGACAGTGGATGGTGTAGGGCCTGGATCTTTTCTTGCACCGCAGTGAAAGTGGTTGTGGAAACGTTTTACACAGTTCCTGAGGCATTTAAAGGGGAAATGCCAGCCAGAGTGGACCCAGAGTGCATGAGTTGGGCAAAGATTTGCTTTTTATTTCTTTTTTTTATTTTCCAAAGAAGAGATCTCCATTTAGAGCCCCAGTCCCACTCTGTCAGGACATCCTGAATCTCAGTCCCCAGGTCCACAAAAGACCTCCCGTCCCCCCAACAGCTGTGCATTGACCTCACTGACTACACACAGCCCCAAGCCCATGTCGAGTCAAAACCACCATCCCTCAGCCTGTGGGCCAGGTACCGGGTTCAGTGCACTCAGTGACGCAAGAGCCCTGGGCAGCTGTCCTGGAGCCACTGGCCAAGCCCATGGAAACAGCCCTCCTTGTCACTCACCCGCTGTCACTCCAGGGAGCTGGGGAGTCTGCACCCTGGCAGCAGGGAAAGGGGTCTGATGTTCCATGTTTTTTAATGAACGTTTTTGTTCTATGTATTTATTTTTATATTTATTTATTTACATATTTATGTATTTATTTATTTTTTAAGAGATGGTATCTCGCTCTGTTGCCCACGCTGGAGTTGTGTGATGCTGTCTCGGCTCACTGCAACTTCCACCTCTCAGATTCAAGAGATTCTCCTGCTTCAGCTTCCCAAGTAGCTGGGACTATAGGTATGCACCTCTACGCCCAGCTAATTTTTATATTTTAGTAAAGACAGCGTTTCACTATATGTTGGTCAGGGTGGTCTCAAACTCCTGACCTCAGGTGATCCAGGTGATCCAACTGCCTTGGCCTCCCAAAGTGCTGGGATTACAGGCATGAGCCACTGCACCCAGCCTATTTATTTTTAATTAATAGACTTTTTAAAGCAGTTTTAGGTTTACAGAATAGTTTATTGGAAAATCCAAAAACTCCCATAGATCCCCTTACCCTCCCTACACATCTTCCTTATTTTTAACATCTTGCCTAAATGTGGTATGTTTGTTACAATTGATGAGCCAAGAGTGAGACATCATTTCACTAAATGTACATACTTTACATTAGGGGCCACTGTTGGTATTATACACTCTATGGATTTTGACAAATATGTAATGACATGTGCCCATCATTACAGTATTATATAGAATAGTTTCACTTCCCTAAAGGTCCTCTGTGCTCCACCAATGCATCCCTCCCTCCCCCTGACGCCCACCAGCCCCCGGCACTCAATGACCTGTCTTCATAGTTTTCTAGAGTGCCTTATAGTTGGAATCATACAGAATATACCCCTTTCAGATTGGTTTTTTTACTTAGCAATATGCATTTAAGGTTCCTGTATGTCTTTTCATGATTTGATAGCTCATTTCTAAAAAACCACTGAACGTTTCATTGTCCGAATGTACCACAGTTTGACAGACAACTTGGTTGCTTCCAAGTTTTGGCAATTATGATTAAAGCTGCTATAGACAGTCACGTGCGGGGTTTTTGCAGACATAAGTTTTCAATTCATTTGGGTAAATACCTAGGAGAACAATTGCTAGATTTATGGTAAGAGTGTGTTTAATTTTATTATTTTAAAAAACTGCCAAGCTGTCTTCAACAGTAGCTGTACCAGTTTGCATTTCCACCAGAAATAAACAAGAGTTCCTGTTGCTCCACATCCTTGCCAATATTTGATGTTGTCAGCATTTTGGATTTTACTGTTCTAATAAGTGTATAGTGGTATCTCATTCTTTTACTTTGCAATCCTCTGACGACATGATGTTGATTATTTCTTCATAGGCTTATTTGCCAGCTGCATATCTTGTTTGGTGAGGTGTCTGTTCTGACATTTTCCCCATTTTTAAATTAGGTTGTTGGTTTTCTTATGGTTGAGTTGTGACAGTTCTTTTCAGATGCCAGTCCTTTATCCAATAAGTTTGCAAACGTTATTTCCCAGTCTGACTCATGTTTTTATTCTTCTAGCAGTGTGTTTCACAGAGTGGAAGTTTTTAATTATAATGCCGTCCAACTTGTCAGTTTGTTCTTTCATGGATTATGCTTTTGGCATTGTAACTAAAATGTCATCACCAAACCAAAGCTCACCTAGCTTATCACCTATGTTATATGCTGGAAATTTTATAGTTTTGCATTTTACATTTAGGTCTACGATCCATTTGAGTTCATTGTGAAAGGTGTAAGGTCTGCGTATTATTTTGTATGTGGATGTCCAATTGCTCCAAAACTGTCTGTTGAAAAGCCTCTTTCTCCATTAAGTGGTCTTTGCTTCTTTGTCAAAGGTTAGTTGAGTATGTTTGTGTAGATCTATATCTGGGCTCTCCATTCTGTTCCATTGATCCATTTGTCTGTTCTTTTGCCAGTAGGGCACTGTGTTGTTTACTATAACTTTATGTTAAATCTTAAAGTCACGTACAGGTAGTCCTCCAACTTTCCTCTTCCAGTGAATCTTTTTTTTTTTTTTTTGGATTTTTGCCTTTTCCAATTATCTTTAGAATCAGTTTTGTTAAAATATCTACAGGATAACTAGCTGGGACTTTAATTGGGATTGCATTAAATCCATAGACCAGGTAGAGAAGAACTGACATCTTGATAATATTGAGTATTCCTGTCCATGTCCATGGAATATCTATTTTATTTACATCTTCTTTGATTTCTTTCATGAGATTTTGGTAGTTTTCTTCATATGAATATTGTACATATTTTGTTAGATGTTTACATAAGTACTTTTTGCTGGTAATATAGACAGCATTGAGCTTTTAATTTTAAATTCTAGTCATTCATTTCTCAAAAGAAAGCATAACCTGTATTCTGCAACTTTGTCATAATCACTTATTAGTTCCAAGAGTTTGTTGTTGTTGTTGTTGGTGGTGGTGGTGGTGGTGGTGGTGGTGGTGGTGGTTCTTTGGGATTTTTTACATAAACAATCATGTCATCTGGGAACAAACACAATTTTATTTCTTCCTTCCCAATCTGTATACATTTCATTTCCTTTCCTTTATTTTTCTTGTTGCATTAGCTAGAACTTCCAGTACAATGTTAAAAAGGAGTGGCAGAACAACAAAAAAAAGAGAATTTTAGACCAATATCCTTGATGAACATCGATGCAAAAATCCTCAATAAAATACGGGCAAACCGAATCCAGCAGCACATCAAAAAGCTTATCCACCATGATCAAGTGGGCTTCATTCCTGGGATGCAAGGCTGGTTCAACATAAGCAAATCAATAAACATAATCCAGCATATAAACAGAACCAAAGACAAAAACCACATGATTATCTCAATAGACACAGAAAAGGCCTTTGACAAAATTCAACAACGCTTCATGCTAAAAACTCTCAATAAATTAGGTATTGATGGAATGTATCTCAAAATAATAACAGCTATCTGTGACAAATCCACAGCCAATATCATACTGAATGGGCAAAAACTGGAAGCATTCCCTTTGAAAACTGGCACAAGACAGGGATGCCCTCTCTCACCACTCCTATTCAACATAGTGTTGGAAGTTCTGGCCAGGGCAGTCAGGCAGGGAAGGAAATAAAAGGTATTCAATTAGGAAAACAGGAAGTCAAGTTGTCCCTGCTTGCAGGTGACATGATTGTATATCTAGAAAACCCCATCGTCTCAGCCCAAAATCTCTTTAAGCTGATAGGCAACTTCAGCAAAGTCTCAGGATACAAAATCAATGTGCAAAAATCACAAGCATTCTTATACACCAATGACAGACAAACAGAGAGCCAAATCATGAGTGAACTCCCATTCACAATTGCTTCAAAGAGAATAAAATACCTAGGAATCCAACTTACAAGGGATGTGAAGGACCTCTTCAAGGAGAACTACAAACTACTGCTGAATGAAATAAAAGAGTATACAAACAAATAGAAGAACATTTCATGCTCATGGGTAGGAAGAATCAATATCATGAAAATGGCCATGCTGCCCAAGGTAATTTATGGATTCAATGCCATCCCCAGCAAGCTACCAAAGACTTTCTTCACAGAATTGGAGAAAACTACTTTAAAGTTCATATGGAACCAAAAAGAGCTCACATTGCCATGTCAATCCTAAGCCAAAAGAACAAAGCTGGAGGCATCACACTACCTGACTTCAAACTATACTACAAGGCTACAGTAACCAAAACAGCATGGTATTTGTACCAAAACAGAGATATAGACCAATGGAACAGAACAGAGCCCTCAGAAATAATGCCACATATCTACAACTATCTGATATTTGACAAACCTGACAAAAACAAGAAATGGGGAAAGGATTCCCTATTTAATAAATGGTGCTGGGAAAACTGGCTAGCCATATGTAGAAAGCTGAAACTTGATCCCTTCCTTACACCTTATACAAAAATTAATTCAAGATGGATTAAAGACTTAAATATTAGACCTAAAACCATAAAAACCCTAGAAGAACACCTAGGCAATACCATTCTGGACATAGGCATGGGCAAGGACTTCATGTCTAAAACACCAAAAGCAATGGCAACAAAAGCCAAAATTGACAAATGGGATCTAATGAAACTAAAGAGCTTCTGCACAGCAAAAGAAACTACCATCAGAGTGAACAGGCAACCTACAGAATGGGAGAAAATTTTTGCAATCTACTCATCTGACAAAGGGCTAATATCCAGAATCTACAAAGAACTTAAACAACTTTACAAGAAAAAATCAAACAACCCCATCAAAAAGTGGGCAAAGGATATGGACAGACACTTCTCAAAAGAAGACATTTATGCAGCCAAAAGACACATGAAGAAATGCTCATCATCACTGGCCATCAGATAAATGCAAATCAAAACCACAATGAGATACCATCTACACCAGTTAGAATGGTGATCATTAAAAAGTCAGGGAACAACAGGTGCTGGAGAGGATGTGGAGAAATAGGAACACTTTTACACTGCTGGTGGGATTGTAAACTAGTTCAACCATTGTGGAAGACAGTGTGGTGATTCCTCAAGGATCTAGAACTAGAAATACAATTTGACCCAGCCATCCCAATACTGGGTATATACCCAAAGGATTATAAATCATGCTGCTATAAAGACACATGCACACGTATGTTTATTGCGGCACTACTCACAATAGCAAAGACTTGGAACCAAGCCAAATGTCTAACAATGATAGACTGGATTAAGAAAATGTGGCACATATACACCACGGAATACTATGCAGCCATAAAAAATGATGAGTTCATGTCCTTTGTAGGGACATGGATGAAGCTGGAAACCATCATTCTCAGCAAACTATCACAAGGACAAAAAACCAAACACCGCATGTTCTCAATCATAGGTGGGAATTGAACAATGAGTACACATGGACACAGGAAGGGGAACATCACACACCGGGCCTGTTGTGGGGTGGGGGGAGTGGGGAGGGATAGCATTAGGAGATATGCCTACTGCTAAATGACGAGTTAATGGGTGCAGCACACCAACATGGCACATGTATACATATGTAACTAACCTGCACATTGTGCACATGCACCCTAAAACTTAAAGTATATTTAAAAAAAAAAGAAAAAAGAAAATATGGTACAAAAAAAAAGGAGTGGCAGGAGAGACATTCTTGCCTTCTTCGTGATCTTAGCAGAAAAGCATCTAATTTCTCACCATTCAGATGTTTTTCACCATGTTCTCACCATGTTAGATGTAGTTGTTTTGTAGATGTTCTTTATCAAGTTAAGAAAGATCCCCCCTCTATTTCTTGTTTATTGAGAGTTTTTATCATGAAGAGGTATTAGATTTTGTCAACTGCTTTTTCTGCATCTATTGACATAATAATATGTCTTTTTCCTTTTACCTGTTGGTATCTTGAATTACATTAATTTAATTTCAACTCTTGAGCCACCCTTGTGTACCTGGGATAAATCCTACTTAGCCATGGTATGTAATTCTTTCTCTGCGTTGTTGGGATTGGCATTTTATTGAGATTTGAGATTTTTTACATGTATATTTATGAGAAATATACGTTTGTAGCTTTCCTTTAATGTAATGTCTACCCGGTTTAGGTATTAACATAATGCTGGTCTGATATAATGAGTATGAAGTACTCGATCTACTTCTATTTTCTGAAAGAGATTGTTGAGAATTGTAATAATTTCTTCCTTAAATGTATTGTAGAATTCACCAGTGAAACCATGTGGGCTTGTGCTTTCTGTTTTGGAAGGTTATTATTTATTAATTCAGTGTCTTTAAGAGATATAGGCCTATTCAAATTATCTATTTCTTTTGTTGTGAGTTTTGAAAAATTGTGTCTTTCAAAGAATTGGTCCATTTCACCTAGGTTATCAAATTTGTGGGTGTACAGTTGTTCTTATAACATTTTCTCATTATCCTTTTAATGTCCATAAGGTCAGCAGAGATTAGCTCTCTTTCATTTTTGATAGCAATCATTTGTGTGTTCTCTCTTTCTTAGTTAACCTGGTTAGTGGCTTATCGATTCTATTGAGCTTTTCAAAGAACCATCTTTTGGTCCTGTTGATATTCTCTATTGATTTCCTGCTTTCAATTTCATTGATTTGTGCTCTACTTAGTATTACTTTTCTTCTATATACTTTGAATTTAATTTCCTCTCCTTATTGTAGCTTCCCACGGTAGAAAATTTGATTATTAATTTTTTCTTTCCTAATATCTGCATCCAATGCTAAAAATAGCCCTCTAAGCATTGACTTAACTGTATCCTACCAATTTTGATAAGTTGTATTTTAATTTTTCATTTATTTTGAAATATTTTTAAATTACTCTTGAGACTTCCTTTGACTCATGTTTTATTTAGATGTGTGTTGTTTAATCTCCAAATATTATGGATTTTCTGGCTACTTTTCTGTTATTGATTTCAATTTTAATTTCATTAATGTTTTAGAGATGATCCAAGACGTCTTGGTATAATTTCTGTCATTTTAAATATGCTAAGGTGCGTTTCATGTCCCATAATTCTTTCCATTTTGGTGAATATTTCACGTGGTCTTGAGAAGAATGTGCTTTCTGCTTCTGTTGAATAAACTATTCTACAAATATCAACTGGACCCAGTTGACTGATGGTGCTGTTCAGTTCAACTACATCCTTACTGATTTTCTGCCTGCTGGGTCTGTCAGTTACTGATAGAAGAGTGTTGAAATCTACAACTGTAATAGTGGATTAACTATTTCTCCTTGTGGTTCTATCCATTTTTGCTCCATGTATTTTGACACTGTTGTTAGACGCATACACTTTAAGGACTGCTGTGTCTCCTTGGAGAATTAACGCTTTTTTCCCTCTTTACCCCTGATAATTTTCCTTGCTCTGAAGTCTGGTCTTTTTTAAATTAATATCTATTCCAGCTTTCTCCTTTGATTAGTGTTAGCATGGTATCTATTTGTCCATCTATTTTTACGCTGTGTCTTTATATGTAAAACAGGCTTCTTGCAGACAACATAGAGTTGGGTCTTGTTTTCTCATCCACTCTGACACTCTTTGTCTTTTAATTAGTGTCTTTAGAACACTGATATTTAAAATTGTCATTGGTATCTATTTTTTGTTGATATCTATTATATTTGTTACCCTTTTCTATTTAATTCCTTTGTTCTTTGTTTCCTTTTCTTTTCTTATTGTGTCTTCCACTCATTTTCTGCCCTCTCTGGTTTTAATGGCATATTTTGTATAATTCCATTTCTTCTCCTCTCTTAGCGTATGAATTATACTACATTTTAACTTTTTATAATGGTTGTATATTTTTATGCTTTTCTTGAGTTTACAATATATATTTATAACTAATTCTAGCCCCCTCTGTAATAGCACTATACCACTAGCGAGTAGAGCGATTACTGTGTAACAGAGTATTTCCAATTCCTTCCCTCCTCCGATCACTTATAACATTGCTGTCATTCCTTTCACTTATACATAAGCTATAATCATCACATAGGGTGTGGCTATTATTATTTCGAACAAACTGTTCTGTGTTACTATAAGAATAGAAAATAAAAACATTTTATTTTACTTTCATTTATTCCTTCTCTTGTGCTTTTCTTTATTTATGTATATCCGATTTCTGACCTGCATCATTTTTTATCTCTCTGAAAATTTCATTTAACATTTCTTGCAAGGCAGTCTACTGATAAGAAACTTTCTCATTTTTTTAATATATTGTCCACTTTTCCCATTAGACCCCTAGCATATTAGTCATGGATGTATCGTACTCCTGGTCTGGCGGTTCCATCGTCTCTTCTCAGTCTGAGTCTGGATCTGATGCTTGCCCTGTCTCTTAGGTGGTTTCTTTGCCTGTGTTCACGATTGCTGTACTGTGGCTATCCAAGTTTAGATCGCTTCTGGATCCTTGTTTTCATCTCCCCTCTCGTCTTAGATTTTCCCAAGAAACTCCTCCTTAAGTAGAGTCTGAATCTTGCATTTATTTTAGCTGTAATCCTTGTGGTTCTACAGGAACCCCATCGGCATGGGGGTAAGGTGTGTGGGGTAAGGTGTGTGGGGTAAGGTGTGTGGGGGTACGGTGTGTGGGGGTACGGTGTGTGGGGGTAAGGTGTGTGGGGGCTGGAAGCATCCTATGGCCCTATGATGGGGTCTCAGTCTTCTACTGAGCTTGTATACCTGGGCTGTGACCATCATGCATTCTTCCAAGTTATGCTTTATTTTCCTCCTTAAGTGACACAGAGTGGTTAGAGAGAGCTAGAGTAGAATATTTCCCTAGGTTGGTTAGGCCCTGCTAAAACCCTAGTCAGTTAGGCTTTGGTAAAACAGATTCCCCTGGGGTCAGGTCTTGTGAAGAACACAGCATAAATTCCGCATGTTTTGAAATGGCTGCTTTTCCCTCCCTCTGCTGCAAGCATGGGGGATCGTTCTCCTGCCTTCACTGTAAAAACCTGCTAGGGCTCTGGAGGTAAAACTCATGAGAATGTGTGGGCCCCCCTGCAACCGAGACCCCCTCCTGCAGTTTCTAACTTGCAAACATGTCCACATGGAGCCTCCCTCACTTTGACGGTTCTAGTTTAGGCTGTCCTGCTCTGGCCCAGGGTTCTGTGGCAGTTACTGATCTTGGGCTTCTGCTCCAGTAAGAGCTCATCTCTATAACTTCGGGGACAGACATTTGCTTGTGACCTCCATTCTTTAATGGATCTAAGGAGAGTTGTTAATTTTCAGTTTGTTCAACATTTTCTTATTGTTAGGATAGAGTCATGACTTCCAAGCTCTTTACACGTCAAACCATAAACTGAAGTCCTTTAATAGCATTTTTTTTTTGAGGCAGAGTCTCGCTGTGTCACCCAGGCTGGAGTGCAGTGGCATGATCTCAGCTCACTGCAGCCTCCACCTTCTAGATTCAAGTTCTTCTCATGCCTCATCCTTCCGAGTAGCTGGGACCACAGGCATGTGCCACCATACCCAACTAATTTTTGTAGTTTTAGTAGAGGTGGAGTTTCACCATGTTGCCCAGGCTGGTCTTAAACTCCTGGCCTCAAGTGATCCATCTGCCTTGGCCTCCCAAAGTGCTGGGACACGTCCAGCCTTTAATAAACTTTTAATTTTAAAATAGTTTCAGATATCCAGGAAATTTGAGAAGACAACCCAGAGAGTCTCCATATACTCCACACTCAGGCTCCCATTGTCAACATCCTACATTATTATAGTTTAGTTATTACAACTCATGATCCAATGTGGATGCATTAATATTAGCTGAAGTCTGTATTTTATTCTTATTTTCTTAATTTTCCCCTAATATACTTTTTCTTTCCCAGGATTCCATACAGCAGGAATCCCCAACTTCTGGGCCGTGGACCAGTACCCGTTCGTGGCCTGTTAGGAACTGGCCACACAGCAGGAAGTGAGCAGCGGGCAAGGGAGCATGACCACCTGAGTTCTCCCTCCTGTCAGATCAGAGGCCACATTAGATTCTCATAGGAGCGTGAACCCTATTGTGAAGTGCGCACGTGAGAGATCTAGGTTGCACACTCCTTACAAAAATCTAACTAATGCCTGATGATCTGAGGTGGAACAGCTTCATCCTGAAACCTTCCCCCACCACCATCCATGGAAAAAGGTCACCAAAAAGGTTGGGGACTCCTGCCATCCAGGACATGACATTACCTCTTACCATCATGTTTCCTCAGACCTCTCTTGGCTGGGACAATTTCCCAGACTTTTCTTGTTTTTGATGAGTTTTGACGAGTACGATCAGGTTATTGTGTAGAACAACCTTCCGTCGGAGTTTGTCTGGTGGTTTTGTTATGATTAGACTGTGCTCTGCATCTGTGGGAGGAAGACCCTGGAGGTAAAATGCCATTCCCGTCCCATCTCTTCAAGGGCACTTAGTGTCAGCATGACTCATCCCTGCGGATGCTGCGTTGGTCGCCTGGCCGAGGGAGTGCTTGTCAAGTTCTCCACTGCAGTTACTTTTCTCCTCTTTTCCCTTTTTCGAAGGAAGTCAGTGCTTCACAGGATTTTTCAACTCAGGATTCTCATAGAGGGCTTTCCTTCCTGTTTCTTCACAGGGAAAAGCAAACCAGGGGTCCACACACTCTCACTCACTTATTCACTCATTCAGTAACACTTACTTGATGTCCACCCAGAGCCTGACCCCCTGCGGGCCCTGGCTATCAAGTGGAGAAGGAAGCAGAGGTGGGCCTTGTCCTCAGGAAACCTGCAGTCTAGTGGGAAGATAGCCTCTAAACCAGCAATCACAGCCATCAGAGAGCCGTGAGGAGGACTGCACAGAGCAGGGGAGGGGAGAAAGGGTCCTAACTCAGATCGTGTTGAGGGAGGCAAAGCCCGTCTGAGATCCAAGGGGACAGAGGCCAAGAGCTGGCTCCCATGAGGCCCAGCATGTGCAAAGGCCCCGGGGTTGGGTGGTGGCAAGTGGCTAAGCTGTGCTGCTCTCAGCCCTCTAGTCCACCCTTGCTCATTCTTTTCATCAGACTTTGCTCTATTCAAGGTCAGAGACCATGTCTTGTCCTCTGTGTCTCTTCCTAATGCAGATTGACTGACAGAATCAGGGCAGTCATGAGGATCTGCATGGTTTGTTCAGGGGCCATCAGACACTCCACAGGCCTGAGTTTCTGCAACTCTAAAGACCTTGTGCTAAGGAAGAGGGAGGAAGTCGGAGGTCTGGCAGCAGGACAGCAAAGGTAGCCGGCAGTCAGCAAGGACGCAGGCACCTGCCCATGGACAGATGAAACAAGGCCCAGGAGCAGGGAGGATGGAAACAGGCCCAAAGATGCTTTGAGGAAAGTAGGTCAGATCTCAGATTTCTGAGCTCACTGCTCAGCCCCCTGAGAACTTGATAAAGCTGCAGTCTGCCAGAGCAAGTGCAAGCAGATGTTATGCGGATATGCTTAGCTCCCAGGCACAAAGCCCCTGCATTTGACTGGGGGCAACACCCTGGCTGGCTGTTTCTGTACCTGTAGGACTGAGCATGGTGTGAGCATGGGGGCCAGAGCACCCTTGGGAGAGGGGGAGATGGGAGAGAAGAGGAAAGGAGGACAGACTTTCCAGCAGCAGAACCTCAGGTGATGAAAGCAACTTCCCTCCTGCCGAGAGCAAAGGAGGTGTGCAGGCTGCTGGCCTGGGAAGGAGGCAGAGAGGGGACTTTCAGCAGCCAGGCCTTTTGTAACGAGCCTCAAGCTCCCCTGCCCCATTGCCCTGGGCTCCAAGCCCACTGTGGCCCTTTTGCACCCCCTTACCCTCTGACCCACAGGCCCACTCCCCACTCAGCTTCTTTGCCGGGCTGCCTCCTGCACACACACACATATGTTCGCATGCATGCACAAGCTGGGGCTCAGAAAACAGTATCCCAAAATGCAGGCCTCAGCCTTACAAGCTGTCCCATTCTCCCCAAAGGCTAGCCATACAAATTAGAATCCCTCTTTACGAAGGCAAGTCATAGAAACCAGAACCCCTTTTCGCCAATGCCAGCCATCAGACTTCTGTGTTAAAACTGGCCATAAAAAAATGACCTGACCTGCCTTGTTTGACTGTAGGTCATAAGGCCCCCATTCCAGAGAGGGCCCCGCCCTATACCCGGAAGGGCGGGATATGCTGCTCAGAGAGACCAGAAAGAATCTAGACAGACAGGCCTTGCTGGGTTCCCCACTCACTCTGTTGGCATTAGACCACGCCCTTTTTGTCCAGTCCTCTTTCTACATGACTGTCCATACTTTGCTGAACCTAAGCATGAAAATGGACAATTTTCCTGTATCTTTGGGTCTTCTTTCTGAAGGCTCTTGTGTACACACATTGGACACATTTGTGTGCCTCTTCTCCTATGAATCCATCAGCCTCATGTCAGTGATTTTTCAGGGAACATTTAAGGGGCCAAGGGAAGAACTGAGTTGGCTCCTCATGCTCACCCTGGGTGCAACCTTCACTCATTGATCCAGGCCACACTCAGGCCTCCCCACCAGACCTTCTGGATCCCACCTCTGCAGACCCACAGCCAGTGACTGCCATCCGTTGCCTGCCCACCGTGTGACGGGCCCAGCAGTATTGAGTTGGTGTGACTGTCCCAACTTCACAGTGGAAGACGCACTCTGCAAGAGGACAGGAGGGCTGCACTGTGAAGCAAGTCCATCTGGGTCCTGAATCCATGTTCCTTCTGCCACACTGTGTGGTCCCTCAATGCAGTAAGAGGAAAATGAAGGGAAAGGGCAGGTTCCTTTGGGAGAGGATAAGGGTGGGGCTAGGGTGGCTGTCTCCAGCTGTGTGGGTTACAACACAACTCCACAGTGTCTGACCAGAGCTGAGATGGGTATTCCCTGGGGTCATGCTGTCAGAGTTTGCCACAACCTTGGGAAGTCCTCGGGCTGGGACTGCCTGCCCTCAGGTCCCAGCTACACCATCCATCTGCTGTGTGGCTCAGGCAAGCCACTTAACATCTCCATGCTCAGATTCATCTGCAAAACAAGGGTGTTCTCATCACTCAGGGGACTCAGGTGAATAGAGAAGTGTGTGCTCACAGAGCACCCAATGCAGCCCCTGCTCAGGGACAGCCCCAGGTAAGCACCTGCTCCCATGGCTACTGTCACCCAGCCCTGGTCACCCAGCCCTAGAGAGCCTCCTGAGCAGCTCTCCAGGCCCAGATGGTGCCAACCCACCACGGGGCCCTCTCGGCCGAGGTGGGCAGCCCGTTCTGACTTACCCGTCTCACAACCGTCCATCCTTCCTAAATGGAACACAGCCCATCAGTGCCTTCTCCCAGGGGCCCTCCTGGCCAGGCTCCCTGCTTGTTGGGATGGGCACACATGAATAAAGAAATGAGTGCAGAGTGCATGCCCACTTTGGATTCCTCCAGCCTCACCATGATTAGGCAGATCTGGTGACTAACTAGATATGAACTCTCCTTTACAGACCGAGGAGCTGTGGGCTGGAGAGTTGACTAAGTGGCTTGATCAGAATTATACAGCGGGGAAGAGTTTAAGTGTGGCCTGCAGCCTGAGGCTGAGAGGTGGGAGGCGGTCATGCTTCAGCCTTGGAGACTAGCAGGCCTCACTGGCAGTGCTGCCTTGTGTAAGTCCCTCAACCTCAGTTTCTTCATCTGTAAACTAGGCTGATGATACCTGTCTTTGCCTATTTTATCTTGCTCTAAAGGAACACTGGAGACTGGGTAATTTACAAAGAAAAGAGGTTTATTAGGTTCTCAGTTCTGCAGGCTGTGCAAGAAGCACAGAGCCAGCACGACCAGGAGCTCACACAGACCCCTCGTAATAACTGTGCGACCTATGACGGCCACCCCCTCTTTGATGAGGCCCTCAGGGAGATTCCACTCGTGGTGGAAGGTGAAGAGGAGCTGGCTTCACATGGTGAGAGAAGGGGGAAGAGAAAAGAGGGGAGACAGTGTCGAGCTCTTTTCTTTAGTTTTTTTTTCTTTTTTTTTTTGATTTGGAGTTTTAGCTTTTGTCACCCAGGCTGGAGTGCAATGTCATGATCTCCACTCACTGCAGCCTCTGCCTCCCAGGTTCAAGTGATTCTCCTGCCTCAGCCTCCTGAGTAGCTGGGATTACAGGCCTGCACCACCACGTCCGGCTAATTTTTTGTGTTTTTAGTAGAGACGGGGTTTTGCCATGTTGATCAGGCTGCTCTCGAACTCCTGACCTCAGGTGATCCACCTGCCTCGGCCTCCCAAATTGCTGGGATTACAGGCGTGAGCCACCATGCCCAGTTAGTCAAGCTCTTTTTAACAATCTTTTTAACAATCAGTTCTCCAGAGAACTCTATTAGCAAGAACTCACTCATAACCACAGGGAGGGCACCAAGTCATTCATGAGGGATCCACCCCCATGACCCAAACACCTCCCACCACACCCCACCTCCAACATTGGGGAATCACATTTCGGCATGAGATTTGGAGGGGACAACTACTCAAGCCATCAATACTTCACAAGAGTGTTTCAAAAATCAAGCTAGGCAACGTATACGGCATACCTGACATTAAAGGGGCTCAGGAGGAGGCACCATTACTGCAGCCAATGTGGGGGATGATGGCTGGGGTCCCTGCCAACCTGAGCCCCAGCAAAGAGAATCATTTCAGGCTCCCTGTTACTCGGCCCTTCCCCACTCCCTCCTCCTCCTCCAGCAAAACTTTAATTCTGTAAGAAGCTTCCCTCCAGCAGAAGGGTTATAATTAATTTATGTTGGGACCATAATAGATTCCAATACAAACTTCGTTTCATTACATCCAACTGCACTATGACTGCTGTTTGCTGTGAGGCATAATTCCATAATTCACCGTGAAATGTGGCCCCATGCATGCTCTTCCCCAGCCACTGGAAAGGGGAGGGGAGGCACGTGGCTCTCTTCCGTGCGGCTGACAGAGGCCTTCCACTCTCACCCTCCTAGGCAGCACACACTCTTGTCACGCGGTCCTCCTTGTAATAACCGCACGACCTGTGGCACTCACCACCCTCTCTGACCCTCAGCTTTCTCATTTATAGAAATGGAACAATACAGTAATATATGCCCTGTAAATAATTTGTGAATATAAAATCAGACAGACTTTTGTAAAACACTCACCACAGTATCAGGCACTTGCCACGTGCTTCACGATAGCAACTGACAATAGCAGCTAATATTTAATGAGCACCTGCTGAGTGCCCGCACTGTGCTGGCTCCAGCCATGCTTGGGGCCACCTGGGAAGCTAGTCCTACACCCACTTCCCTGAGTGTTATAAAGAGAGGCTGTCATAACAGTGTGCTTTTTCTTTAGTAAGGCCTCCATCGGGTGGGCAGGGCTGGAAGAAGAGGCCCAGGGCCATCCTAGAAGAGGGCACTGGCACCTGAGCTCCCTGACCAGAGTCATACCTCTGTGTTGCTACCCAAGATCTTTTCAAGGAGCTGGGGCAGAGAGAGGAAAATGCTGTCTCCATCTCCCAGCCCTGGGCAGTTAACCCCTCCTCTCACTGTCAGATTGCAAGGAGCTGAGAGTAAGTGACACAAAAGTGGAGGTGGCAAATAGATTATGCCCTTAAAAGATGGGGAGGGGAGCCTTGGCTGCAGACTAAGAGGGGAGCAGGCCGAGGAAGAACGCCTGCAATGAGTTCATCAGGGCTGCTGGCCAGTGCGGAGGGTCAGAGCAGCGGAACTCCTTCCCTGAGAGCCTCGACTGCCCGTCCGTCGCCCCGGGGTTCCAGGCAGGAGCTGCTCCCCTGCTCCCAGGAGGCTCCCTTCAACTCTTCACAGATTTCTTTGTCCAGGGCTTGTTTGCACGGTCAGCCACTCCTCACACAGCCCGGCCATTGATCTTCTTCCACTGGGCATCCCTGTGATTGTCTGCAGCTCCTCGCTGCCTTTGTGCCCGAAGCATGTCCTGGCCCTGCTCCCAGCCCCCTCCCTCCAGCCTGCCTCTCCCCCTGCATCTGAGCCGTTTCTCCAGGCCTCCCCAGCGTCACATGAGAACTGTCTTCTGTCGAATAGGCACCTGCTCATCACTCATCTCAAAGGCGCCACGCTTCAAACAGCCTCCTTGATTTGCACCTCCCAACCTGCTTCTCCATGCACAGCACTAGTTTTCACCAATGTGCCCAAAATCCCAGGTGCGTCCTTGACTCCTCTCTTCCATTCACATCTGCTTTCGATCCATCAGGAAGTCGCTACTTCCTCCTCATTAAGATATCCCTGGGAAGTCGCTCTTCACCTCCTCAAGGCTGCTGGCTGCCACTGTGGCAAGGCACCGTCCTCCACTCCAGGATCCTACCACGGCCTCCTAAAGCTAAAGAGTCTCCTGCCTCCCTCTGCCCTGCCATCCCTGCTGCCTCGCCTGTTGCTTCTCTGCTACATCTTCTCAGCTTCTCAGCATACCCACCCAAGTCCGGTTTTTGAATGTAACTCAGCTCTCATTCACTCAGTGCTTAATATCCTCCAGTAGCTTCCATGACGTTCAGAATAGAATCTAAGTCAGGCCTCATGGCCCTCAAGGACCCAGGAGCTCCATCCGCTGCCTGCCTCTCCCAGTCTCTCACACTGGCCCCTTGGTAATCCTGGAGTAAGTCAAGCCAAGCCTGGGCCCTTTCTGCCCTCTGGCCACCAGACGTTTGCAGAGCTCACTGCCTTAGCTCAGTCAGATTCTGCTCAGACGGCCTCACCACGGAGATCTCCCTGTGCCCTGGGTGAAGTGGTCCCTCCACCTGCACCTTGTCACTGTAGCCCTTAATCCTGATTTATTTGCCGTCATAACACCTAAAACTATCTAATATTTTTAAATGTATTTTTTGTTTGGTTATTGCCTGTGTCCTCCAATAAAATGTCAGATTTGGGTTATAGGCTTTATAAAATCTTTAAAAAAAAAACTGTATCCTCAGAACCTATATATACAGGTTTTCAAAAAATAGGTGTTGAATGAAGGAAGGAGCAAAATAATTTGTCTACAACCAAACAGGTGAAAATGTACATCTATTTATATACACACACATGCACACATGTACCTAAACATGCACATACAAGTGGTGTGTGGGTAGGACGCCCAGCAAGAGGAAACCCAACCTCTATGCTCAGAAAGCCACGCTCCAGGAGAAAAATTTGTCACATGCTGGGAAAAGGAAGACATTAGACAAACAAATCACTCTTCAAAGAATGAGCAAAGGGACGCTGGCCAGGATCATAGAGCTGCGTATCTGAGTGTGGAGGGACTGACCTAAGCAGAACCGGGGAGGGGGAGAGGAGCTTCCTGGGCGGGAGAGGAGCTTCCTGGGTGGCCAGCAAGTCCGGCCCCGGCAGTCCGTGGAGGGAACTGCCGTCTGCCCCTGGTCAGGTTTGACCCAGAAAGAGAGCAGCACTAGGGTGGATCACCTGAGGTCGGGAGTTTGAGACCAGCCTGGCCAATATGGTGAAACCTCATCTCTACTAAAAATACAAAAAGTAGCTGGGCACGGTGGTGGGCGCCTGTAATCCCAGCTACTTGGGAGGCTGAGGCAGGAGAATCACTTGAACCCTGGAGGCAGAGGTTGCAGTGGGCTGAGATCGCGCCATTGCACTCCAGCCTGGGTGACAAGAGCAAAACTCAGTCTCAAAAAAAAGAGAAGAGACATTTTAGAAAATATTGCCATTGGGGTAATGTGCCTCTGACACATTGTAATTTAGCTTATATTCTCTATGAGAGCTTTAAAGTTGATTCATTATTTATTTTAATTGAAAAAAAAAAGAAAGAAAGAAAGAGAGCAGCACTCGGCTGCCAGTGAATGAAGGGTCAGGCAGGGAGGAAGTGGCCCCAAACCTCTGGGGATGGTGGGCTGCCATCAGGAAGTGCCTGTGGCCTCTGCACTTCCCCAGCGGAGTTGGGGATGGTGCCCCACTAAACCTGCTGGCCGGCCTTGCAGTCCAGGGTTACAGGGCAGAAGAAGGGCTAAAAGCTTAGCATTGGAAGTCCTAGATTTGCCTCTGAGCCTCACGCAAAACTAACTCGCACCTGAGTCTGTTTTACCACCGGGGAATTGGTCGCTCAGTTTGCCTGGGACCCTCACAGTGAACGTTCTCGTGCCCCCACATAATCATCCATCACACTTCTTTCACTTCCAAGAGTCTCAGCTCAGACAATAAATAATGTCGTCACTAAAAAAAGTAGCATATCCCTTACGGAGTTTCTGGGAGGACTGAACGAGAGGGTGGGTGTGACTGTACCCAGCACCGCCTTTGGCACACGAGTGCCACGGGTGCTCACAGGACATGCAAAGCCATGCTGTGCGTGGCCTGCGGAGCCCACAGCACCCTGCCCACGCTGCCTGTATCCTGGGTGCCGCTGCCCCACTGCACCTGCTCTGGGCCTGCCTTCTCCTCCCCTGCTCCCTACACCATGGCTGTCTGCGCCTGAACTGAGCAATTCGTAGCCACAGTGAAGGCTCTGCGGAGAGTGCGTCTCCTGGCCCAGGATGAATGCTCTCCTGTCCTGGCCACACAGGTAATGAACGCCCAGGGCCATCCAGGGAAACACTCCCTTATCTCACCCTGGCAAGCCTCCCTCTTCCTCTTTTTGAGAGATGGGCAGTGGGCCCATCTGGGAGCCGTGGCCACCCATCACAGAGCCTTCACCGGGAGTGATGGATGGAACTTTTTCTCTTTCCAAAGAGAAATTCCACAGGGTGAGCCTCTCCCCTAGGCTTTGCCTGCCTCCCTGTGAGGAAGCATGAACTGTGGGAGCTTGAAGGAAGCTGTTGTGCCAAAGTTTCCTTCCACAGATGAGGAAGAGTGGTTCAGAGAGGAAGGGCGGGCACAGGGCCACAGAGCTCCGGGCATAGAACGCCGAGCAGCACCCGCACCTCTTCACGCTGGGAGCTTGGTGCGAACCTGAGCAGTTGTAAGAGCAGCAGGAGGAGCACGGAGCCCAGTCGGAGTAGGAGGGAGCATTCCAGCCCTGCTCCGGAAGGGCCCCCCAGCAGCCTGCACCCCTCCATCCCATCCCCATGAGGCCCCTGTCCACACCTTGTGATGCTAGGAGCTGACCCAGTGTTCTGCCTCTACCGTGTAGCCATGCAACATACACACACATGTACGTACACACAGTGCACCCTGCGGTGTGAGAGACACACTTCGGATTTCTCAAGTGCTGTTATCTGAAATGCACTTTTAACCTGGCTCCCCTGCATGCACAAGACCTTCTCCACTCTGCCTGGAGCACAAGCAGGTGCTGCCAGGGATGTCGTTCATAGGGAACAGGGTCCAGGGTCAGGGCCTCGAGGCCTTCAAAGAGGTCCCAATAGACAAGAGCAGGCAGGGCCCCACACAGTGTGGGGAAGGGGGCCCCAAAGCTCTGGGACTGCCAGGCCTCAGGACATGGGCCAGTCTCTAGCCTAGAGCAAGGCATCTGCTAGAAACCGAGAGGGACCACCGGAGAAGGAAGGGATGTCTTGGGAGCAGGTGTCAGGAGCACAGGGTGCCTTCACCCCTCTGCTGCCTGGCTCCGGCCCCTCTGGAACAGGAGGTAGAGTGAGCAGAGCCCACAGGGAGCAGACAGCCCTGGCCCCCAGCTCAGCCATGCTGGTCCCCCACCATGGACCAATGGCAAATCATCTAACCTCTCTCAGAGCTACTCCCGTGCTCAATATTCCTGCGCAGACTGTTGTAATCTGGAGCAAATGCTGTTGCCCAGGCCCTGCGAAAGGGCCAGCTCTGAAGGTCACCATCTCCCGTCCTGCTCCTCAGCTAACCCACCCGTGCCCGTGTCTCAGAGGTGCTCAGAATATATTTGCTGTATGAATAAATTGACTCAGCCCAATAAGGGAACAATTCTTCAATTTCCGTGCTTCTGTTTTCTCCATCTGAACACTCGTGTCTTTCATTGGTCCTGCTAATTCCTCAGCCATTTTCTCACTGAGTACAGCATCTCCCCCACCCTCTTTATCATCCCACTTGCTAAGTCTCTCCTCTGTGTCTTCGAACTTCTCTGTTGTATTCCTTTTATTTTTATTTTTTAGAGATGGGATTTCACTCTGTCACCCAGGCTGGAGTGCAGTGGCATGATCATGGCTCACCATAGCCCTGAATTCCTGGACTCACGTGATCCTCCCGTCTCAGCCTCCCAAGTAGCTGAGACCACAGATGCCTGCCATCACACCCAGCTAATTTTTTTAAAATTTTAATTTTGTGGGCAGATGGGGTCTCGCTCTGTCTGAGAGTTAGGCTGGTCTCGAACTCCTGGCCTCAAGGATCCTCCAGCCTCAGCCTCCGAAAGTGCTAAGATTACAGGTGTGAGCTACTGCACCCAGCCTTCTGTTGTATTTCTCATCTCGTCTCCCCATGCCACAGCCTGGGTGATGTCCTCTAACCAATCTCCTCTTCACTTGTGATTTTCTTCACTGTATTTCACGAGCTGTTGAACTCACCTGTTCAGGGTTTCATTTTAGCGTTACCCATGCTATTTTCAGAGGTCCATTTTTTCAAACCTCCCTGTTCTTGTATCATAATGTCTTGTTCCCCCTTTAGGGTTTGTGCTCCTCTCAGCTCCTTAATAACCATCATTATTACTCTTCCATTGTGCCTCATTACCCTCAGCGCTTAGAGTCCGATACTCCTGCTTCTTGGGCTGCTGAGCTGAGTTCATAAAGAAACACATGGGGTCCTGCTCAAGCTGTATTGTGAGCTGGTAATCATCAAGACTTTCTTCTCAACATAACTCCTACAAGACCTAAGTGTTTTGTTGATTTATTCGCAGCACCTTGAGGTATCCCAGGCCTGAGACTGATTCGTAAGATCATTCTCTGCTTGGAACTTCTGGCCCCACCTGGAAAGTGTCAGCTCCAGCTCCAAAGCAGCTCACAACAGAGGCTCAGGACACCCCTTTCTCACCGGAGAGTTTCTCCCACCAGAATCCCAGGCGGAGCTGTGCCATCCTGCTGTATCCTGGGGATTCCCTTTCCATTTCCTTCCCTGAGGAGACTCAAGCCCTCCCGTCCCATCCCTGCATGATAAGAGTCCAAAGCTTTCACACATGCTCACGCATACACAAACATGTGCACGTATGTATGCACACACACTCATGCACAGGCACGCAGACACACATGTGTGCACACACGGTCACTGAGCATTTTCTCCTGCTCCCACAGTGCTGGCTCTTAGTGACTTTTTACTGCTGGCATCTGGGGTTTTGAAATTCTTTCTTGTGTCTTCACCTGTACATGTAAAGCATGTGTGTAAGGTCATCTATTCAACAAATCTGTAAGCTTGTTTGGGGAAAGACCCGGCCCTTGCCCCATGGGCCCTGGGGCTGGCACCAGAAGTCACACTGTGTTCTATGGGTGCAATGTGCTCTGTGTCCCTTTCAGCTGCCCACAGAGCAGGGCTTTGGCTCCCCAGGGTCTCCCAGGCCTCTTTGTTGCCATCTGATGGTCATTGAGGGGACACGAGCCCAGATCTCCCACTGTGTAGGAAGAGAATGGAGACAGGGTACACAGGGCCAGCTTGGCACAACTGTCACTTAGAACATTGGCCCTTGGGCACCCCCCACTCTCCCTGCAGCCTGAACCCCTGATCCCAGCATCAGGCCCTGGCATCCAGGGTGGTTGGCAGCCAGTCCACGACACACAGCCAAACAAAAGCAGCATGGCGGCGCACTTCGGCCCCTGCCTGGGAAACAGAGTGTGCATGCCCTCCCGGGCCGGAACCTGAGCCGACTCTGCCCGGTTACACCCTGGCCTTCAGACAGGGTCTCCTGCTGACCCTCCCCGACCTGTGGGCTGGCCCGGTGCCCTGCACGGCTGCTATCTGCCAGCCCCAAGCCTGGGGAGGATGTGCCCGCAGCGCTCGGGGCCTCCGGGCCAGCCCCTGTGCCCACAGCAGCAGCCCCTCACGGCTCTGCAGTGCAGCAGAATGGAACGTGCTTCCCAGGCAGAGCCGGTGCAGGGTCCCAGGCGGCCAAACAAGCCCCGAGAGCACTGGGCCCAAGCCACCCTCCTCCCAGGCGGCAGGAGGACTGCACAGGCCCTGCGAAAGGGCCAGCTTGGAAGGTCACCATCTCCCGTCCTGCCCCTCAGCTAATGCACCCATACCCAGGGGCAGCCCAGCCTTGCCTGGGGGAAGGGTGCCCCCTCGGCCCTGACCGCAGAGGAGCAAGCCTTGCACCCTGACTTTCTGCCCCATGGCCCACCGTGAAAATACCCTGAGAGGCACGGGGACAGTGCTCGGTTCCTCCTACACCCAACTGTTTAGAGGAGGTCTGGGCAGAGGAGAGAAGTGGGAGATGAGTGCACTCTGCTAGCCCGAGTGGTCCCTGAGACAGCCTGGAGCTGATCTGCTGATTAGCTGGATTAGCTGGAGCTAATCCGCTAATCCGCTCCCCTGCACCCAGCCTCAGCCCGGCCCTCCAGCACATGCCAGCCTGCTGGCTTGGCACACACAACCCATGTCCATCGCTTGTTCCAAAGGAGAGGAGAAAGGCCCCCCTGCCTTCCTAATTCCTCACTCCCTCCTCCCTTCCTTCCGCTGCCTCTGAGTTCATTCACCCATGGTTCATTTATTCATCAACTCTGCGAAGCCCTCTCCATGCCAGGAGAGGCCCTGGACCCTCAGGAAACAATGAGAGGTCACAGGCCTGCTTTGAAAAGCTGCAGTTCAGGAGAGAGCCAGGCACGTAAACAGACATTCCCACGGATTTGTCCTAAATGTCCCCAAAAGAAGCCCATGGGCAGGAGCCGCCAGCCAGTCTGGGAGGGGCCACCTGAGCTGGGCCTGCAGCGGTCAGGGGTGTCAGCACAGGAGGGCAGGAAGAGGGTCCGGCAGACCTGGGAGACTGGGACAGACAGTGCCGGTCACCGAGGAGGGGCTCAGGGGTGTGGACTCTCACAGCAGCCGAGGAGGGTGTACTTGGTCCCGGGAGCAATGGGGGCCAGAGAAGGGCCCTGAGTGAGGCCGCTGTAGGCGTCAGATGGGTCTTGCTGAGTGAGGCCGCTGTAGGCGTCAGATGGGTCTTGCTGAGTGAGGCCGCTGTAGGCGTCAGATGGGACTTAGCAAGGCCACTCCCCCGCAGGTGGCTGCACTGGAGGTGGGGGGCTGCAGAGGCCATGGCCTTAATCTTGGGGGTGCAGTGAGGGCCAGGACACAGGCAGAGGCTGTAGGGAAGGAAACCAGAGGGTGAGCTGAGGTCACAGAGCAGCAGAATCCAGGACCTGGCAGCCCGGGGATGTGGGGGAGAGGGAGGAGGTGAGGACGGCCCTTGGGACATGGCCAGCACTTGGTGATGGACAGCAGGAGAGGCCCAGGAAAGGCTCTTCCATGCAGCAGCGAGGCCTCTGCATGCTTCCACGCAGACCAACCCAGGCCTGCTCCCCAAGCTGGGCGCCCTCCAGCCCCCCGCCAGACCCGTGTGAGGCCAGGGCAGGACCAGGCAGGCTCTCGGCAGAGAGGATCCTCTGCAGCACCCTGGAAGGGAGGAGGGATGCAGGAGGAAAGCTCATCCATTATTAATTCCTCCTGGAGACTCTGGGGCCTCCGAAGCCAATTGCATTATTTAAAACTGGCTTAAATTTGGCCCAGAACAGAGAGCTTCATCTCTCGTTGACGGCCTCCCCCTTTCCAAGGCGGCATCCTCAGGAGAGATGCTGAGCTTCCAGTGAAGAGTCAGGCCTGCACCTCTGCTGCACAGCTTGTGCACCACCACGCACACCACATCACATCCCCTGCCCGGCTGCCAGATGCGCCCAGCCATTCAGCCCTCCTTCAGCCTCGGGGCTCACAAACAGAGTATAGGACATGCATTTCCAGTGGCCTTCGGGCAGAAATCCAAGGGATCTGAGTTTCTCTGGTTGACCACCCTAAGTTAGACAGTCCTGCCACTGTCATGGGCGTCACTGGGCAGAGGGACTGGACCGTCCCCTAGAAGCAGCAGCTCGGGTAGCTGCATCCTAAGAGGACTGAGGTCTCAGCCTGGGGAAGAAGGAAGGACAGAGCCAGGAACTGGTTGCTATGGAGATTTGTTCCCCAGCAAGGGGAGTAGTTGGGGCTAACCTTGAAGGATTTCACCATGAGAAAGAGGAAAACAGACACAGATACATACATGCGATGTGAAATCTGACCTTTCCCTGGGAGGCTGGGGAGGAGAGACCTGCCAGAATAGACACTATGCGGACGGGGAGGGAAGAGGGGAAGACAGTGGCGGTGGGGGAGGAGGGTGGGGAACGGAGGAGGGTGGGGGAGGAGGGTGGGGAACGGAGGAGGGTGGGGAACGGAGGAGGGTGGGGGAGGAGGGTGGGGAACGGAGGAGGGTGGGGGAGGAGGGTGGGGAACGGAGGAGGGTGGGGGAGGAGGGTGGGGAACGGAGGAGGGTGGGGGAGGAGGGTGGGGAACAGAGGAGGGTGGGGGAGGAGGGTGGGGAACGGAGGAGGGTGGGGAACGGAGGAGGGTGGGGAACGGAGGAGGGTGGGGAACGGAGGAGGGTGGGGAACGGAGGAGGGTGGGGAACGGAGGAGGGTGGGGAACGGAGGAGGGTGGGGGAGGAGGGTGGGGAACGGAGGAGGGTGGGGACCAAGCAGACCACACTCACTGAGTCCCTGGCGTGTGCCACTCACTGATATCAAAGCCAAGTGTGTTTATCCCATTTGGCCCTCACCTAAGCCCTGTGAAGAAGGTGCCTCTAGTCCCACTTTACAGATGAAGACACTGAGACCTTGCGGGACTTGCCCAGAGCCTCAGATCAGCCAACGCTGGGGCTGGAATCCAGGTTTCTCTGACTCTGAAACTCCTATTCATCCTCCTCCTGCGGGATCCTGCAGAACCACCCCCTGAGCCGGTCAGCTCTCTGGGAGGCAGAGGCTCCAGGCCCGCCCAACAAGCCGAGCAGACGAGACTCCTCATTCACGTGGTGCTGCTGCCCAGACCCCCACAGCCCTCCACCATCTGTGAGACGGTGCTCCCAGCCAGCATGGAGGTCTTGGGCTCTGGTCCCCACCCACATCCACAAGACATCTCCCATTCCCCACCCCGCCTCTCCACGGGCGTGCACGGCCCTGCCCCAGGGGTCTCCCCTCTCACCTGCCCTCAGCCCTAGGCTGGCTGCCCCTCTGCAGACCTCTCCTTCTTTTCGAAAGCCTCTCCCAAGTCCACCTCCAGGATCTGTCCCTGAGCTCTGTAGCTACTCTGGCTCTGCGGGAGAGCTCCGTGTGCGTGTTCACCTCTTTTCTGAGAATTCCTGCTAAGGACTCAGAGTAAGGAGGGCCGGGTGCTCACATCCGCAGGACCAGAGGAAGCCGCTGGTAGGACAGGGCTCTGCACAGTGGGGTGGTGAGCGGAGGGCAGGCCAGCCTCGGAAGAATCCAGGCAGCAGCTGCTGTGAGCTGAGGGCCTTTCCAGCCCGAGAGCCACTGCATCAGCAGCGGCTAACTTGGCCCAGGACTGCCTGCAAGGCAGGAGCTACAGACTCTGGGCCGTGTGGGCTTTGTCTTACTTGGTTTCTGCATCCTAGTTGAAACATTTAAGGCAATCTATGCCCACAGAGTATCGGGACAATGATAAGTAATCAGCGCTATTTTTCTAGATAAAAGATGAACTGCCCTGGGATCCCCAAGGCCTGGAGTCTCAGAGGCACCAGAGCTGTCCCAGAGGCCTTGTTGCTCTCATCAAAGCCTTTGTGTCATCCACAGAGTTCAGTTCTCACCTGGGCTCAGCGCTTGAGATCTGGAAACTTGTGTTTCAAGGGACAGAAGCAAGCTACAGTGTGGCCGTAAGTTCCGAAAGCACAGGTAACGGTAGGTAGTAAATGGCTTTGATATTACAGCACAAGATAGACTGGATGGTGACACAGGCTATGCTCTAGGTGTTTTCTTGCATTCACGATGTGTAGTACAGGGCGCAGCGCAGAATTGCAAGGAGCACGTTGCAACCTGGTGAACCTCCCCAACACCACTGCACGTGCATCTGTGAGACATTGCCACATACGATTCGGGTCACCTCTTTTCAAAAATATATTTGTGCCTATACCATTCCAGAAGAAATCCTCAAGGGGGTTAAGAACTGGGGGCATCCAGCCTCCTCTACCCTGCCACTACCCAATCCAGGCTGGGACTTCTCCATCCTCCAGCCGCCCGCAGTCTCTGGCCCCTCTGCTGTGGTGTGTGGCCCTCAGACTTGAGCAGAGACATCCTGAGCGGCCTCTCCCTAGCCTGTCCAGTGCAGGGGAGTAGTGACGGGCCACTAAACATGGCCACATAAAGGAATAGACAGCTATGTTTCTGCAACTAACGGCCACATCACAGCTCAGTCCAAGGGGGAATTGATTTACTTAGTATCAAGTTGTAGAAAGGGAAAGGCCAGAAGGGTAGATGCGGCCTCAGCGGGGGCTGCATGCAAGGCTTGATTCAGATCTCTCTCCCCATCTCTCTCCCTCTTCCTCCCTGTCTCTTCCTGTCTGTCTCCCTCTCTCTGTCTCTGTCTCTCTCTCACACACACACACACACACAGCTTCTTGCTCCCTGTGGGCCAGCTGTTGTCCCTGCGAGGCTGCACCCTGGCAGCACATCCTCACACACCCAGAGCAGACAGCAGAGAAGCCTCTTCCACCAGCTCTGGTTAGAAAATGCCAAGGGAGGCCTGGGATTGGTCCCAGACTGGTTCACTCTTGTCCCTGGATGGGTCAGGCCAGGCAGGAGCGGGGGCACTGGGGTGGGTGGTGCTACCATGTGCTCCCCACATCACAAGGGAGCATGCTGATCAGCGACCCCCACCCCAAACCATGCAGTTGGCAAAGAGGGACCCTTCCTCTAAAGGAAAGGGTGGGGTCTGACCAGCCCCAGCAAGAAATGCGTGCTGCAAGAACCTTTCCATAGTACAAACGGCTCTGACTGGCAAAGGCAGACCACCCCCGAGAGACCCCCACTGGGCTTCTTTCAAAACCACGCAGTTCACGTGAAAGAACACCTGCAGTCTTCAGGAGGCTGAGCCACACTCGTGTGGAACTCAGCTGGGCATGCGGCCTTCTCGATACTGTTCTTGAGTCTGGTGCCTCCCAGTGACACTGACTCACCGAACACCCTGCCCTGTGTCACACTGTGTAGGGGGCCACGATTTAGCAAATGAAACGACAGGACACCGAACTAAACTGGAATTTCAGATAAACAGCAAATAACATTTTAGTACAAGTGTGTCCCATGCAGTATTGGGGACATGTTGTACTAAAAAGTTCTTCCTTGTTTATCTGAGATTCAGATTAACTGGGCAGCTTGAGCTGTAGCTGGCACCCAATCCCGAGCCCTGGGCTCGCCTGGGCCTGCTCGTCTGGGACTCTGAACCTGGCGTGCTCTTTCTCTGTCAGTGGCACTGCACTGGGAAAAGGAGAATTTTCTTCTATTTGACATATTCTGATCCTCTTGCTAAAGGATGCTCCCCTTTAAAATCACAGGTATTGAAGAGACAAGAATATTTTCTACTGAATATTTTATACTCACCAAATAAAACACAATGTAATCTAAACATGGTTATAAAAAATACCTTCACACTTATTTCAAAAAGTCGTTTACGCCACAAACGACCCAATTTAAAAATGGGCAAAGGACTTGAGTAGACATTTCTCCAAAGGAGATGCACAAATGGCCAATAAGCACATGGAAAGACCTTCTGCATGACTAGTCATGAGAAAATACAAATCAAAGCCATGAGGGATCACCTTATGCCCATTAGGATATTATCAGAAAAATGAAAACTAGTAAGTGTTGGTGATGATATGGAGAAATTGGAACACTTATACCTTGCTAATGAGCATATAAAACTCTACAGCCTCTGTAAGAAAAAGTACAGTGGTTCCTCCAAAAATTACACTTAAAACTATCACATGATCAAGGAATTCCACTTCTGGGTATATACACACAAGAACTGAAAGCAGGGACTCAGACAGATACGTGCACCCATGATCACAGCAGCTTTATTCTGGGTATATACACACAAGAACTGAAAGCAGGGACTCAGACAGATATGTGCACCCATGATCACAGCAGCTTTATTCACAATAGCCAAAACAGCAACCCAGGTGTCCATGGATGGTTAAGTGGATAAGCCAAATGTGGTCTATGCGTATCGTGGAACATCAGGCAGCCCCATAGAGGAAAGAAATCCTGACACCTGCTACCACACAGTTGAAACCGGAGGCCATTGTGCTGGTGAATAAGCCAGTCAGGAAAGAACAAATACTCTATGGTTCCACTTATGAGAGCTACCCAGGGTCGTCAGATTCATAGAGGTAGAAAACAGAACATTGGGTATCAGGGACTGGGGGCAGGGGAAAATAGAAAGTTCATATTTCTTGGGTGCAAAGGTTTCATTTTACGAGATGAAAGAGTTCTGGAGATGGATATTGGTGATGATTGCATAATCATGTGAATGAACTTAATCCCACTGAATGACTTAAAACAGGTAAAATGCTAAATTTTATGTTATGTATATTTTCTCACAATAAAGCAATTTGAAGAGGAGTATTTCACTTACTTCCATCCCTTTGAACAATATCAATGCAGATATTTTACATCCTCTGAAGAGCTGGGCACATATATATATCACTTTTTTTTTTCCAAGACAGAGTCTCACTCTGTTGCCCAAGCTGGAGTGCAGTGGCACGATCTCAGCTCACTGCCACCTCCACCTCCCAGGTTCGAATGATTCTCCTGCCTCAGCCTCCAGAGTAGCTAGGAGTACAGGCATGCGTCATCATTCCCAGCTTATTTTTGTATTTTTAGTAGAGACGGGGATTTCCCCATGTTGGCCAGGCTGGTCTCAAACTCTTGACCTCAGGTAATCTGCCCTCCTCGGCCTCCCAAAGTGTGGGATTACAGGCATGAGCATATATCACATTTTACTCAATCCTGAATCTATGCAGGCCTTCATTTGTGTACTCGATTTGCAGAATATATCCTTGCCCCCATACACTCATGTGCGGTTTTGTCCATGTTCATGCCATTGCTTAACAAAACGAATAAATAAAGACAGTGTCTCTTTCTCAGGCCGGATTTGCAGAACATGGTTTCAGGTAAAGGAGGGACGAGCCACTCAGGGTGGTGCCCTGCTCAGAGCCGGCGGTGCTCTGCTCTGCTCCAGTGACCCGCAGAGAGATGGCTGTGCACAAACAGGGTGTGTGCACAGAAGAGGGGTCAGGGCAGTAAGAGATCTAGAAACCCCTTCTTATGGGGCCTGGGAAAAAGAGCACGAAGCTGGGTGTGGCTTCAGAGGAGGGGCCAATGGTCTCGGAACATCCGAGGAGTTGCTATGCAGAAGCCTGATTCGATTCATTTCACATTTCTCCAAACGACAAGCTCCACCCTGTTTAGAGTTCTAAGAACTGCTATCAATCATGCCCCGTGCAGACATATACGCCTCTTTGTGCGTAATGAGCCCTCTGGCTCTCGGACAGGCCAAAGGGATGTCAGTGCTCAAGGCAGCATGGGACAGCGGGCGCTTCTCACTTTGGGTGAGAGCTTGGGGTAGAATTCTTCTCAGTCCCTTCAGAATCATAGATTCCAGGACACGACCCACTGAACGCCTGCTGCACTCTCTGACATCACCCTGTGAGTTCATCTATTTTGTTAGGCATCCAACGTTAAGGCATGGCGACTCTTGTTTCTTTGTTCCAGTCCCACGACTCCTTGGACAGAGCCAGCGATCCCTGCTAACCACCCTCCCAGCAACTGAACCGTGTTTCTGAGGCACCATTCAGTGCCCAGCACTATGCCAGATGCTCCGACAAGCAGGCCTGTAAGACATGTTCCCGCCTCTAATGGAACTGACATTCAGTGGAGGAAATTCTTAGCAAAAATGTCTGGCACATGGTTGATGCTCAACGATGATGACTTAGTTGGATTAATTATACAATACAGGATTAATTATACAGGATAATCATTAGGCTCAAACTCAACAGGGTTCTCAAGGAAGCAAAGGAATCCAATTTAGTGTATATTAGTCATGGTACGTTTCAAGAAAGAAATGGCACTTGAGCTAGGCCTGGAAAATTCAGAAGGAAATAGCAGGTTAAATAATGGGCAAGCCCCATTAGAGGTGAAATAGAACATTTTAGCTACCAGTTACTGGTGCTGGGCATTGAGCTAAGTCCTCTACACATTATTCCGTTTAATCCTCACGTAGCCCAATGAGATCAGTGTCGACACCCATTTTGTAGTCAGGAAATCGAGGCGTAAAGATGTATGCAATTCACCAGTGGCCACATGGCCAGCAAATCACTGGGCTTAGATCTGAGCCCTGGGTGGAAACCGCTACACAGTTGGCCCCTCCTGGGCTGGGGGCAATTAAGAGCAGTCCGTGCAGGGGCAAGGTGGCTCTGAGAAGATGGGGAACAAGGTTCAGGAGGGAAAGCAGGCCTCGGTTAGGGGCCTTGGGATCCAGGCAGAGGAGGTGCCACAGTCAGCAGCAAGAGCCGCCGCAGGGTCCTGAGGCGGGAGCCGGCCCGGTTCTCACTGCGCCTCCCCGCGGCCGGCCCGGTTCTCACGGCGCCTCCCCGCGGCCGGCCCGGTTCTCACGGCGCCTCCCCGCGGCCGGGCGGGCTCTCACGGCGCCTCCCCGCGGCCGGCCCGGTTCTCACTGCGTCTCCCCGCGGCCGGGCGGGCTCTCACGGCGCCTCCCCGCGGCCGGCCCGGTTCTCACTGCGCCTCCCCGCGGCCGGGCGGGCTCTCACTGCGCCTCCCCGCGGCCGGGCGGGCTCTCACGGCGCCTCCCCGCGGCCGGGCGGGTTCTCACGGCGCCTCCCCGCGGCCGGGCCGGCTCTCACTGCGTCTCCCCGCGGCCGGCCTGGTTCTCACGGCGCCTCCCCGCGGCCGGCCCGGTTCTCACTGCGTCTCCCCGCGGCCGGCCCGGTTCTCACGGCGCCTCCCCGCGGCCGGCCCGGTTCTCACGGCGCCTCCCCGCGGCCGGCCTGGTTCTCACTGCGCCTCCCCGCGGCCGGGCGGGCTCTCACTGCGCCTCCCCGCGGCCGGCCCGGTTCTCACGGCGCCTCCCCGCGGCCGGGCGGGCTCTCACTGCGCCTCCCCGCGGCCGGCCCGGTTCTCACGGCGCCTCCCCGCGGCCGGCCCGGTTCTCACTGCGCCTCCCCGCGGCCGGGCGGGCTCTCACTGCGCCTCCCCGCGGCCGGCCCGGTTCTCACTGCGCCTCCCCGCGGCCGGGCGGGCTCTCACTGCGCCTCCCCGCGGCCGGCCTGGTTCTCACTGCGCCTCCCCGCGGCCGGCCCGGTTCTCACTGCGTCTCCCCGCGGCGGGCCCGGTTCTCACGGCGCCTCCCCGCGGCCGGGCCAGCCTCCCCGCATTCCCAGAGCACCTCCCCGTGTCAGAGCCAGAACATCCCAGAATGGACAATGCCAGACAGCTCGTTTCTCTCCCTCCAACAATAAACAAGATAACCACTTGTCAGTCCTCCCCCTGGGGCCGCCGATCAGGAGGAAAATCCCTCAGCTTCCTGCAATGGCTGTGTTCCCCCGGCCTTCTAGCAATTTCAGGAAGCATGAAAGACTTTATTCATCAGGACCCAAAACCAATCTGCCTTTTCCTCCAGCTTCATCCATCACCATCTTTACCTGCTGCTGGGGAGGTGGGAAGGGGGAGGAAGGAATCACCCACCTTCCTTCCATCCCCACTCTCTGCTGGCCTGCAGCCCTCCAAGGCGCTCCTATCAATTGGATCAAAGGTCACTGGCTTAGACAGAAGTGACCAGGTGTTTCCCATGCCTTCGGCTATTAGGAGCCCTGTGGGGACTGGAGCCGGCTGCCCTGGGGAATCTGCAGGTGCAAGTGTGAGTGCGGGATGCAGGACCCTCAGGGCAGGCACTGGAGCTGGGCCAGAGGCGAGAGGGGCTGAGCAGCAGTTCCAGCAAGCACCGAGGACATACGACAGGACAGGCACACCCGTATTCAAGGAGACACAGGCAGCACTTGTGTCTAACACATGCCTGCCATTAGCACCCATGACCAACATCCCAGGGCAAGTGTACACGAACTGCACCCCTGTGCACACAGCAGATCCACACGAGGACAAGCTTGCGCTCCTCTTGATTTATAAACATGCTTACCCGACCGCTCACTCACTGCCTGTCCCATCAGCCACACTCCTCATCAGTGCCTGTGCTCCTCAGATGGGTGCCGCCTCCCTCTCGCTCTTTCTTTTTATGTCAGCAAATGCCACCACATCCACAAGAAAGCCACAATGCCCATGGCTCTGATCCAGTGTGTGTGATGGTGCCCACACAGGGAGTGGTCACAAGTACCCCAGTGTTTGTGTGTGTCTGTGTGTGTGCTTCTGTGTTTGCAGGTGTCTCTGCATGTATGAGTGGATCTGTGTGTCTGTATCTGTGTGTGTCTCTGTGTAGTATGTATGCGTGCATGTGTCTGTATGCGTGAGTCTGTGTGAGTGTTATCTGTGTGTGTGCATGTGTCTGTGTGTGTGTGAGCTGGTCTGTGCATGTGTGTGTCTGTGGGTGCGCCTGTGTGTGAATGGATCTGTGCATGTGTGTCTGTGTGAGCAGGTCTGTGCATGTCTCTGTGTGAGCTGGTCTGTGGGTGTGTGTGTGTGAGCTGGTCTGTGCACGTGTGTGTGAGCTGGTCTGCGTGTGTCTGTGGGTGTGCATGTGTGTGTGTGAGCTGGTCTGTGCGTGTCTGTCTGTGAGCTGGTCTGTGCATGTGTGTCCGTGGGTGTGCCTGTGTGTGAATGGATCTATGCATGTGTGTCTGTGGGTGTGCTGGTCTGTGCATGTGTGTGTCCGTGGGTGTGCATGCCTATGGACTCCCAGCTCCATGTCACCACATTCCGCCCCTCCCTGGTGCTAACCTCGGCATCTGCAAAGTGAGCACAGATGTCGGGTCTCCCTGGGGGCCACCCCCTCCTACTCCCTGGGTGGGGCCCCTTCCTCCAGGATCTGGAGGTAGCCTGTAACCCACAGCCTCCAGAGAAGGATCTGTCTCCCTGCTCCGCCCTCACTCCAGGCCCCACTGCTTGCTCAGTGTGGAAGACGCTGCACTCTGTCCACACTGCAGACAGAGCGGATGGACGGGAATCACTCCACAGTCAATGCAATGGAGAAAGGGGAATCCACTGGCCCGTGGGAAGGGGTGGCCAGGGAGAGGAGGGGTCTGCAGTGCTTACGGTTCTGGGTGGACTGAGGCAGCCCTGGAAATCCCGAGGCAGGAGCGTGGTGTGTGGAGAGAATGACCATTGACAACGTGAGGCTGGGAGGTGGCACCAGGACTCAGGCCTGGGTGGGGAAGGTGGATGGAAAGCTTTTACAGAAAAGAGACAGAAAAGGGTAAGTGTGAAACAAGGAAACACTCCAGTGAAACAGATACAGTGGCTGAAGTCACCACAGCAGCATTGAGAGACCCATAAGGAGAATATCACGTGTCAACGAAAAGCCCGCTGGTCACGTATGTTCACGGTGCGGCGGTGAGAGGTCCTCCGCAGGGCTCCACTCAGCATGGGTGCAATTCCAGAGACGCAGGGACTGTGAAGGGCTCACATCTGAAAATGGGGCCCTCTACCTTACCTGTAGAGGAGGGACCCTCTCCAGCCCATCGGCCTTTGGGAGGTGAATCTGTTTGCTGGGATGCAGGATGAACCTCCTGTCTAAGGGGCCTGGAGCTGAGACTTTGGCGTGTGTCTCCGACTCTAAAAGCCTGGTGCTCCAAACACCTGCCACCACGTGTTGCTGGCTTGTTCATCTGCACACTGTCGTCACAGTTCAATGCTCCCTTGAAAATGAGATTTTCCTCTGCGTGGGGCAGGAGTGATGGACCTGTCTGAAAGATGTGTGTCCTTCTGCAAATGAGCCTGCTTTTAATATAGTTGAGGATAGATTGACAGAGGCAGATGGATGGATGATACAAGATAGATACATAGATGGATGATTGATTGATTGAAGATATGTATTGTAACTGGTTTTGGAGAATAGTGTCTTAGTAGAGTAATAGACCAAAAATAATAAAATCATTAGAAACCTAAGAAATAAATGAAAAAATGAAAATTGGCAAGAAAATTAGTATAAAGAATATTTTTTATTTGGTGGGAATAAATGATTGGCAATGGGTAACTGGCACAGGCAGCGGGAGATGGATGGATGGTGCCAACCTTCACATCTGTGGGCTGTGGCCTATAACCAGCTGTTGACAAGCCCCCTGTCACTTAGACCTCCCGACAAGCCTGCGAGGAGACACTCCTATTATCCCATTATTGAGGCACAGAAAGGTTGACCGATTTGTCCAAATCCCACAGCCTGTGAGAAGAAGAGATAGGACCTCAGCCCAGCTGCTGGAATGAAAAGTCAAAGTTCTTGACCATTTGGCTGTGCTCCCTCTCCCTGGGGTGGGCAGAGGCAGACAGGACCAATCCACAGGAGCACATGGCACCACACTGGCCTGATTCTTCCAACCCTGCTGTCTCCTGTCACAATCCTCCTAACTAAACCACAAATGTGACAGAAACCTTCCAATCCACGTGTGCCAACACAGAGACTCTGATGCCGCCTTAACCCTGAGTTCTGCAAAACAGCAGAGGGGCCAGTGTCCTCTTTTTACCAAAATGGCTCATCTCACAGTCTCACCTTCCCTTCAATCCCAGCCTGCTTCCTGGCTATGGAGAGAACCTCGTCCTGCTCTTAGTCGAGCTAGTTGCTTTTGCTGTGACTGTTTCCAACTACAGGCCATGCCAGAGGGACAGGGAGGGAAAGGCGAGCACGGAACGCATCCTCCGTGAGGTCCCCAGGAGGCTTCTGTAAAGAAAGAAGTCAGCTTTGGAGCAGGAAGCATCTGCTGTGCTCTGGTCAGCAGCTGTTGGGGGAAGGCCTGGAACCTGCTTTTCGTGCTGGGGCTGCCAGGCCATCATCCAGCCTCACTCAAGGCAGAATTCAGAAGGTTCTGGGATCTTTCAAATGCAAATGGGCTCCCTCTTTCTGGGCCCAAGGGTGTGCACTTTGCCCTTAAACCTCCACTGAGCTTATAGATCAAAACGCTTACAGAAGATAAAAGCTAGAGGGAAAGCTAAATCTTAGACACAGGATTCAAACTTTTAGGTATGTAACTGGGGAAACTGAGGCCCAGTGAGGTGAAGTGTCTTACTGAAGGCCATCCCTTCAAGTCGTGCACCCTGGGCTGGATGTATGGTCCTGCCCAGGACCCCTGTGTGGCCTGGACGCATGGGACCCCGCCCCAGAGGGAGCCCTCTCTGCCTCATGAACCTGCCACCCAGCCCTGGGCAACTGGTGCCTGAGCTCATAGCTTACTTCAACATGAGCTTCAAATAATAAGAATCATAATGAAAGTAAGACTTCCTCCAACCGAACACGTAAGTTTTCCAGCCTCTCCCTGGATAACCTGCTGTCTCTGACACCAGCTGACCTTGGCAGATTGCAGAGAACCATGCGGCCTTTCCACTCCAAGCTTGCCCTGCAATGCTCCTCCTGAAAGGGCCAACAGCGCTTCTGCACCCTCAGACCTCCAGGCAGCCCGCAGGATGCACACCCCGTCAGGGCTGGTGCTGTTAGCATGAGTTTCCTCACTGCTGCTGGCCATGTCATCAGAAGTCAGGGGTCCAGACTGCTACGGCGTTCAGTTCTAGATGTTGTCCTTTGGCGTTAGAAATCAGCATGATTCTTGGCAACAATGTAGTACACAGTGATTACCAAATGGAGCACCGGGGAAGTAATAGTGAAGCTTTCCATGCCAAGCAGGGTGAGAAGCAGGCGGGGGATCTGGGAGAGGAGCAGGAGGGGGTCGGGAGACTGCGTGGTGTTCTGCCATTTTGCCTTCATGACAACCTTCTGAAGTGGGTTCCACTGTCCTGTTTCACAGATGAGAAAACTGAGGCTTAAGAGAAAAAGCAGTGACTGGCCCAGGCACGCACACATCGTGAGGGTGACTCTGGCTTTGAAGCAGCCGGCCTGGTTCTGGTGTGCTCACCGGCTCCTTGGGGCACACGCAAGGAACGGCCGTGCAGTGCTACAGTTAAGACCACACATTCCAGGGCAAGACCGGCTGGATGGGAATTCTGCTCTGCCACTTTGGGCTGTAGGTCCTTGGGCTAGTTGATTAATAACCCCCTGAGCCTCGATTTCCCCATCTCTGAAATGGAAATAATAATAGTGCTGCCCTATAGGGCTATTGTAATAAGCATACGTTTGGAAGCAGGCTTGTCACATAGTAAGCTCTACACAAGTGTTACCCATTTCTAGCATTCTGTCTGTATCTCTTCTCCTTACCTCACACGGCCATGTCTCCAAAATCAAACCCTCAGCTGCAAGACCCCTGCTGCCCTGAGGGAACAGGGTCTACAATAAATCAGCTTGTCTACTGAAAGGTGGGGTAGGCTTCTAAGCAAGAGAGGCTGCTCAGGGCAGAAGACACACTTGGTGACAGGCAGGGAGTCCCCCAGAATTAATTGCTCACCACCATGTCACTGCTGGTGACACATTTGCAATTACTGTCTCCCTGGGAGAAAAAACGGCCCATCCTCTCCCAGCTCCAGTCCCCACAGTCTTGGGCCTGATTTTAGTAGGTCTGAGAGGCAGTACCTGCCAGTCCCAAAGAGTGAAATGACCACAAGATAAGGAGGTCCTGGGTCTTAAACGACAGGCCGGCTTTTCCGGTCTGTTCCAGTCAGTGACGGGAACTGGGCATGTGCTGGCATCCTTCCAGTGGGGTCTGTAATTGAGATGGAGCCTCTGGGAGCTTGGGGTGGGAGCACAAATACGAAGCATAGCATTTATTGATGAGGACAAGTCTGGGAGGTAAACCTGAACGCTCTCTGTTCTCACCTGGCCTCAGACTTTTGTCTCACCATGCATGAGAGCAGACTTGAGGAAAGAAGGAAAATAAACATTGGGTCCCCTGCCGGATTTCCTGGAGACAGGGATAGTCCCTAGACAGGCCCAAACATCAGCTTTGCTTCTGTTGTTTGCATCTGAGCTCAGCCTGTGTCAACATTGTAGAGAACAGAGCATGAGAAGCGCTAAATTTCCTCCACCGGCACACTCCGCAGTGGAGCACATTTTGTTTGCACCACCAAAGTCCTTCGCAAACTCTTCATCTGAGGTGTCCAGGATTCCACCAGGCCCCTGTGTCGGCAGAAGCCCAAAGCCACGCGAGTTGTCTTTCTTGGGTTTGTAGCGTCCGCCCCAACACAACCTACAGCATAGGTGGGTGAAGGGGACCCCCGGTCTCAGAGTCACAAACCCAAGGTTGTAGACCTACAGATGTCCCTCAGCTTAATGACAGGATTATGTCCCTATAAACCCACAATAAGTTGAAAATATCTTAAGTAAAAAATGCAATTAATGCACCTAAACTACTGAGCATCATAGCTTAGCTTAGCTGAGCCTACATTAATATGCTCAGAGCGCTGACATTAACCTACCATTGTGCAAAACCATCCAACGCGAAGCCTATTACGTAATAAAGTGTTACATATCTCAGGGAATTTTTTGAATACTGTGAAAGCAAAAGGCAGAATGGTTGTGTCGGTAGTACAGTTTCTATTGAATGTGTATTGCTTTGGCACCATTGAAAAGCCAAAACACTGTAAGTCAAACCGTCATAAGTTGGGGACTGTCTCTAGTTCTGTCAATGACCAGGTGTACCCAGTGGGCACCGGGAGCAAAGCTGTAGCCTCCCTGAGCTCCCTTGAGCATCTCTCCCTCTGAACCTGTTTAAACCCTACGGTGTCCTCCATCCCCGTGACATTGCCCCCAGCCCGGCACGAGCAGAATGAAAGGCTCCTTCTCTGGGTTCCCTGGGCTTCCTCCTCTGGTCCCTCATTGAAACTGCTGTCCCCCTCTCCACTCCAAGCTCCCTGCCGGCAGGAACTGTGTCTCTCCAACCTTATTCTCACTCATGGCACAGCGCTTGGCATGCTGCAGGTGCTCAAGAGATGACTGTGAATGGATGGAGGCGTGCCTCTTGCAGAACAGATGGCTGGGGGCGGAGCCTGGGCACTGTGTCAGGCAAGGGGGCCCCCAGGGGTATGCAAGGAGCTGCTGCTTTTGAAGTACTCTCATCTGTTTGGGGAGTTGGTGTTTAGGCAGAAAGAGATGGTGCAAAGCCCAGGCGGCAGATGCCACATGCCCAAAGAGCAGCTCAGGTGGTGACACCACGGCATGCGCGGCGATCAGTGCAGCCATGAGGGGCTATCAAACCACAAGCTGAGTGACCAGTGCCCTCAAGGATGAGGACAGTGATTTACTCGGGGTCCTTCCTTATTCAACTATGCATATACGTATCCTCTGCTCTGGGAATTAGGAGGAGGACCCAGCAGTGGGGTTAGGGAGGGGCTCAGCCTCAGATGCCAAGAAACAGTTCTGCTTCCTTTAACACACACCCCAGCCTGGGCAACCATGGAAGCCTCCTCCTGTTATCAGTGTTCACTTGCAGAGTTAAGGCTCCAAGGTGTGAAGGGAAAGGGCTCGCCCTGCTTAGAGAAGGGGGAGGCTCTGTGCCTGCCTATGACACTGCCCCTGAGAGACCTGCAAACCTGGTGTCCCAAACTTTTCCTACCACCCAGTCTCTCTGTACGGCTGGAGCAATGGTCCTGTCTATCTAGGGGCTGCCTGCCCTTCAAAGCCAGCTCAGGCCTTACCTCCTTCACGAAGCCTGCCAGGGCTGCACCCCAGAGGCTCTCACCTTCCTCTGAACCCCTCCTCCTTACTGTCTGTCCACTATTGCCATCATTCATTCATTCTTAAAAGTAAGAGTATTTGCAAATAGGAACCATAATATTTTGACTTCCTATTTCCTCTCCAAAGGTAGTGGGGACCAATGGGGGGAAAAGACACAATTGGGAATCAGTTCCTGCTGTTCTATCCCATAAGCTGGAGACATGGAAGAGAAGGAGGTGGTGCAGGTGAGGGGAGAGGACTGAGAGAGGGCTGCTGTAAGACCAGCTCAGCACGGGAGAAAGGCGGGAGCGCGTCTCCAGGGGGAGGAGGCTCCGGGTGTGCTCCCCATGCCAGGGTCAGGTACCTCCCGGTGATTCCCAGCCCCAAACCCACACGCTGAGTCAGGGGTCTGCATCTGCTGCTCAGCACTGCTGATGCTGGGGCTGCTACGCAGTAATTACCCACCAAGTGTCTGGTTATTTCTGTCTCTAGCAGGAGGACGGATCAGAAGGGGCAGAGTCCAGAAATAGCAAAAGCAATTAGCAGGCCGGCTTCTGAGGGCATAATTACTGTGCAAGAACCAGGCCCTGGCAGGTAACCCTCGGCCTAGTTACCAGGTAGCGAGAGGCAGGGACACCAGCGTGCCCTCCCCAGCCCCAAAGCGGTGCTCGGTGCTGGGTGTGCAGGGTGCAGTGTGAAGGAACGTCAGCGTCCAGGGCGCCTTCTCCCTCAGGGCCCTTGGTGGACCCAGAGCTCTGGGTGGGCTGAGAGGTCCTGCCTGGCACATACTCTGTGCTCTCAAGACAGGCTAAAAGGCCTGGGGGACCCTGGAGGGGAGTGCCAAAGACCACCTACCGTTATCCGCCACCTCACCGTCCACCTGCTACCGCCACCTTCTTTGAGTCAATTCCTGTTTGCAGTCCCTGTTAGATTCAGGTGCCCTGCCACAGTGTCAAAGTGGTGCTGAGGTGGGGAAGCCGTGCGGGGCAGAGGCGGGAGGGGAGATGGAGCCCAGAGCGTCCCCTCTGTGCCCTCAAAGGCTCACCCTCCTGCCGAGGAGGAAGGACAAGAGCAGCCCTTCAAATCAGTGTTCACGATGTCTGCCCACCAGGCTGCAGGATTGAGCGATCTGGGTGTGAAATAAATCAAGGAAGGCTTCCTGGGGGCGAGTGCCTGCAGAGCAAGCCTGACCTTTTCAGCCTCCAGCCCTCCTCAGCCTCACTGCCACGCCCAGCAGTGCCCCTCCCTCCACCGAGCTGCCCTCTTGCTTCTTCAGCCTTCCCAGCCCTCTGGATGCTTTCCCAGGTGCCTGGGACAGAGAGTGGCCTCACCTGCCCAGGTCGGACATAACACCCTCACTCTGGGCCCCCAGCCCTCTGTGTAGTTGGGCACAGCGGATAGGGTCAGGAGGCGGGAGTGGGAGAGTGTCAAGTTAAGTTCCAGCTCTGCCACAGGGGGATGTGGGGGCCCAGCGAACCCCTAACACACTCAGGGGCCTTGTGTAGACTGGTGGGCATTGCCAGGACTGTGAAGGCACCTGCCGTGCCCAGCACCTGAGCTCTGGTGTGGTGGGAGCTTCTCCACTTCTGCTCCACCAGGCCCATGCAGGCCAGCCCCGCCTCACTGGCACTGCCTCCAGCAGCACATATCCACCACCAGGCTGCATCTTCCCAGTGGAGACCCAGCACCGCCTCCCTGGAGAGTCAGCCTGCACTGGTCACTGTGCCAACAACCCTGGCATGGGCACCCCCTCTAGTGAGGAACTCCGGTCCCTGCCCTGAGGCTGCTTCCAGGGACCACAAGCTTCTCAGCTGGGTCCCTGTACCAACTGATGAGGAGAAAACAGCATTTCTCTCTCAACACACAGAGCCGAGAGGCAGCTGCTTGTGGATCCAGCTGGAGCTGGCATCAGAAATTCTGTCCCTGGGTTCTAGGCCCTGGTTTGCAGTATTCGTGAGGCCCGGAGTGAATCACTTCCTAGCTCTGAATATTAGTTTCCTGTCTATAAGCGGGAGGGCTTCCTCCCACCTGCTCCATAGAGTGATTGCGAGGAGAGGTAGGGAGAGGCGGATGAAAATCCGTTCTGTGCTTGGTTTTCTCTCCAGCCATCCTCTCTGAGCCTTGAGGGACAGGTGAGAGCTGGAGCTCAGAAAGGTGCAGGTAAGTTTCACAAGGCCCACCTAGCCATACCTGGGGAAGAGCACTGGGGCCACCAGCACCCCGGACCCCTCCTCTGCACTGCCCAGCCAGTCTCTGCAGGCTCTGACCCCTTGGCCAGGCTGGCCAGCCCCAGCAGAGCCCCGTCCCCGCACACCCGCGCGGCAGACACTGTCAATAACGGAGTGCAGGCTCTGACCCCTTGGCCAGGCTGGCCAGCCCCGGCAGAGCCCTGTCCCCGCACACCTGCGTGGCAGACACTGTCAATAACGGAGCGCCATGTTTGTCTAATGGATTTATCACTCTTACGAATGCAGCTTCATCAACAAAAGCAGGTGAAAATCGATGTCAAGGCAGCTAAGTGAGCTGCACTTTCCCTCACGGCTTGGCAAGTATTGATAGCCTTTTTGTCCACTTGGTGTTTTGCACCCAATGTGGCACTGAAAACAGGAACAAAAATGCCCTTGGCTCTTCTTGCCGACAGTCCCTTGGCTCCAGTTCAGGACAGGGTGCTGGAGCTACGCGCTCCCCATCCAGCCCTCACCGTCCTGCCCTGGAGCAGTGCATCACCTCCGGGGCTTCGTCTCTCCAGGAAAGAAGGGCAGCTCCTCTGCAGCCCCACACGGCTCTCGCTGATACAGGCAAGAACATCACCTGCAGAGCTGGGGAAAGCCACCCACCCTGAACCGGACCAGAGAGAGGACAGGCATTTGTTTTCACACGTGCACATGCATGTGTGTGCGGGTGTGTGTGCAGGTGTGTGTGGGTGTGTGCACTTGTGGTTGGTTTGCTAGTTGGTTTCGTTTGGTTTGGTTTTTGGCTGAAGTGGGGATTGGCTGGTTGGGTTGGAAGAAGATTTTGGAGGAATGTTGGGTGCTTCTTGGCAAAACTGCATTAGGATTTGGAAATAAAATGGGACAGGAAGGCGGCGATGCCTTAGAAGTTGCGCTGGATTTCTGTTTGTTGAAATGTGTCCCGCACAGCTACCTCGGCTTCCTCCTGTGTTCAGTGTCTGCTGGGGTGAGTCGGGAAGACAGGGAACCATCCAGTGGAATGAGCTCCGGATGACAAGTGCTTAAAATGCTTTCAATTAATTTTGTTTATATATTAATTGCCAATTAAGAGCAAAGCACCATTCCAAGTTCTGGGGAAAATAGGGAGAAGAGGTACAGATGGAGGAGGGCTTCTTCATCTGTCTTCTCGTTTGACAAGAACTTGTGCCAAGAATTTCCCATATGTTACTTCCAATCCCTACGAGGACCCTCAGACTAGGCATTATTACCCCATTTTAGAGATATCACAACAGAGGAGCCCAGCTTCCCCAAATCACACAAACAACAAGAGACTAAAATGGGATTTGAATGCAGATTTGCCCACCACCCAAACTCAAGCTCTCTGCACACTGAGACGCAGGAAAGCAGACAGTGGTGTCGCCCCATCTTACAATTCAGAAGATGTCCACAATTCTGTCTTCCTACTGACCCGCATCAGCAACCCCCAGGAGGGCTTGTTGAAACAAGGATTGCTGGCCCACTCCGGAGGCTCTTCCCCAGTATGTCTGGAATGGGGCCCAGGAATGTGCACTTCAGAAAGACCCCAGGTGGTGCTGGCACCGTCGATCCAGGGATCACACTTGGACCACTATAGACTCTATCCTGGGTGCTGGAGACTCCAGGAGGGTCAGGTGGCTGTTCAGTGAAGTTGCTGTGGAACCTTCTGGGGTTCCTGGACTACTGACAGGCCCTTCTCTGCAGGAGCACCGCTGCCAGCCAGTGGGAGGGACTGGGGGCTCAGTGCCCCGACTCCCAATGCACAGGAGTCCCGTAGGCTTCCCCACTTGGGCCCTAGGTTCCCTTTCGCCTTCCCTTCCTTGCTCTTAATTCAGAGCCCTTTTCTTCCTTCCAGATGGTGAAGCCCTCTCGGCAAGGAGAGAACCATCTCACTCTCCCTTCTTGTCTTCCATTCTTCTCATGGAAGCAGAGTGAGGATTCTGTCTTATTTAAACAAGCTTGAGGGACTTGCTTCTGATTTTGTGCAGAGCAGATTTTTTATATGTGGTAATGTATTTCTGGGTTTATGTTCCCCAAAAGCATGTACAAATTTTGGATAGATATACGTGTGCCTTATTCTTGAGAAACAAAGAGGAGATGGGTCATAGCACTGCTATTACTGCCAATCATAGTCATCATCATCAGTTGTGAGTGTGTATTATTGTGTATTATGTGCTACAGCACATGCATTGAGATCTGTCTCACCCCCACCCAACCCTTTGAGTTCCTCAACATAACTCACATGTATCAGATACATACAGTGGACCTGGCACTATTCAAAGCCCTCTGCCTGATTCATCTCATTTAATCTTCACGGCTCCTCAATGAGGCAGGTTCCATTCTGCCTCCCTTATTAAGAAAAGGAAGCTGGGCACAGAGAGGTGGAGTGGCTGCCCAAAGTCACAGGGTTCCTGAGCCTGTGTCCTAGCCAGCCTCCTGAGACAGGTGCTATTATCCCACAGTGTACCGTGGGCCCAGAAGGGGTCCTCCAGGCCATATGGGAAGTCACAGCACAGGCACAAACCCAAGGCAGTGTGACTTTAGAACCCATGATCTTAATCCACACATGCTGTGTGATGTCAGGTCAGAGCCCCAGACCTCTGGGCTCCTAAGCCAGATGTCTAGTCTCTAGAAAATACCAAGCAAGATTGTGCACCCTGAACCCCAAAGCCACTGCTACAGCTGATGCCTCCTGATGCCCACAGCATCCTTGCCGGCCACACTGAGCACACTGCCTCCCAGTGTGCAGCTTCCCCTCCCACCTGCCTTTGAACTCAGCAACTTGTCATGCTTTCCAAGGCACAAGGCAACTCAGAAGCCAGCTTGCAGCAGAGACTCCCAATTCACCACACATACACAACCAGCCTCCTCAAAATCCATGCGGGCCAATGCCCTCAGCTTTACCAAGGAGAGGGCATCCTGCCCCTGTGGCTCGGTGGCTCCAGGGCTCACACACACCCCCATAGGAAGGGGCGTCTCCAGCATCTGTCAGGAAAGTGTTCTTGTTGTCTCAGGGTTGCTGTGGCGTTCTCTCTCATGTGAATATGCACCCAGCCTCGCCACGTGGTTTCTGGTCTATGAGAGAGTCGGGGGTGAAGGCTGGGTGAGCAGGGGCAGGCAGGGGCAGCTGGAGGAGCAGGGAGGGCTGCGTGTGGGAGGGGACCAGGACTTCCAGGCCTCAGCCTCAGCCTCTCCTGTGGGGCACCCGGGTCCTTTTGAGACAGAGGTGGCTGAGCTGCCCCGGCAGGCCCTGGGCACCAGTCTCCCTTCAGCCCCCAGGCAGGATGCCAGGCTGGGTGGAGGAGGCACCGTGGGCTTGACATGGACTTCTAGGCTCACTTCCTTCTCCACCAGCTGCTGTCTTGAGAATGTGTGTTTGTCCAAGGCTGAACATGGTGAGATTCCTATGCATTTGCCTGTCAGAGGGCCAGTGGGGCCAGAAGCCTCCTGCAGAGGCTAACCCCGGTGCTCCCAGTCTCCCCCAGTTGCTGGCTGGGCAGGGCAGGGTGCTGGTTCCACCGTGTTTGTTTGTGGTGAGAGAAGGCCCCCACCAAGGTGGGGTCAGAACCCCCAGGTGTGAGTCGCCCGCCCTGCCCTGCGGATGGAGTCGCCCGCCCTGCCCTGCGGATGGAGAGCTCTCACTCCGTGAGTGTCTCCACTGGACGCTGTCGGGGGTGCGGAGGTGGGATTTTTTTTCCTGTGAGATTCCAGAAGACAGAACAAGAGCCAACTGGTGAAAGATTCAGGAAGACAGATATTGACTCATTAAAAGGAGTCACGTTCTCACATTGAAATTGGAATCGCTTCCCCAGGAAATGGTGAGAAATCTGCCACTCAAGTGTTCAGGCAGAGTCAGGGGGCTGCCAGCCTGGGAGCTGAGGATGTGGAGGGACGCCTGCCACAGGGGCAGGCTGCTCTGACGACCAGGAGGCCCCTCTGCACAGAGGCCCAGCTTCTCAGACTGCAGTCTCCACAGGGCCTGGGCTAAGCGAGGCAGCCCCACACCTCACTCCTGGCCCATCAGTGAGTTGGGAAGCATCTACCTAGAGAACTGCCAAGGCCACGGAGAGGCGTAGCTGGAGCCCTGGCCTCAAAGAAGGCACAATGCGGCTGGGAGAGGTGGCAGCTCACAGGAGACAGCTAGGAGGTGGTGGCGGCAGGGGCTATGAGCCACCTGGCACCCTGCAAGGTGCAAACCACCCCACAAAGAGGTGGCGGTGCTGGGGCTGAGGGCAAGGGGAGGAGGGTGGGAGGTGTCTCCAGAATCAGCTAAGAGCACGGGGTCTGCCCTGGGAGCTGGAGGGGCATCAGCGAGAAAGGCAAGAAAGGCAGGCCCAGGACGTGGCTGGCTGAGGTCACCGGCATGAACATCTGAACCCAGCTACGGCTTGGGGAGCCCCCAGGTAAGACATCTGCCCGCCCAGCGGTGGCTTTCATGATCGGGATTCAGGGACCACCCCTGGCCAAGTGCAGTTCTTGGACCTGAGAGAGCTAAAGCTCCGTGGCCTCCCTGGTGGGAAGGAAAGCAATGATGCTCATGGCCTCCTCCACCTGTCCAGCTCAGGGCCACTTCACTGGCCTCTGGGGCTTACTGTTTTCTGCCGTGGACTACAATTATCTGCGCAAGTGTCTGACCTCTTGAATTAGACTGCGAGTTCCTCAAGAGCAAAATCCATCTTCTACCCACTCCTTCACACCCACCCTGGCCACACTCATTCACACCTGCACACCCACACACACACACACACACAATTTGTTGATCGACTGCTGCATAAGCAAATAAAGTGATACATTTTCCTAGGAACATTTTTCAGAGCTGAGGAGTATGAGCCTAAGCCCTTAAAAGCTGGCCAGTGGCTGGCTGAGCGGGTGAATCCACATTACGGAAAGCGTGGGCTCAGAACCATGAATATTTCTGAGAAGAGGGAAGCTAAAGGAAGCTGCCATACAAGACTGAACACCAACAAGGAGATTGGTGAATGGCAGCTGCCTCTTAGGCCTTCACCCTGCCCCCACACAACCACTTTTCACACACTTCCCGCACCCGTGCGGCACATGCACCTCCCAGCGTGTTCTCCCGACCTCACCCACAGGCCTTCCCTGGCTAGCCTCCTCACGCCTGGAGGGGCAGAGGCAGCATATCTGGTCCCTGCGAGGAACCTGGCAGGTTGCATCCCCTATGCCCCATTCCCCGTCCCTTCACCCTCTGGGACCCACTGCTGATGAGCCTCTTGACTCCCTGGTGGTCAAGCTCTACTCTCCTTCCGAAACAGCTGATTTGGCCTCACTCTTCTTTGAGAGAGAACCTTCCCCCCATAGAATACCACATCGCATCTCAGTGGCAGCAAAGTCAAAATAGGACCCTGGTCTCCAGCTTGAGCTTCGGCTGGACTGGCTCGTGGATGGCATCTTGGGCTCCAGGGCCTCCAATGGCATCCAGAGAAGAGTCTCCTTCTCAGAACGGTGCGGGGGCAGCCTGGTTCTCAGCAACACTCAAGGAAAGAGCAGTCCACACAGCCCAGATTCTTTCATAGTCTTGCTTAGGGGGCCCACGGCCTACACCGGCCTAGGCCATGGCTTTTCAGATCTGTAGGAAACCAGCTGGAAGCCTGAGGGCAGGACTTAATGATACTTCTTTGTGCACAGGTCAGTCGAGTACCCTGTATTCATTTGCAGAGGAGAGAAGACAGAACAAAGAGAGAGAAGAAGAAAGGAGGAAGACAGGCTGAGGGTACCCTTCATTCTTCCACTTGTCCTTCCACTTGTTTTTGGATACCATGGCTTGAGTTCATTCCTGATTTAGCCCCAGTTAACTGTCCCCAGCCTCTCTGAGCCTCACCATCCTCATCTGGGAAGTAAAGATGGAGCCCCTGTCTCTCAGGAAAGCTTGCAAAGGCAGTTAGCATGCCAGGGAGGAAGGCGGTTAGCATGCCGGGGAGGAAGGCGGTTAGCATGCCGGGGAGGAAGGCGGTTAGCATGCCGGGGAGGAAGGCGGTTAGCATGCTGGGGAGGAAGGCGGTTAGCATGCTGGGGAGGAAGGCGGTTAGCATGCTGGGGAGTGATGCTGTAACAGCAGGGAGTTTTTGGTACAGTTCCTGGGTTCTGTCAGGCTACAAGTATCACAAGGCCTGCATGTGCAGACTATGGCCACCGCAGTGTCACCCAGCTTCCAATCCTTGAGGACCTGTTGGGTGAGAAAGGGGCATCTCCAGGGAGTTTTAATTTGTGTTTCTCTTCATCTCAGTAAAGATGAACATCTCTTCACATTTATGAGCTATTTGTATTTCCTTTACTGTGAATTGTCTCTGTGAATCCTTTGCCTACTTTTATTTTGAATTTTTGGTCTTATTTTGTGGGAGCTCTTTATGTATTAAAGAAATTGACCTCAGTCTGTGATCAGAGTTCCAAACTTGTTTCCCAGTTTGTTGTTTATTATTCGGTTTTGCTTATGGGTGGATATTGTCATGCAGAATTCTTTTAGGTAGTCAAACTTATCAAGACTTTATTTTATGATTTCTGGGGTTTCTTTGTTTCTTTGTTTACTGTCATAGGACTTTACTACTCTGAGACTATAAATAACTCTCCTATGTTTTAATTTTTCGAGTAGTATGTGTTTGGTTTTTTTTTTTTTTTGACCTTTAAATCTTTGATTCATTTGGAATATATCTCAGTTGGAGATCTCCATTACTAGCCTAGTTATGGGCCAGTAATTTTCTCAGATGGCTGCTTTGTGGTCCCAACACTGTTCATCGAATAACCCATCTTTTCCCCACTATTTAAGAATATCTGAGGAAGAATCATCATACAACTTTCAGTTTCCTCCTGTAACTGGTTCTGTTTTTGGACTCTATATTCTGTTCCCTTGACCGGATTCCCTATCCATGCACCAGCACCACACAGTTTTATTTATTATAGCTTAAAACATATAGCTATATCCCTCATCACCCACTACTACATCTCTGTTTTGGAACTTCTTGAACAATTCTTACTTGCTCGTTTTTCTATGTGAATTTTAGCAACAGCTTGACTCAATCCAAAACATGCTATTTCTGTATATATTTGAAGATCAAATTAAATTTATAGATTAATGAGGAGAATTGACACATTAATATTGAGGCTTACAGTCTGTTTCGGTTAGGAGGTTTGTTCAACAGCCAATAGACTCAAGTGCATTGGTTTAGCCACATATGGGTTTAAGGAGGCCCAGGCTGGAGGCTGGCTTGGCAGCTCAGTAGAACCACCAGGGAGCTCAGTAACTCCTGTCTTTCTTCTCTGCCATCCTCAAGCTGGCTTGCATCCTCAAGGTCATCCAAGTTGAAGGTCCTGTAATCACCACTGGCTGCAGTCAGTATGTCCCCCCGATTCCAGGAAGGAGGGCAGGGAAAGGCAAGTGGATCATGGCCAACTATCACCTCCCCACTCTTACTGAGTTTTCATGGAAGTCCATTCAACAAGTGTCATCAGCTTGTCTAGTTGTAGCCTTTCCAGAGAGCTGGAAAATGTAGTCTTTTCATCTGGGCACATTGCCATCCTAAATAAATTTAGATTTCTATTACTAAGGAGAAAGGAGAAAATTGGAGACACAGCCTGCAGACTCCACTGCCCTATCTTGGATGAGGAGCCAGTCCCATCGCCCAAGTCCCTGCCCTCCTGAACTCCCTCTCATGCAGGTCTCATCACTGCTGCAACCCTGGAACTGCTCTTGTCAAGGTCAACAAAAACCACCATCTTTCTAAATCCAGTGCTCAATTTTCACTCTTTATCATATGCAGGCATTCAGCAACAATTGGCCACTAGCTCACTCTCTCTTTTTAAAATCCTTTCTTGGTTGGACCATAGAGCACGGTCCTTGATTTCCTTCTGTCTAGCTGGGTGCCCTGCCCATGGCCCTTTGCTCAGACCTTTCCCAGCTGCTGTGTGTGTTCACTCCTTACGAGTGCATGTGGCCGGTGACTGTGGAGGTGTGAAAGGCACACACACACATACTGATGCCTCTCAAATTTAAATTTAAGTCCAGTCCTACACACCTATTGAGAGTGGCTGAAGTCTTTTAAATGGGCACACCAGGTGCTGGAAAGGACGCAGAACAGCTAAAACGCTCACACAATGCAAAATGGAGCAACCGCTTTGGAAACAGCTTGTCAGTTTCTTATAAAGTGAAACACACATTTACCCTATGGCCCAGAAATCTCATGCCTTGTTATTTACTCAACAGAAATGAAGACGTGTCTACATAAAATCCATGTCTGTTTATAGCAGCTTTATTCATAATTGCCAAAAATCTCAAATGTACATCAACAGGTGAATGGATAGGCAAATTGCAGTACATCCATACAATGAAATACTACTCAGCAGAAAAAGAAATGAACTCCTGATGCCTGAGACATGGATTAATTTCAAATGCATCACGCTAAACAAAAGGAGCTAGACTCAGAAGACCCCCTACCATAGGATTTCGTACATCTGATTCCATTCACATCTGGAAAAGATAAAACACCTTGGAATCACATCTGATTCCATTCACATCCATACAGTCTGGAAAAGATAAAACCACTGGAACATAAAGCAGACAGCAATCTCCAGGGGCTGGGGCTGGGGCTGTGGAATGGGGCATGACCATCAAGGGACACAGCAAACTTTTTGATAGTGGGAATATTCTACATCTTGATCGTGGTGGTGATTAAATGCCTACACATATTTGGCAAACCTCAGGCCTGCACACTTAAAAGGGGAAAGTTTACTATGTAAAGTATACATTAATAACCCTGACTCTAAAAATTTAGCCCATCTGCTTCCCTGCACTCTGCACTTGGGGGAAAAATGTGAAATGGAGAGTCTGTCATTTCAGTAAATGACACCCTTGCTCCTGGAGTGACTTTGGGAAAGATGGAGAGTGGCAGCCTCCTGTTTTCTGCTCTATTCCAGCTTCTCATCTTCGTCCACAGACTGGTGGCACCCCCTCCTCTGATCTCACCAGGTCCGACTGCGGGCCCAGCTGCACAACCTCCTTCACAGCACCCATCCTCACTCCTCCAGGCTTGTTCCTTGTGTCAGCTTTTGGGCAGCTGTCACCTGATCCTCACACGGCTCGTGTTGGTTTGTGTTGCCTTTTTCAAAACATAAATAAGATCACATTTGTTACAAGTTCACAATCACCCAGGCACAGGTGGCCTGAGGTCCGAGTCCTTCTCCAGCCTGGCAGGAGCTGGCCTGCCCCCCTTCCCACCCTTGCTCCTCCAGGCCTGGGGCCGTTGTGCTGCTCTACAAGCCCAGGCCCATCCCTCTGCAAGTCCTGTGCACCGGCTCAGCCTCTGGGTGCAGATGCAGCTCAGGGGCTCACTTGTCCAGTTCTCAAAGCAAACATCATCTCCGCAACGCCATCACAGCAGCCACTCTTGATTTCCTACTTTGTTTTAATTTTGTTTCATCTTATCGTTGACTCAGAGTCCATCGTTTGGCGTCGTTGCGTCTCTTCCCCAACAAAATGTAGGCTCATTCACAGCAGGAAATGGTGATTGCATGAGTGCCCGGGCAGCCTCAAGAAGCCCTATTGTTTTTGCCTGCTCTGCAAGGTTGTGCTTCTGAATTGACTCTCCAAGACCCTCATTGTTCAGCCTTCCTCAGGATGACGCACCTCCCAAGGAGGCCTTCTTCCTCCCCTACTTCTTCCTCTCTTACAATCACATGCTCGCAGATACCCATTAAAAGAGACAGCCCTGTCTCCCTTTCCCCACCCCACCCACACCCAAATGCCCTCGGCAACATGTTCCTGTGCCCGCAGACACTGGGCACCTCAGGAGCACAGCCTGCTAAGGCGCCAGCATCCCTCCAAGCCCACTCCATCCCCCCAAAACTTGCCTCTACATCTTCACCCTGGACTCAACCTTCAGGGTGTTTGGAGAGAAATGGCACCAGGCTAAGGAGCTACTCGCTGTGCAGAAAACACAGCCCTCCCAGCCTCCTCCTCCCCAGGTCTGTTTCTCCCGCCGCTTGACTGACAGGCAGCAAAGCCCGTTTCTGTGGCACCCAAGGGTTCGGTCCCAGGACTCAGCCAGAGCTTCTTTCTCCAGGGAGGGGAGGATGCAGGGTCTGCAGAAGCAGCCGCTCAGTTTTCTGAGACCGGGCCTCCTCAGCAAGATCAGCGGCTGGGTCCCGCCGCTTTGAGAGTGACGTCCCAGTACCCTGGCAGGCAGGCAGGCTCTGGCCGGCGCGCAGGCCTTCGTGGGGCTCCCTGAGACAGGACAGGCCCTACATCAATCGCTCATTTATTCACTCCTTTATTAATTTACTCATAGCAAATATTCATCTATAACACATATTTATTTACAAACTACTATTGCCAGTTTCATGACAGAGTGAAGAGAAGAAAAAACAAAATATCAAGCATCCAAAAAACACAGCCAACCTGTGCAGCCCCGGACAGCGCATCCTCCGGGAAGCAGCAGGGCCCAGGGTCCCACGCAGCCCAACCCTCCAGCATCCATCTGAAGACAGAACCACGCCCACTCCAGGACGGGCCATTTCCTCGGCCTCCCTGGGAGGTCTGAAAAACCAGCGGCCACTCCTGCCTGCCTCCCCACTGCCCGAGCCTGGACGTGAAAACTCTTAGGCCCCCTCCCCTATTAACGAAGCTGAGGCGCGACCGCACTGGCCAGTGAGGAGGCACCACGGTGACAGCCGCAGGGGCTAGACGGGCCTCTCCGCCTCCCCCTCCTGGCCCCTTCGCCTGGTGAGGCAGCAGCTTCCCTGCCTGTTCCTGAGTCCACGGTGGGAGCCCTGCCTGCAATCCCCCGTGCATCCACAGGTGTGGGCTGGACGGCGCATGGGGCAGGGGTTTCTGGTGGTGTGGCTTCTCCACAGTCTCATGCCTGGTCTTCTCCATCTCTCTTCATCCACGGGCCTGCCCGGGCCCGGGGTGATGGATCAGCAGGTGTCCAATGTCCCGCTGTTCATTCAATGCACTGAATAAAACATTCCCCACAGATTAACTGAGCAGTTTTACGTGAACAACCATTTTCATCTGTTTTAAATTTTCATGGTACTTTCCTGAAGAACAAGTACATTGTTAATAATTGAGGGGAATGAGACCTTGTTAATCTCTCTGTATTTTAATAAGAGCCTACTGTGCCCTGGCCATTTATATTTAAAACAGCTTCACTTTTTTCCCTAAAGTTGTTTCCTTTGAGGAGAGTCCTGGTGGGGCAGGTGGGGTGGGGTCATTTGAGTCTGGAAAGCACATTGGGAAATAATTTTTGGGTTTCAGGAGGACATTGGGGAGGATGTGGGATCAGGGCCCACGAGGGAGGCTCAAGCACACCCGGCACCAGCAGAAGCCCGGGCAGGGTCTTCAAAGGGGAAGAGGCCCCAAGGTCCAATCATCAGAAATGGAGAGACGAGAAGGGGGTGACACATGGGGGAGAGAGAGGGAAGGAGGCCCATGCAGTGAGACCCTCCCTCTCCCACCTCAGCACCCTGAGGGTCCCCACTGTGCTTGGAAGTTCTGATGCACCCCCAAATAAGCACCCCCAGAGCCAGATCTATGCCCTGCCCAACACCCCACCCCGTCCATGCACACCTCGCTGAAGCCTCACACAGCCTCTCAGCACTGGCATCACTGGCATTTAACAGCTGTGGGATGGAACAAGGCCCAGGCGGTGAAGCCACCTAGGGTTCTACATTTAATGTGGAGCTCAGGTCCGCATGGGTTTAAAATCTTTCCTTTAACCACCAGGCAGTGCTGGGAAGATGACCTGCCAAAACCTGCCCGGATAGGAAGAGTCCTGTTTCCAGGATCCGGCTCTCCCCAGGCAGGAATCTCCTAAGTCCCTCCTAGGCTCTGGAGACCCCGGAGCCCCACCTCCTGCCTCTGGCCCCACCCTGTGCAGCTCCCTCAGTTCCCTACCACAGCAGGAGGCTGTCTTCCCCATCCCTGCCCAGCCCAGCCCCTGCCCAGCCCCTGCCCCTGGACCTGGCCCACCCTTCAGACGCCTGGCCATGCTCCTCCACACTCAGCCAGGTGATGAGACTGGCTGGCATGCAGGGCCAGGAGGCACACTGAGGCCTCTGGATTTGGGGTGAGGTGGTCAAGACGGAAAGGGATTGGTTTGGATGGCACGGCTTCAGGCTGCAGCAAAAGCCACTCAAGTGAGTGATTTCATGCAACAAGCTGCTAGAACATGCTGAGAGGGAAGCGTAGGGCAGCCCTACACCAAAGCCTTACTTGCTGGAAAAATCAGCTCTTCACATTCACGGGCAGGAGAGCAGCCACCCTGCCTGCTGGACAAGGTTAGCTGGAAGCTGCCTGGCCTGGGGAAGAATAAGGGCAGAGAAGAGCAGTGCTCCCCCAGGTCAGGCAGAGCTCGAGACTGTCCAGGGCTGGGATGTGCAGTGTCAGGCAGAGCTCAAGACTGTCCAGGGCTGGGGTGTGCAGCGGCGCTCCAGAGCAGAAAAGCAATGCAAGGCCTTTCACGGGCCTCGCTCAAGCGCACGTGTGTTACGCATCATTTGTGGAAAGGGAAACCTCTGGACAGCACATTTCCAGGATGCCAAAAAGCTCTCCTCTCAACCTGCCCCAAATTTCTCCCCCAATAAAACTGCCCCAAATGTCTAGAATTTCATCATGAAGCATCAACAGCAAAAGGAACCCCCACAGCGAGACTGTACGTTCCACTCCTCAGCCTTGCCCACGGCACGGCACTCTGTGTGTGCACTTCTGTGCCCTCTTCCATCTGCTTAGGAAAGCAGAAGATCTAACAACTACAAAATAAATGCATCTCTCAAACATCTCTAAAATAAATGCAGTGCAATTGCAGCCCACACAAAATCCAGAAGAATGTACAAGCCATCAGCATTGGATACCGGCTTGGTGACTCCGAATGACTTCAAGCATCTGAGCCTTACTTCTGACATTTATATAATTATGGAAAAAGAGTGTGGGTCTCTGTCTGGGCCTTGAGCTGCACTCCCCATTCCATCAGGTCAGGCCACCTGTGAGAATAAGAACTTGCAAATCCACCCTGCCACGCAGGCACATCTCTTAGCACAGTCCGGCGTGCATTCAGCACCAAGGAATTACTCACGTTATTCTGACGACTGTCTCTTTGCGTAACACTCTAAACTTTACTCGCTCCTTTGCACCCCACCACCATGTGTAGTTGGCCAAGCTGGCAGGCTCAGCCTCGTTTTATAGAGACCAAGGATTCAGTGGCTGGTGCTTGGCCAGGTCCTGGGCAAGCCCCACTCACCTGCCTCTCTGGGCAACACTCCACATCCACAGGTGGAAAGAGGCCACTCTCCTCCACACTTGCCCATGTCTGGCTGCTCTTCCTGTGTCTCAACTCACAGGAGGAAGTTTATGCCACCCCTTCTGTTATGTGTGAATTGTGTCCCACAGAAATTCATATGTTGAAGTCTTGACCTCTAATGCCTCAAAACTTGACTGTATTTGAAGACAGGACCTTAAAGAGGCCATGAAGGCAACAGGAGGTCACTGGAGCAGCCCCCATCCAGGATGATTGGCGTCCTCCTAAGAAGAGTAGCCTGGGACACAGACACACAGAAGGACGGCCATGTGAGGACACAGGGAGAAGATAGCCACGTAGTCACATGCAAGCCGAGAGGAGAGGAAGCCTCAGAAGGAACAAACTCTGCTGACAGCTTGATCTCAGACTTCCAGCCTTGGGAGTTCCTTACACAATTCTGAGAGCTGAGCCGCCCAACCCCTGGGAGGTTCATCATAGGACAGCCTGAGCCAACTCACACACCTCTGGTTTCCACACTGGAAGTGCAAACTAAGCCCCCGCTGCCCTCCAAAGGTTCCAAGCCGCCGACACTCACAGGCAGCCCACCATGTCCCCAGCAGCTCTGGAGACCTCCTCTCCCCTCCCTGCCAAGATCAAGCTTTCCAATCATGTCTTTAATGCCTCCAAGAGGCCTCCTCTGACTACTTATTTGGGAGCTCCTTCACTCAACCTTATACATTTCCATGCCCGTGCACATGTGTACGTGTGTGTGCGTGTGTGTGCATGTGTGTGAGAGTGTACGTGTGTGATTGTTTGTGTGTGAGTGTTTGCGGTTATGTACTTAGGTATCTCTTCGAGCCCTATTTGTAAGATACAATCCCTAAGGGCAGGGGTCATGTCCAGACTCATGGAATGTCAAGGTTCAATAGTGCTTTCAGGACTGTTTAGTCTACGATCATGATTTTACGAATGAGAAAACCAAGGCGACAGCCTGAGATCATATCACTGATCGGGGCAGAGTGAGGGTGATGGCCAGACTCTGAGTGGTCCCACCAGGCCACTCAACGGCTCTTTCAGGGACCTGAGAGTCCCGTGCATGGCTCGGTCTCCTGGGGCCCATCAACAGAGTCTCCAGGACATCCTCAGACATTGCTCCCTGCTCTCTCTTTCCAGATCCTCAGATTCAGTATGTCGTGCACATCCAGTCTTCTTTTCTGCAGCCCTCTTATAGAGACGAGGTGTGTGCAAGAACCAGCATGGGTGTGCACAGGCACACACGGGAGCACCAGCAGACACAAGTTTCCTCCCAGGGACACAGATGCCCCTCAGAAGCGTCCATTCACTAATACATGAAAACTCACAGGAGCGTGTCTCACATTTGACAGTTTACATGTAACCTTTAATTGCTCAATTCATATCCGCCTCCCCTGTTGGACTAAACAGTCCATAAGAGCAAAAAAAGATCGAGTTTGCAGTCCCGGAGTACCCTACAGGGCCTGGCCCATAGCAGACCTTCAATAACAGGTCTTCGATAAACCTGGGTTGAGTCGAGTACATACACAGACACATGAGCAGACACACAGGAGTGTGCATGTGAGCACGGGTGTCTTGTGGGACACGCACCTGCATGCACACGTGGGCATGTTCACCCACTCTCACACGTGCACAGCCACGCTGCACATGGGAGGCATGGAGGCACACACAACACTCTCGGGTACCGGTGGCACCTTCCTCTTCACTGGTGGGAGGGGGAGGGGAAGCTCCTGTAGAGCCCCCAGGCCACCATGGGCTGCTCCCAAAGCGTGTTCCGGCAGGGCCTACTGTTTTTCTCCATCTGCAGGCTGGGGTGAGCTACAGAGATCATCTGTAGGGGAGCTGAGCCCCACTGGGAACTAACAGCAGCGACCCAGATGGCAGTCAGTGGCGGCAACGACAAAATTGTGTCCAACTGAAGGCCTGGCCTCAACCAGCACCAGGAGCCCTACCCCATGGGGTTGTGGAACTCTCCAGAGGTCCCCACACCCCCTGGAATGAAGTCCACAGTGGCATTAAACTGTCTGGGCTCAGAGCCCAGTCCAGGAGCCAGAGACAGAGCAAAGCACCATGGGCTGACACTGCCTTCCCCCAAGATGCCCTGCTGCTTGGGAGGTGAGCCGAGAGGCAGCTTCAGTGCCAGAGCCAGGCACCCAGCCAGCCCACTCCGGCTTCAGCGAGAACATGGCTTCCTCAGGCTCTTCACTGCAGAGGGAGGGCTCTGCACACAACAAGGCTCTGGTTGGGACCGTGATACAGATCTGAGTGCTGAGGCTTCTGAGGCTGTCGCTCCTGCCCTAGGAGCTGGCACTGGGAGCCCCCATTCTGCCTAGGACTGTGAGCCCCTCCCCAGGTAACAGAGCTCCCTCCCAGGTAAATGCAGAGGATGGACCCCTGGGAAAATGAAGGGAAGGAGAAAGAGCACCACAGAGGAAAGCTGTCCACCACCCAAAGTACAGAGAACAAAAGCAAAGCACCATTCCAGTTAATACATGCCCCCACTACACACTGAGCACCAAGGAGCTAGGCCCGTGCCCAGGGCTGGAGCGAGGACACTCCTGCCTTCATGCCTGCACTCCAGGAGCTCACAGTTTCTTCCTCTGAAGCCCGTCCTCCACCCAGGCACCAAGGAACCCTTTTTTTGGTCTCTAAAATCATAGTTTGTTACCCTCCTTCAAGCCTCCCAGTGGCTTCCCAATAAGGTGCAAACTCATTTCCTGGTGGCCCAGCCTCCAAGGCCTGGCTCTTGCCCTCCTCTCTCACCTCTCTCTTGTCTCCTTTCTGCCCCTGAGCAGGTTCACTTCCTCCTGGGCCTCGGCCCATCCCTCTGGCACGTCCCTCTCCAGGAGCCCTGCCCTGGAGTCCTGTGTAAACAGCCAGGCACGCTCTGCCACTCAGCTATGGTTTCCTTCTTCATTCTTGTTTGTTTACTAAATCAGCTGCCAAAACAAAACAATGGGGGACTTCAATCACACGGCAGGGTGCCCCTCTGAGACGAAGCTTCCAGAAGAACAATCAGGCAGCAACATTTGCTGTTCTGAAATATTTGCTGTTCTGCAGACTCCACTGGTGATACCCAGGCAAACAGGGTCTGGAGTGGACCTCCAGCAAACTCCAACAGACCTGCAGCTGAGGGTCCTGACTGCTAGAAGGAAAACTAACAAACAGAAAGGACATCCATACCAAAACCCCATCGGTATGTCACCATCATCAAAGACCAAAGGTTGATAAAACCACAAAGATGGGGAGAAACCAAAGCAGAAAAGCTGAAAATTCTAAAAATCAGAGCTCCTCTCCCCCTCCAAAGAAATGCAGCTCCTCACCAGCAACAGAACAAAGATAGACAGAGAATGACTTTGACGAGTTGAGAGAAGAAGGCTTCAGATGACCAAACTTCTCCAAGCTAAAGGAGGAAGTTTGAACCCATGGCAAAGAAGTTAAAAACCTTGAAAAAACATTAGACGAATGGCTAACTAGAATAACCAGAGTAGAGAAGACCTTAAATGACCTGATGGAGCTGAAAACCATGGCACGAGAACTACGTGATGAATGCACAAGCTTCAGTAGCCGATTCGATCAACCAGAAGGAAGGGTATCAGTGATTGAAGATCAAATGAATGAAATGAAGCGAGAAGAGAAGTTTAGAGAAAAAACAGAAAAAGAAATGAACAAAGCCTCCAAGAAATATAGGACTATGTGAAAAGACTAAATCTACGTCTGATTGGTGTACCTGAAAGTGACAGAGAGAAGGAAACCAAGTTGGAAAACACTCTGCAGGATATTATCCAGGAGAACTTCCCCAACCTACCAAGGCAGGCCAACATTCAAATTCAGGAAATACAGAGAACATCACAAAGATACTCCTCAAGAAGAGCAACTCCAAGACACACAATTGTCAGATACACCAAAGTTGAAATAAAGGAAAAAATGTTAAGGGCAGCCAGAGAGAAAGGTCGGGTGTACCCACAAAGGGAAGCCCATCAAACTAACAGCTGATCTCTCGGCAGAAACTCTACAAGCCAGAAGAGAGTGGGGGTCAATATTCAACATCCTTAAAGAAAGAATTTTCAACCCAGAATTTCATATCCAGCCAAACTAAGCTTCATAAGTGAAGGAGAAATAAAATCCTTTACAGACAAGCAAATGCTGAGAGATTTTGTCACCATCAGGCCTGCCTACAAGAGCTCCTGAAGGAAGCACTAAACATGGAAAGGAAAAATCAGTACCAGCCACTGCATAAACATGCCAAATTGTAAAGACCATTGATGCTAGGAAGAAACTGCATAAACTAACGAGCAAAATAACCATCTAACATCATAATGACAGGATCAAATTCACACATAACAATATTAACCTTAAATGTAAATGGGTTAAATGCTCCAATTAAAAGACACAGACTGGCAAATTGGATAAAGAGTCAAGACCCATCAGTGTGTTGTATTCAGGAGACCCATATCATGTGCGGAGACACACATAGGCTCAAAATAAAAGGGATGGAGGAAGATCTTCCAAGCAAATGGAAAACAAAAAAAAGGCAGGGGTTGCAATCCTAGTCTCTGATAAAGCAGACTTTAAACCAACAAAGATCAAAAGAGACAAAGAAGGCCATTACATAATGGTAAAAGGATCAATTCAACAAGAAGAGCTAACTATCCTAAATATATATGCACCCGATACAGGAGCACCCAGATTCATAAAGCAAGTTCTTAGAGACCTACAAAGAGACTTAGACTCCCACACAATAATAATGGGAGACTTTAACACCCCACTGTCAACATTAGACAGATCAATGAGACAGAAAGTTAACAAGGATATCCAGGAATTGAACTCAGCTCTGCACCAAGTGGACCTAATAGACATCTACAGAACTTTCCACCCCAAATCAACAGAATATACATTCTTCTCAGCACCACATTGCACTTATTCCAAAATTGACCACATAGTTGGAAGTAAAGCACTCCTCAGCAAATATAAAAGAACAGAAATTATAACAAACTGTCTCTCAGACCACAATGCAATCAAACTGGAACTCAGGATTAAGAAACTCACTCAAAACCGCTCAACTACATGGAAACTGAAAAACCTGCTCCTGAATGACTACTGGGTACATAACAAAATGAAGGAAGAAATAAAGAAGTTCTTTGAAACCAATGAGAACAAAGACACAACATAACATACCAGAATCTCTAGGACACATTTAAAGCAATGTGTAGAAGGAAATTTATAGCACTAAATGCCCACAAGAGAATGCAGGAAAGATCTAAAATTGACATCCTAACATCACAATTAAAAGAACTAGAGAAGCAAGAGCAAACACATTCAAAAGCTAGCAGAAGGCAAGAAATAACTAAGATCAGAGTAGAACTGAAGGAGATAGAGACACAAAAAACCCTTCAAAAAATCAATGAATCCAGGAGCTGTTTTTTTTGAAAAGATTAACAAAATTGATAGACCACTAGCAAGACTAATAGAGAAGAAAAGAGAGAAGAATCAAATAGATGCAATAAAAAATAATACAGGGGATATCACCTCCTATCCCACAGAGATACAAACTACCATCAGAGACACCTCTATGCAAATAAACTAGAAAATCTAAAAGAAATGGATAAATTCCTGGATACATACACCCTCCCAAGACTAAAGCAGGAAGAAATTGAATCCCTGAATAGACCAATAACAGTCTCTAAAATTGAGGCAATAATTAAGAGCCTACCAACCAAAAAAAGTCCAAGACCAGATGGATTCACAGCTGAATTCTACCAGAAGTACAAGGAGGAACTGGTACCATTCCTTCTGAAACTATTCCAATCAATAGAAAAAGAGGAAATCCTCCCTAACTCATTTTATGAGGCCAGCATATCCTGATACCAAAGCCTGGCAGAGACACAACAAAAAAAGAGAATTTTAGACCAATATCCCTGATAAACATTGATCCAAAAATCCTCGATAAAATATTGGAAAGCTGAATCCAGCAGCACATCAAAAAGCTTATCCACCATGATCAAGTGGGCTTCATCCCTGGAATGCAAGGCTGGTTCAACATATGCAAATCCATAAACGTAATCCAGCATATAAACAGAATCAAAGGCAAAAACCACATGATTATCTCAATAGACACAGAAAAGGCCTTTGACAAAATTCAACAGCCCTTCATGCTAAAAACTTTCAAAAAATTAGGTATTGATGGGATGTATCTCAAAATAATAAGAACTATTTATGACAAACACACAGCCAATGTCATACTGCATGGGCAAAAACTGGAAGCATTCCCTGTGAAAACTGGCACAAGACAGGGATGCCATCTCTCACCACTCCTATTCAACATAGTGTTGGAAGTTCTGGCCAGGGCAGTCAGGCAGGAGAAAGAAATAAAGGGTATTCAATTAGGAAAACAGGAAGTCAAATTGTCCCTGTTTGGAGATGACATGACTGTATATTTAGAAAACCCCATCGTCTCAGCCCAAAATCTCCTTAAGCTGATAAGCAACTTCAGCAAAGTCTCAGGATACAAAATCAATGTGCAAAAATCACAAGCATTCCTATACACCAATAACAGACAAACAGAGAGCCAAATCATCAGTGAACTCCCATTCACAATTAATTCAAAGAGAATAAAATACCTAGGAATCCAACTTACAAGGGATGTGAAGAAGCTCTTCAAGGAGAACTACAAACCACTGCTCAATGAAATAAAAGAGGACACAAACAAATGGAAGAACATTCCATGCTCATGGATAGGAAGAATCAATATCGTGAAAATGGCCATACTGCCCAAAGTAATGTATAGATTCAATGCCATCCCCATCAAGCTACCAATGACTTTCTTCACAGAATTGGAAAAAACTACTTTAAAGTTCATATGGAACCAAAAAAGAGCCCGCATCGCCAAGTCAATCCTAAGCCAAAAGAACAAAGCTGAAGGCATCATGCTACCTGACTTCAAACTATACTACAAGGCTACAGTAACCAAAACAGCATGGTACTGGTACCAAAACAGAGATATAGACCAATGGAACAGAACAGAGCCATACCACACATCCACAACCATCTGATCTTTGAGAAACCTGACAAAAACAAGAAATGGGGAAACGACTCCCTATTTAATAAATGGTGCTGGGAAAACTGGCTAGCCATATGTAGAAAGCTGAAACTAGATCCCTTCCTTACACTTTATACAAAAATTAATTCAAGATGGATTAAAGACTTAAATGTTAGACCTAAAACCATAAAAACCCTAGAAGAACACCTAGGCAATACCATTCAGGACATAGGCATGGGCAAGGACTTCATGTCTAAAACACCAAAAGCAATGGCAACAAAAGCCAAAATTGACCAATGGGATCTAATTAAACTAAAGAGCTTCTGCACACCAAAGAAACTACCATCAGAGTAAAGAGGCAACCAACAGAATGGGAGAAAATTTTTACAATCTACCCACCTGACAAAGGGCTAATATCCAGAATCTACAAAGAACTTAAACAAATTTACAAGAAAAAATCAAACAACCCCATCAAAAAGTGGGCAAAGCATATAAAGAGACACTTCTCAAAAGAAGACATTTATGCAGCCAACAAACACATGAAGAAATGCTCATTATCAGTGGCAATCAGAGAAATGCAAATCAAAACCACAATGAGATACCATCTCACACCAGTTAGAATGGTGATCATTAAAAAGTCAGGGAACAACAGGTGCTGGAGAGGATATGGAGAAATAGGAACACTTTTACACTGTTGGTGGGATTGTAAACTAGTTCAACAATTGTGTAAGACAGTGTGGTGATTCCTCAAGGATCTAGAACTAGAAATACCATTTGACCCAGCCATCCCATTACTGGGTATATATCCAAAGGATTATAAATCATGCTCCTATAAAGACACACATGCATGTATGTTTATGGTGACACTATTCACAATAGCAAAGACTTGGAACCAACATAAATGTCCATCAATGATAGACTGGATTAAGAAAATGTGGCACATATACACCATGGAATACTATGCAGCCATAAAAAAGGATGAGTTCATGTCCTTTTAGGGACATGGATACAGCTGGAAACCATCATTCTGAGCAAACTATCGCAAGGACAGAAAACCAAACACCGCATGTTCTCACTCATAGGTGGGAATTGAACAATGAGAACACATGGACACAGGAAGGGGAACATCACACACTGGGGCCTGTTGTGGGGTAGGGGAGCAGGGAGTGATAGCATTAGGAGATGTACCTAATGTAAATGATGAGTTAATTGGTGTAGCACACCAACATGGCACATGTATACATACGTAACAAACCTGCACGTTGTGTACATGTACCCTAGAACTTAAAGTATAATAATAAAAATAATAATGATAATAAATAAAAACAAAAAAAACAGAAAAAAAACAGGCATTCATTGCTCACAGTTCTGGAGGCTGGGACTTCAAGGTCAAGGATGGTGCCTGGTGAGGCCTCCCTTCCTAGCCTGCACATGGCCATCTTCTCACTGTGTCCTCACATGGTCTTTCCTTCCCTATGTGGCACTCTCAGCCCTGGTGTCTCTTCCTCTTCCTAAAAGGACACCAGTCTTATCTGATGAGAGCCCCACCCTATGAGCTCCTCAAAGACTCTATGTCCAAATACACTTACATGGGGGGTTAGGGCTTTCACATGTAAATCAGAAGGAGCCACAGTTCAGGCCGTAACAGTTAGGCAGAGAATATTGATTCTGAACCCACTACATGCTGGTCACTGTTCTAGATGCTACAACATCATAGTGAACAGAATCGAAAAAGACCCCCTTAGAGACTGCACTCTGATCAAGGAGAGACAGTACACAACACAGGTGTTGTGGACAGAAGTGTATCCCCCAGAATGCACACACCAAAATCCAATGCTTGTAAGCAAAAGTGTATCCCCCAGAATGCACACACCAAAATCCAATGCCTGTGAGCAGAAATGTATCCCCCAGAATGCACACACCAAAATCCAATGTCTGTAAGCAAAAGTGTATCCCCCAGAATGCACACAGCAAAATCTAATGCGTGTGAGCAGAAGTGTATCCCCCAGAATGCACACACCAAAATCCACTGACTGTGAGCAGAAGTGTATCCCCCAGAATGCACACACCAAAATCCAATGCCTGTGAGCAGAAATGTATCCCCCAGAATGCACACACCAAAATCCAATTTCTGTAAGCAAAAGTGTATCCCCCAGAATGCCCACAGCAAAATCTAATGCGTGTGAGCAAAAGTGTATCCCCCAGAATGCACACAGCAAAATCTAATGCGTGTGAGCAGAAGTGTATCCCCCAGAATGCATACACCAAAATCTAATGGGTGTAAGCAGAAGTGTATCCCCCAGAATGCACACACCAAAATCCACTGCCTGTAAGCAGAAGTGTATCCCCCAGAATGCACACACCAAAATCTAATGCGTGTAAGCAGAAGTGTATCCCCCAGAATGCATACACCAAAATCCAATGCGTGTGAGCAGAAGTGTATCCCCCAGAATGCACACACCAAAATCTAATGGGTGTAAGCAGAAGTGTATCCCCCAGAATGCATACACCAAAATCTAATGCGTGTGAGCAGAAGTGTATCCCCCAGAATGCACACACCAAAATCTAATGCGTGTGAGCAGAAGTGTATCCCCCAGAATGCACACATCAAAATCTAATGGGTGTAAGCAGAAGTGTATCCCCCAGAATGCACACAGCAAAATCTAATGTGTGTGAGCAGAAGTGTATCCCCCAGAATGCACACAGCAAAATCTAATGCGTGTGAGCAGAAGTGTATCCCCCAGAATGCACACACCAAAATCTAATGCGTGTGAGCAGAAGTGTATCCCCCAGAATGCACACACCAAAATCTAATGCGTGTGAGCAGAAGTGTATCCCCCAGAATGCACACACCAAAATCTAATGCGTGTGAGCAGAAGTGTATCCCCCAGAATGCACATACCAAAATCCACTGCCTGTAAGCAGAAGTGTATCCCCCAGAATGCACACACCAAAATCCAATGCCTGTGAGCAGAAGTGTATCCCCCAGAATGCATACAGCAAAATCCAATGCCCAGTGCCATGGTGTTTGGAAATGGGGTGTTTGGGAGGTAATCAGGTCATCAGGGAGGAGCCCCCATGATGAGAAAGAGGAGGAAGCACCGCATCTCTCCATCTGCCTGCAGCCGCGTGAGGGCAAGTGAGGAGGCAGCCGCCTGCAAAGCAGGAAGGTCCCAGCACACAGAGGCTCCGCAGCCCTGGGCCTCCAGAACCATGCACAGGTGGATCCTCCGCAGCCCTGGGCCTCCAGAACCATGCACAGGTGGATCCTCCGCAGCCCTGGGCCTCCAGAACCATGCACAGGTGGATCCTCCGCAGCCCTGGGCCTCCAGAACCATGCACAGGTGGATCCTCCGCAGCCCTGGGCCTCCAGAACCATGCACAGGTGCATCTAAGCCTCCCTGCCCAAGGTGTGCTCCTCCGGCAGCCCAAGCGGACTAAGACAGCAGAGAAACAAGAGATTACACGGTAGAGCAGTGAGTTCTTGGGAGGAACAGAGGAGACAGCAAGCAGAAATGGAGGGCCCAGGGCCAGGGAAAGGCTGGCTACCTCACATGGGGCTCCCAAGGCGGGGTAGGAGGGGATACCCACATACAGTCGGTATGGGAGGGTGGCAAGGTAACATGCGGTTGTCGGGGGGTGCTGTTATGTCACCTGGGTTGTCAGGCAGAGGTTGCTGACATGTGGCTGTCAGGAGAAGCATTGCCATGTCACATGGGTTGTCAAGGGAGGGTTGCTATGTTACCTAGGGTTGTCAGGCAAGGAGTTGCTATGTCAGAAGTTGTCTGAGGAGGGGTGGCTGTGTGACCTGAGGTTGTGAGGGGAGGGGTGGCTGTGTCACCTGAGATTGTCAGGTGAGGGGTGGCTGTGTGGCCTGAGGTTGTCAGGGGAGGGGTGGCTGTGTGACCTGAAGTTGTCAGGAGAGGGGTGGCTGTGTGACCTGAGGTTGTCAGGGGAGGGGTGGCTGTGTGACCTGAAGTTGTCAGGAGAGGGGTGGCTGTGTGACCTGAGGTTGTCAGGGGAGGGGTGGCTGTGTGACCTGAGGTTGTCAGGGGAGGGGTGGCTGTGTGACCTGAGGTTGTCAGTTGAAGGGTAGCTGTGTGACCTGAGGTTGTCAGGGGAGGGGTGGCTGTGTGACCTGAGGTTGTCAGGGGAGGGGTGGCTGTGTGACCTGAGGTTGTCAGGGGAGGGGTGGCTGTGTCACCTGAGGTCAGCTGAAGGGTTACTGTGTGACCTGAGTTTGTCAGGGGAGAGTCTGCTGTGTCACCTGAGACTTTAAAAGGAGAAGTTGTTGTGTGACCTTAGGTTGTCAGGGGAGGAGCTGCTGTGTGACCTGAGGTTGTCACAAGCGGGGTGGCTTTGTCACCAGAAGCTGTCAGAGGACGGGTTGCCTTCTTGTGGGGTTGTCATGGCGTGTGTTGCTATGTTGCCTAGGGCTGTTCAAGACATGAGGTCTAAGAAGAACTTTGAGGTTGTTAGCATCCTGCTCAGTCATCCCAGCTCTAGATCCTTCTCCGCGGGTGGTGGGTGCAGGTTCTTCCTGTGCAGGGGAAGTCAGCGCTGGCCACGTGACTTACTGTGGCGTGGACTGTGCATGGAATGAACTGTGTCTCTCATTGAGTCAGCTCCATGAGACATACTTCAGGTGGCCGCCCCAGCCAGCTTTGTTGCCAGGACAAGGGGCTCATGGAGCTGAGCCCCTAGCTGGCCAGAGAGGGACACATCGTGTAAGGGTGAATATGGGGTGTGGTTATGACAGCATAATGTCTCTGCCATCCTGAAAGGAAGGGAGGGTCTTCAGTGCAGAGGGAGGAGAAGGAGCTCCAGGCAGAAAGGACAGCAAGTGCCAAAACCGTGGGGCAGAAACATGCTGGATATGTCCAAGGGAAACACAAAGCCATGTGGCTGGAGTATAGTGGCCGAGGGTACAGGACAGCAGACACTACCTGAGGCCAGGAAGGCCACTGCAGGATCTTAACTCTGAGAGAGAAGCCACTGGAGGGTTTTGAGAAAAGACTTGCCTCCTACCGTATTTTAAAGGGCAGCTGGAAAGACATGGAATTCAGCAGCACCAGCCAGGATACGTTTAGGAAGCATTTGGGTAAGGGTTATGGAGGCTCAGATCAGGGCAGTAGCAATGGAGGGGAAAAATTGGATTCTAGGAGTTTTTGAAGGTGATTCTGCTGGGATTTCTGGAGGTGGAATGAAAGACAAAGGGGGACCAAGAGGAGCTCCTGTGGTTTGTATGCTTTTTTTGTTTTTATTTTTGTTTTTGAGACAGGATTTCACTCTGTTGCCCAGGCTGGAGTGCAGTGGTGTGATCTCAGCTCACTGCCATCTCCACCTCCTGGGTTCAAGCGATTCTCCTGCCTCAGCCTCCAGAGTAGCTGGGACTACAGGTGTGCACCCCCATGCCCGGCTAATTTTTGTATTTTTAGTAGAGACACGATTTCACCATGTTGGCCAGGCTGGTCTCTAACTCCTGACCTCCACCTCCAACCATGTTGCTGCAAAAGGCATGATTTCATTCTTTGCTATGCCTGAGTAATATTCCATGCTGTGTGTGTAACACATTCTCTTTATCCAGTCTACCACTGTTGGACACTTAGCTCAACTGCCCATCTTTGCTATAGTAAATGGTGCTGCAATGAACATCCACATGCATATTCTATCTTTCTGATATAATGATTTATTTTTCTTTGGGTGTATTCCCAGTAGGCAGATGGCTGGATCAAATGCTAGTTCTAGTTTCAATTCTTTAAAAAAAAATTCCACGCAGTTTTCCAGAGAGGTTGTTTTTGGACTGAGCAACCGAGAGGGAGAGTGACCATCTCCTGATGGAGGAGCAGCCCCACGGGTATAGACCAGGAGGGGGAGTGACCATCTTCTGAGGGAGGAGAATCCCATGGGTATAGACCAGGAGGGGGAGTGACCATCTTCTGAGGGAGGAGAATCCCACAGGTATAGACCAGGAGGGGAGTGACCATCTCCTGATGGAGGAGCAGCCCCACGGGTATAGACCAGGAGGGAGAGTGACCATCTCCTGATGGAGGAGAATCCCACGGGTATAGACCAGGAGGGGAGTGACCACCTCCTGATTGAGGAGAACCCCACGGGTATAGACCAGGAGGGGAGTGACTATCTCCAGATGGAGGAGAATCCCATGGGTATAGACCAGGAGGGGAGTGACCATCTCCAGATGGAGGAGAATCCCATGGGTATAGACCAGGAGGGGAGTGACCATCTCCAGATGGAGGAGAATCCCACGGGTATAGACCAGGAGGGGGAGTGACTATCTCCTGATGGAGGAGCAGCCCCACGGGTATAGACCAGGAGGGGGAGTGACCACCTCCTGATGGAGGAGCAGCCCCACGGGAATAGACCAGGAGGGGAGTGACCATCTAATGGAGGAGAATCCCACGGGTATAGACCAGGATGGGGAGTGACCATCTCCTGATGGAGGAGAATCCCACGGGTATAGACCAGGAGGGGAGAGACCATCTCCTGATGGAGGAGAATCCCACAGATACAGACCAGGAGGGGAGTGACCATCTCCTGATCGAGGAGCAGCCCCACAGGCACAGACCCGGAGCTTGGCTTTGAACTGGCCTCTTGAGAGCCTTCATGCAGGAGGTCGACCTCTCACCAGGAAGCCTGCCCCTGGCAAGGGTGAAGAGACCCAAGGATGAACTGGAGAGGAAGAGACACTGCCCAGACCCAGCAAAGGCTCCAGAGCCACAGGGACCTAGTACTGAGGCAGCATCTGGGGTCATCTGGTACGGAATCCACAAGGACAGACATTCCTTCTGAATCTGGAAGCCAACCACGTGGGGAAGTGATATCTTCTCTTCGTCCCTGGCAGTTTTCCTTAAAAGCCTGGAGCTTCTCCGGTCTCAAGGGGACCAGCCCCACTCTCCTCACCCCAGTGCAGGAAGCAGCAAGGAGAGACGTGAGGAGCCCGGCAGCGGTAATGGAGCGGAGCAGGCGGGGAAGGCCCCAGCGAGGGGCCGCCAGTGTCACTAGTGGAGCTGGGGAGCAAGCTATCACATGTCCACAGCAGTGCCCCGGGGAGCAAGCACTCGCATGCCCACAGCAGTACCCCAGGAAGTGGACAGCAGTGCCCCGGGGAGCAAGCACTCGCATGCCCACAGCAGTGCCCCGGGGAGCAAGCACTCACATGCCCACAGCAGTACCCCAGGAAGTGGACAGCGTGTGGGTGGAAGGGCCCCGATAACTGAGTGCTGTACTCATTGTCAGGAACTGGCTGTAGCCACCCAGGTAGTCATGGGTGAGCCTGGTGGTCAGAGCAGGCCACTCGGCTGGCGCACCCTTCAGACAGGCCAGGGCCCCTCGGGCTGCACCCTCTGAAGGTCAGGACTCGCTGTGCACTCACAGTGGGACATAGCTGAGGACCCCACTGCTTTGCCTCCGCCCCATGCCAGGCCCTGGGCAAGAAGCAGAGTCTTTCTTCTCTCTCGCCTACTCCCTTTCCCCTTTCTCCCCTTCTCCACTCCTTTCTTTCCACGAATATTTACTGGATGCTTTCTGAGTGTTAGGTATTAGACATGTCCAAGGAGGGATGCAAAGCCCTTCAGACGTGGTCTCCTCTGGTGAGACACTCCAATTCTCTCTGGGAAGACAGACATACATACAGAGAGATGTCATACAGACGGTCACAGCACATGAGTTGGATGGTGGTGCCTAGAAAGTTACAGTCATCCCTGTCCTGGGGAGAAGATGATGGAGGCTTGAAGGCAGGGGCTGCACCTTCAGATATGCCACATTGCCTGTGCACAGGGAGCCCGCATGTGGGGACGTGCAGCTGCCCCTCTCCCACACCTGAGCTAGTCCTGTTTCCCGATCCAGAATTCTTCTCATTGTCAGAGCAACACCCCCAGCTTGTCCAGCAGTGTGTTCTTGGACAATGCCTTCTCCTATCAGGACCTCAGTCTGCAGCTGTCTGAATACAGGCCACAGATGAAAACAGTCTTCCACTCAGGGTTCCTCTCCATTCGGTCTCTCTTCCTCCAGAGGACCCACATCCTTCTGCTGCCCCTGGATCCCCAAGGCCACACACTAGGGTTCCCTCCTGGCTCCCCTTCCCCAAACCTCCACCCAGGCCTGCTCTGCTTCCCGGTTCCCTATCTGCCAGGGGCACGGGGTTGAGAACCCAGCACCACCTTCGACTCTTCTCTTTTTATCCTCCCCACCACCACCTACACACACACACTGCACACGGTTGCCAAAACCATATTGAATTCTTTGGGGAAGAAGGAAGGGAGGGAGGGAGAGAGGATCTTTGGATAGTGCAATGCTTAAGAGTAAGGCTCTGATATCAGATGGCCTGGAAACAAAGATCTAACTATTTTTTTTCTTTGAGATGGAGTCTCAGTCTGTCACCCAGGCTGGAGGGCAGTGGCTCAATCTCTGCTTACTGCAACCACCGCCTCCCTAGTTCAAGTGATTCTCAGCCTCAGCCTCCCAAGTAGCTGGGATTACAGGTGTGCACTGCCATGCCAGGCTAATTTTTGTTTGTTTGTTTGTTTGTTTTAGTAGAGATGGGATTTCACCATGTTGGCCAGGCTGGTCTCAAACTCCTGACCTCAGGTGATCCACCCACCTTGGCCTCTCAAAGTGCTGGGATTACAGGCATGAGCCTCCGTGCCTGGACACAAATATCTAATTTTGGCTCTTCCACTCACTGTGACTTGGACAGCTTCACCTTTCTGCATCTCACTTTCATCATCTAAAAATGGGTTATAATTAATACCTCCGTCATTAAAGTTGTTAGGATGATCAAATGATAGCACATAAATAATAATCCACATATCACCTTGTCCAGGAAATGATCAGGAAATATCAGGGAGTGTTTTTAGGCCATTTGCAGCCAGCAAGGCACACGTTTGAATCCACACCCCATCAGTTACTAGCTGGTGAGCCTTGAGTAAGTTGCTGGTTTTCTCTCTCAGTTTTCTCCTCTCTGAAAAGAGCCATGCAAAAGATATGAGAAGGTCGGCTCTCTGAGAGTGAAGGCCGTGTCTATCCCACAAGTGGATCAAAGAAGCGCTCAATGCATATTGAGTTGGAAGAATGAACGGTGGGAATCGCCTTCACCCGACTGGCTGATTGCTACGATTAGAGTTACCAGTGTGAACTCTCTGCATATGGCAGGCACTTAGTGAGTACTACCTGAGAGTATTTCTTCTCCAAAGGCCACTTGCCGGGGCAAGCTTTCACCACGCTAGACAGCTGTAAGAGCCTCATGACTGTTCTCTGTGCTGCCATCATCAGGCCCTCTCCAATCTTACGCCACCAGATCAGCTTTTCAAAGCACATGTCAGTCTCTGGGTCAGAAACCCCAGCTGCTCCCCTAGAAGTACAGACTTCTGAATCTGGCATTCAGGAGTTCCTCAAGCCCCAAGCCTAACTGCCTCCTGTAAGGATCCTTCATTCAGTTCAACTGAACTTTATTAGGCCACTGCCTCCTCTGGAGACACACCCTCACCTTACTCACACACACGCACCCGCCCATGCACACATACCTCACTTCTGCCATTAGAATTCTGCACATCCATCAATACTTCACCCAGATGCCAGGCCCTCATCTTCAACCACCCTCTATACAACGTTCCTATTGACATGGATTTGAGTCTCCCAGTATTGTGACTAATTGGGTGCTCCGGGTAGGAGCAGAAACTGTCTTTCCACAGAACCAATTTCAGAGCCAAATAAATAGTGGGTTAAATGCATCAGGTTAAAATAACTCATGCCCATCTGGACACTTTTCTTCTTGATTCAGACTGAATCTGAATATGTCATTCCCTCTGTGTCCTGGTCCACAGCTCCGGAGCCCGGCTCACTTCTACTTAGAGCAGCTCTCTGAGTGCAGCTGGTCTAAGATGTTGCCCCTTTGGGACATCATGCCTGCACACTGGCAGGGGGCCTTCAGGATTTTAACCCGTATCGGTTAGACAGAACTTCCGGCCGGAAGGGGAGATACTCTGGATAACCCGTATCGGTTAGACAGAACTTCAGGCCGGAGGGGGAGATACTCTGGATAACCCGTATCGGTTAGACAGAACTTCCGGCCGGAGGGGGAGATACTCTGGAAAGAGGAGCTCTCCAGTGCCCCTCGAGTCCCACTGTGTGTGGGAGCTGATCCCCGCCTGAGAGTTGGCTCTCTAGGAATGGCTGGCCTCGCTGCCTTAGGCATTGGCTGCAGAAGGGCCCAGAAGCCAGAAGCCTCCTGACCACCCCCAGGGATGCTTCTCCAGCTGGGCCACACCCAACACCCCTGAGACCACGACATTGGCAGGCTTCCTATTGGCAGGATGGCCATGGGGATAGAACTCTTCCCAGAACTTTATTCTCCACTTCTGTTTCCAGACCTTTCCCCAGCCAGGGGCTTGACTGGTGAAAGGAAGCTTTGATGGAGATGGGCAATGGATTCAGGGTGGATCAGGCCCTGCTGTATTAGAATCACCAGGCACTCCCTTGGGAATGCAGATTCTGGGGTCCTGCCCAGACGTGTTCAACTACTCCTGGAATGGGGGTCCAAGGGTCACATGGCCTACAGCTTCCAGCTGATTCCTGTATTCACTACAAACCTTGAGCCCCTCTGGGCAGCCTCAGAGACCTGGGCCCCCAACACTTCTCACTGTGGTGTGTGGTGAACTTTGAGCATTTACCTTCCTGGCGTTTTTTGTTTCACACCTTGCCATCTCTAGAGATTCTTAATTTTTCTGATATAATTTTTACTCAATAGCTCTCTGATACACACTAACCAATAATCAATATTTATACAAATGCTTAGATGGGAAGCGGAGTCCTATTTGAGGGTGAGAAATGGGAAATGACATACCCAAAAAATCCTTGAGTCATTCAGCACACACCCTTGCCTGGACAGAAACATTTTTCAGCCTTTTTCAAACGTGCCTCACTCTTCTCTGCAACTTCTGCTGCCTCCTGGAATGTAGAGAAGAAACCAGCATTCAGAGAAATGTGCTCACATGGATCGATGCCTCATCCACATTACATGCTGACTGCAATCACAAAAAATGGGCCTCACCCTTCTTTTGCTGATGAAATTGAAGTTGGGGCCCATTCATGAGCATGCCCAGGTCTCACAGCAAGTATCTTTCAGAATCAAGGTTTGTGCCCACTCTGAGGCTGTGAAACCCACCTTCTTTCCCTCACCCTCCACCACCTCTTCCCCATCTCTCTGCTTGGGGGAATCCTCAGTGCCCCCCACCCACCCAGTGGCAACCCTCTGAGGGCTCTGCAGACCCCCGCAGGTGGAATCATTGCCTCTCATCTCTCTCCTCCCTGGGGACTTCTCTCTCCTCCCTGGGTACTTCTTTCTCCTCCCTGGGTACTCCCTCCCAGCAGTGGCCACCACTGTTCCTCCTTAAATGAACTTGGCTGCCTGTCTACCTCTGCCACCAGACGGAGTTCCTGGACTCCAGCCCTGCATCTTAAACAGTGCTTTTTCCCCAGACTGGAGGAGTGGCTGACCCACGAAAAGTGCTCAGTGACAGTGGAAGGAATGATGCAGACCTACACCCTTGGGCTGAGAGTGGAGGACAACTTTGCGAGCTTTTGCTGTGGCCTCTTCCAGCTCCTTTAACCCTGAAGAGGCAGGGCCCCAGGGCTCTGAGCTTAACCACCGTTCAGAACCCACACCCTAGGAGCCCAGGCTTGAGGCTGCTTGATGGGAGCTCAGCTCAGGCTCTCCGCTGGTGCATGCACTCTCCTATTTCCCTCTTCTCCACAGCCATACATAGCTTGTAAGGACCTGAATGGACATTGAATGCCTAGAATCTAGCTTCCCCTCATTATGGATTTGATTGATTCTCAACCCTTATTGTACAAAGCAACACAGGCCATTAAATAAGCATGATTTTGGAGGTCCAGCGATTGGACTCAAAGTTGGCTCTGGAACTATACAACGTGTGCCTGAACAGCCCTCAGAGCCCCAAATTCAAGTGTGGAGGGAACGGCAAAGGCATAACATCATGGCAGTTTCTCCTCCAATGACTGGTGTGGCAGGAAGGGAGGCTGACAGGCTCACAGGACAGTCTAGGGGGCACCTGACATTTTCGGGAGTTGTCTAAAGCAGGAGAAGACACAGACCTCATTAATCCCTGCAAAGGGCAGCTCAGGGACCTGGCAGCCACCTCTCACTTCTCCTTGGCTTCCCCTGTGTCTCCTGACAGTCACAGGAGTTTCATTACCATTAACAGCTCTGCAAATTGCACCATCAGCAAAATGCCCAGGTAGTTAATAAACAACTGCACAAGCAAATCCCGGTCACGGACTCTTCTCTCTGCCTCCTAATGAAAGGTGCAACTCTCTGGCATTTCTTCCAACTTCTGGATGTGAGAGGCAAATTTATCCTAAGGGCTCAGGAACAGGACCATCTCTCTAGGCTAGCTGGGAGCCCATTAAACTTGGAAAGGGAAGATCTGTGTTCCATCCCAGGCTCTGATGTCTACCAGTTATATGACCTTGCAAAACTAACTTAATTCCACTGGGTCTCAGTTACTCATCCATAAAATGGAAGCAGTAATAGTATGTACTTCACAGGGTTGTTATGAGGATCAAATGAGATCATCTATGTAATTAATGAAGTGATGGCACAAAATAAGGACTCAAGAAGAGATAGCCATTGTCATTGCTACCTGTCACATGTTCATGACCACGTTGACTCAGCCCATGTCAGGGGTATTGGGAGTTCCAGTCCATGCCCTGAAAACACAGATGAGAGAAATTGCCATTATTATTATTCTCGAGCCAGTGTCTCCCACTCCCTGAGGTCTCAAAGGCCCTCCTTCTCAAACACCCCCATCTGTCTGTTCTCTCTGCCTTCTGTTCCTATCTTTGCTGTGACTCCTCCTTCTTTGTTCTAATCCTGAATCCAGAAGCTGCCAATGCCTGCTGAAGTCCTCTAGCACTGCCTAAAGCAATGTTTTCCCACCGCGGGGATGGGGACCTGGAAGGATGGAACATTGTGACAAAGTGATCCATAAACCAGCTGCGCCCAGACGACTGCTAGGTCTGAGTGTAATCAAGCATTCAGTATGACCATGTGGCCCATTCATGGAGGCCCAGGCCACCTGGAGGCCATAGGAGCAAATGGGATCACAGCCTTAGCTCACACCAACCCCAACCAAAGCAAAGGAGCAGGGATTCACCAGCTTAGGGTCAGAAGGAAATTTGGCTGAGTCTCAAAATTAATAGGGCCCTTGTCCAGCCTGCAGTGTGGATACTGTTGTCAGAGGCCATCTCTGCTGGGGACTGAGTCAGTGTGGGATTGATTTTTAAAGCCTGACTGTCTGCTGATAGATGGTGTGATGAAATGAGAGATATAAATTGTCACGCTTTGCAATCACAGATGCTGTCACTGCAGCTGTCAGGGACTAAGAGGGCAGGCTGGCTGCTGTCATGGGGGTACCCAACCCTGGCAGATTTCCATTTGTCTGGCCAGCATTCAGGAGGACATTTCTTACATGCTAACCCCTCAGAGAAGTGACTGCCAGCAGCTTTATGGGGTGGTGCAATGGCCAGCAGGGGTAGCTCAGGGGGTGCCCTGAGCCCTCCTCCAGAACCTACCAGCCGCATGGCCTTGGGCAAGCTACTGAACCACTGTGCCATAAATCTCATCCTCAGCATAATGATGGTGGTGCTAATACTACCTCATCAGGTCATTGGTTCACAGAGCAAGCGTATGGATGTTGATGGGAGCGAAACATCCCGACTAGCAAGCCAACCCCAATAAGGCAACTCATTATCCCACAAAACACACTGCCGGAGAGAGGAAAATTCCAGGGATTTTTAACTGAATGACTCAACAAGGACAGGAAAACCTAGGTTCCTTTCACCTTCTCCCTCTGCCACTCTTCTGCTGTTGAATCTGTGCTTATGCTGGGTTCCCCATGGTTGCACTAAGCCTGCATCTGTTTTGGCTTCACATCCGGGTAGGACACGTGGAGAGGAGGAAGAGAGGCAACGTCCTGCTTTTGTCTCTTTTTTAAAACCTCTCTCTGAAGCCTCTCACCTCATGTCCACTTTTATCACATTGGCTAAGATAGCGTCCCATGCCGTTACCCTTATGTAAGGCAATGGCTTACTAGAAACGTGACCGGGACTGGCCAGCCCTGTAGGTAAGGCCAGCTTTTCTTAACACACATGGCAGTGTATCCCTGATCCAACAGAAAGAAAAGGCAACAGGCATGGGAGGTCAGCCACTGTCGGCTATGGCAGGTGAAGCACCGAGGACGCTGCCAGGCATTTGATGAGCACACATTCGATGGTAGCTCTTCAGGGCGACGTGTCCTAACTGTAACTCCGTATTATGAACGGCTAGGCTTACAGCAGATGTGACGATGTGGTTCACACCTCCCAGCTCACTCTTCTAGCAAATACACTTGCCTTCTGAAAACACAACACTGCCCTACAACTAAGCAAATTATTAAAGACTACTATTCAGGATTCATGTGATTTATTTCCAAAACTAAAGAAAGCTGCATTTATGTGAGACACACAGGTTACAGAAGTATTTAACAGAACACGAATATGTAAGCACATTTAGATAGAAATCAGACCAATTTTCAACTTTTGCTCTTTGCAGTAGATGGTAAGAATTTCTACTTTTGGGGCTGCAAAGATCCCTCCTTTCTGACTTATTGTGTGTCTTCACTGGCTCCTGTGTCCTCTGGCTTCTGCTGCAGAGCCTCCTCTACACTCAACTGCTTTCACCCGTGCCCTCAGGCCGGTTTCCATTGTCCCTAATCAAAGAGGCAGCCTGGCCAACATGCACAGGACAGCTTCCTCCCAGGGGAGGGTTTTCTTCTCCCAGCTCCATTCTGCCAGCCTCCTCAAATCTTTTTGAATATGGGTAAGTGCCCATAACTAAAAAATATAGATTCTATCCCCTGACCCCATTCAACTCTCTGAGAAGTCAAGGTAGCTTTCTCCATTTAAAAAAAAAAAAGTTTTTCACAGATACACAGGCAGAAGGAAGAAGGGCAGAGCCCATGGTTGCAGAGTCTCTGTGGCCGTCCCCTCTGGTCTGTAGTAGGCAGTGATGACAAGGTGGGGGGTCAGGCTGTAACACTGAGGCAGTATCCTCCAGAGGTGAGGCCAGCACACTCCCCAGCCCCAGGCTCAGGCCTCAGAGGCAGGCATCGGGGAGCCGGCAGCAACCCGCAGAGGGTGGAAAGGACCCTTCTTTGCAGCACGGTGCCCTTCTCACACCTGCACACAGGTGCATGGATGGAAGAGGTAGACAGTGATAGCGCCTCCTGTCCCACAGCCTCCTCAGCAGCTGTGCGGGTCCCTCTGCAACCCCTGACCACCATCCCTCAGCCAGGGTCTGAGAGGCCACTTTGAGAATCAGCTTGTTAAGCCAGAAGGTTAGATTTTATAAACCTTCTTAATATAGTTTTTACCTGCATGCAGGCTCAAATTATATCAATTGGTTTTCATAATGGATGTATCCATTCTCTTTCACGGAGGAGAAAATAGCCCAGGTCCCCAAGGAGGCACAAAGGGAGAGGGAGGAACCTGTACTCAGCCAGAGATTGAAAACACCATAAAATCCGAGTTTCAGGGGTCATTTAGTCCAGACCACCACTGCCTTTAACCTGTAGTATTCTTACCATTTCTAGACAGACCAACCATCCTTCTATTTGAGATGCCCTTCTCCCCAATAAAGTGTACCAGTGGGAAGCAATTCTTGACATTTGGGCTTTTCTTAAGGAGTACAACCTAAATCTATCACTAAGAAACATTTTCATGGCTGTATTTCAGCAGGGATGTGACACCAACTACTATTTGATACTGAAGACTTAAAAGCTGGGCTAAACTCCTGTGTGAAAGCCCCGGTATTAAATAACAAAAGGAAACCATTCCAATGGCCAGCTCTGCTCTGAGAGGCCTTTGTCTTATCCAAAAAACACCTTTCGAAAAACTCTATTTCCCACCTCATTGTCTCCCTTCCATTTCTAGGTAGTAGGGGAATAAAGAGATCAGTGTGGGGAAGGGAGACTGAGGCATAGAAATAACTGGATGTGTTTTGCTGGTGGACTAGGAGCAAGATCTACCTCTGGTACACAGCCTTCCTCTTACACCAGCCTAAGGGCAGCGGAAGCAGCTCCATGGGCAGAGATGATCCCTCATGAGGACTTACCCTGAGGGAGAAGTAACCAGAAGTAACCAGACAAGTGGGGAGGCAGCCCCTTGCTGCTCCTAATGGCTCCAGCTCTTTAACTCTGGGCCTAGAGGCATGCCACAGGGCACCTCCTTCTGAGAAGGGAGAAGTCATAGCCCTGTGAGGAGCTTGCTTAATCAGTGTGAAGTACCTTCCCGTTTCTCCCCTCTCCATTCCTCTCCTTCCTCATCCATACTCAGCACCATCCTCCCAGACTAAATTCCAAGCCCCTGGCTTGGCGCGGCACCATGGAACCACCTGGACCACCACAGTGGCTTGTCTTCAGAATCTCCTTCACATTCGTTTCTGCCCTTTTCTTCCCCCCCTGGCTCCTTATCTCTGGCTTCCTCTCCCTCCTCCTCCTCTCTGTCCTATTCCCTTGCCACTCCCTCCCCCTTCTCTTCACAAAGACTGCACACCCCTTTTTGCTCATGCTACCTCTTCTGCTTGAAATTTCACCCATTTGTCACCAAATTGTGTCCAGTCATAATTAAAGCCCATTTCAAACCTCAGCCCACCCAACTCTTTACAGCTCTTTTCCTTCTCTGTCTTCTGAACCCATGTGCCAGCAATTGTGTTTTTCGATAGCAGAGTCCTAGATATTCCAGTGTCTGTGCTGACCTCCCTGCGTGTAAGCTCCTTAGGGACAAGGTCAACGTTCGCTACTCCCCTCCTTGGCACCGGATGCGCTGCAGAGCAGAGCGTGAGAGCCGGGCCCTGGCGGAATGGAATGTTCCCTGAAGGGTTTCAGCAGCTTCTCTGCTGGACAGTTCCCTGTCCCTTGCCAATTCTGCCATTGGGCATAATTCCTTAGAACTGCGCATCTTCACTCTGAGAGAAGAGATGTGTAATCAAAAACACGGACATCAAAGTCTCCCCAGGTCCCTGGAGTCACAGTGGGTCAATTTAACTTATTTTTCCACAAGGCTTTCAGCTTTTTCACTGAGCTGCTTCTTCTCTAACTACCTATCATCTCTCCCTACCAAAGAACATAAAAGATCAAGTATGTTAAAATAATGAAGAGAAGAAGCTCCCTTTTCCCTAAAGGTTTCCAGGGACCATAATCTCAGAATGAGTAAAATCTTCAGAAATCCTTTAATCCCAAATCCATGATGTACAGATGAGAAAACTGAGGCCAAAAAGGCAAAGTGACTGATCTGAGATCCCACCACAGCAGCCAGAGCTGGTGCTGAGGCCTGCACAGCGCGCCCCTGCCTCCTCCAGTGGGGTGTCTTGCCCCGCAGAAGCCGTCCCACCTGGCTTCACGCTGGGCCCCCTTCCCTCTCACTCACAGTCACCTGACAAGCACAAGATATCTTCTACTGCTAAGCATGTGACTGGCAGCAAGCAGCTCAGAGTGACTCCTCTTGGTAAGCGTGGATTCTGCCAAGGAAGGTGCATAACCAAAGGAATAGAGCACTGTGCGGCAAGCCTAGCCCTGGCATCAGTCCTACAGGGGGTGTCCCTGAGCAGGAGTCTCCTTGGGATCCATTTAATCACAGCACAGAGTTAATGGCACTGAGGCGGCCGTCACTCCTTCTCCAATGAATGGAGATGGGGGTGGCTGGTTATAATTTCCTGAGCACTGAGGGTCCTAGGAGGCCTCAGCCTCATGGGGAAGAAGGTCTCTTTGGCAAGGAGTCCTTTGCAGTCAAGGGAATGCATTAAGCCACCTCCACAGGGTGCAGGGGGGATGCTGACCATGCTTACTTCAGCAAGAGGCCACCAGCCGTGGAGGTGCCATAGCCTCTCCTCACCAGCCAGAAGTCACCATTTAGATCATCCTTCTATGACATACATTCTAGCTCCTGTCTTGACCCTGGGGAGACTCTGCACAGAACCCATCTTGGGGCAGTGGGACGTTCCTCCCTATCAGCAGAAGAAATGGCTCACAGGAGTGCCCAGAGAGCAGCCTGCATGACTCCAAAGCTGAGTCCACAAGGAAGGTGGAGCCACCACCTCCTAGACATAGACTGGCCATGCCCCTGCCTTCTCACTCCAGTGTCTTTGTGTACCCTGTTCCACAGTGCAAAACTCCCGCCAGCTGTCACTCACTTGGGTGGAGAAAGGTACAAGCTTCATACAGGACGAGAGGGTGTTGCCCCGAGTCTCCCAGGGAAGCCACCTGCAGTTTGGTGGGGGGTTAAGAGCAGGGGAAGTGGCATCGTGGTGGCCTGAACCACTGCGTGATCCTGTAAACAGCATCTTCCTAAGAGCAACCAGCCAGTGGTGAGGGTGGGAGTGAGGTGGCGAAGCTTGCGTCATGCCCTCTGGGGAAACGCGAGGCCATTCATGATTCAAAGTAGGACTCCTTTGAGGTCTCAGGAATGTGTCATCAGCAAAGGGTCGGGCAGGCATGGAGGGGAGCAGAGTAGAAAGCACACTGAACCTAGAGGCAGGTGACTAGCTCAAATCCCAGCCCCTTCACTGATTGACAATGCGATTTGGGACAAGTCGCTTAACCTCTCTGAGCCTCAGCTTCCACATCTGTAAAATAGGAGCAAACTACGTGGAGCTTGTCATAAGAATCGAGATGAAATAGCTTAGTTCAAACCTGTGCCTGGCTCCAAGCATGTGCTCGCCGCGCGTGAGTCCTCCTTCCTCTCAGCTGAGAAGGCTCCTACACGTGGTTATTTCCTGGCCGGCTCCAGGCTTCTGCAGCTTACTGACAACTGGCCCCCAAGGAGCCCTTTCCATGCAACTTCTCGGACCCAACAGAGCCGAGCTGAGGGTAAGTTGTGGGCACTGCCATCGCCTCTTGCTCAATGTCCTCATGCCCAGAGCTCCCTCCTTGTCTGAAGCTGAGGAGGGGCCTCCCGGCCAAGGCCCAAGTCACCTCTTATCCCGGATTCTTTAAGATAAGCAGGCACAGGAGGAGGGCCTCGCGGGCCAGAAGACATGGGGTCTGCACAGTCTGCCTTCCTTTCTGGGCCGTCTCTCCTCATCCTCCACACCAGGCCAGAATTAGAACAGAGATCTGACTGGGCCTCTGCGGTGGCTCCAGGGCTCTCACATCAGGGAGGGAAGGGCCTTACCTGGCAGTGCCAGCCTTCATTTCTGAACACCTGCCCAGTCACTCCACACACATACGAACTCTGAACCCCAGCCAGCCCGCAGGCCGCGTGCCCTAGGCTCCTCCAGGCCTCTGCATCTCTGCCCCAGGCTGCAGCCTTGGCCTAGGGAGTTGGATCTGTGGGCTCCTCAGGAGAGCTCCAGACAGTGCTCTTGCCACTGCCCAGCAGAGTCCAGGCTCGGGACTGGCCCCAGCTGCACCAGGCTCCAAAGCTACCAACCAGAAAGAAGCTGGCAGATGGCAGATGGCAGAAACGTGTATCCAGACCCCACGTCCTCTGGGTAACAAGAATCACCTCCACCCCCCTGGCTCTCTTCCATGAGCACGTGACAGGGCCTCCAAGGCAACAGTTAGAGAAATAGCAGTCCCATCATTAACTCGTTCAAGAGAAATATGATGGGTTCCAACCCCATTATCAGCACACTGGGGGGTCCAGAGACACAAAGTGAAGGGATCCAGGTCTTGAGAGAGAAGGAGATGCATGCCCAGCCCAACGTGTGCAGGCACAAGGTAGCTGCAGGATGCAATGGGGATATGGGTGTGGTGCATGGTGACTGGGATGGAGGGAAAGGAGAGAAGGTGAGGGACAGCTTCCTGGAGGAGAGGATACTGAGCCAAGCCTTCAAGGATGCCTAGGAGTTAGCCAGAAGCAGAAGGTGAGGGCGGGGGGCATCCCAAAGAGAAGGAAAACAGGTAGGTGAGAAGCAGCTCGGTTTGTGGATGTCACTGAGCAGCTCTCCTTTGCTAGAAGATGCGTCTGAGGAGGCCACGTATTGCTGGGGGGCATGGAGCCAGCTACTAGGGCTTTGCAAGCCGCTTTTCAGAAGAGGGACTTTTGCCTGTAGGCGATAGAAAGCTATTGAAGCTTTTACGCAGGGAAGTGACCAGTTGAGATCTGCATTTTAGCTAAATTACTTTGGCAACAGACGGAAGATAAATTGTGGATTGATTATCCACGCAGGGCCAAAACTTTGGGATGCACTAGCTTGCGCTAGTAGTGAATGCTAGAGGGGAAAAAAAAAAAGAAAAAAGAAATTCTGGCTTCTGGCCCAATGTCCCTAGGCACTGGCCCTGTGAAATGCAGGTGGCTGTGGGTAGCTACATGCTGGATGAGGGGAGAAGCCAGCTCCCCAAGCCCTCCAGATCACCTAGACCGAGCCCTGCAGAACGCAGCTCGGTGCTGCCCTGTGCTCTGATGGTCTGTTTCACAAGCAGTTACTCTGCTCTAGAAACATGTATGGGTTTGGGTAGGTGAAGGGACTCAGCTCTGCTCTGTTCCCTCCTGTCCCTCCTAGTGGAGTGGGGCCTGGGCTCTCAGACAGGACTCTTGCAGGACCAGCTCTGGGTCCAGAGCCCTCAAGATGCCTCACCGTCGGACAAAGGATGCCTTGATGGAGCCTTGTCCAAACAGACAAAGCCCAGGCTCTCCAGCACCACCTAACATCTCACATCTCCCTACAAACTGTTCTGTTTACAAAAATAGAAGATCTCAGAGCTGCGGTCTACATGGGTCTCTTAGTTGATGAGGACAGACATCCCCAGCACGATGCAGAGGCAGGGAACAGGAAGAGAGCATCTCCGTCTTATGAAGTGGCCCCTCTCCTCATGTACTTCTGTCCCCAGAGAGAGGTCAGATGGCCACAGAGCCCAAGGATAACAGGGCCATCGCTCAGGGAAGGGATTGGGTGGTTTTCATTTTCCTCTTTGTACCTCTGCCATTTTACTTTGTAACCATTTAGGGGGGAAAATATCTATGAAGTGATACTATGTTCTTCCTAAATAGTGCTTCAAGGTTTATTTTAATTCCTCATACCCAGAAAGTGTTTTCCCAGGTCCAGGCTTGAGGCTTCCCACTATAATAAAAAGCCTCCTACCCCAACCCTCTTGAAGACAAGGCTTCCAGCCCAGAGGAGACCCTAGCATGGCCAAAGCACTCCTCACACTCAGTTGCATGCATAGCTCCACCCACCACCTGCTCAACTCCCAGGTTCCTTCTCTCCCACAACCAGAATCACAACCTTCCAAACCTGCTAATGATGTCCTCAAAATGTGCACCATATGGCAGGTCCAGGGTCCTGCCTGCACTTGCCAAGCTAGCCAGAGCTTGACCAGAGAGGAAGCCTGTCTTCAGCACCCTCCCCGGGCTGGCCAGTGGGACTGGGAGGCAGGCTGTGGGGACCTCGCACCCGGCTCCACCCGCCCAGTGCTGCTGTCCATCCCTCATCCAGCCACAGGGCTGCTCCCAGGGTATGCCCCAGCTTCTGCATGCCAACTCCATTAGAAAAACCTCCTGGGCGCTGAGACCGGGACTGTAGGCTCCTTCCTAGCCTTCTGGCTCATCTCAACCAGGACTCCATATGGGAATTTTCCAGAGACACCAGGAGACCACCTGCTCACTGCCATTGCAGGAGAGAGGACAGGGGCTGCAGAAAGGGTTTGAGGGACGGAAGTGACATAGGAGGAAGAATTCTAGGGGCTGAAGTTGCTGCCTGTGCTCCATTTCCGGTGAGCATTTCTAATGCCAGCCTGCACGATGCCTGAAATTCTCCCCATCCACATCACTCCTTTGAGTCCAAATGTTGAAGTTCTGCTTAAAATGCAAATCATGTTCCCAGATGAGAAAACACATTAATAATAACACTAAATACTCCTCTAACACTTTATACCACATCTCATTTCCTTCTTGAAACGGCCCCATGAGGCAGCACGGGATTACTCCTCCTCTGCAGATGGAGAGGCTGAAGCTGAGTGAAGCTGCCCCGGCGACAGCGTGCAGCGCCTGCGCGGACAGGAGGCGGGCGCCCCGGGTTTCAGCGCGGACTCTATGGCTTCACCGCACAATGAGCGCAGGCACCGCAGCATTTCAACCCTGTGTGTTTCAGCCACCTGAGGCCAGATCGCTATTAAGAGACAGGTGCGATTTCTGACTCATGAAGAATTTGTCTGATGGTGCTAGAATGCTGCCTGAGCTCTGTGCAAGGTGTGGGGCAGCGCGGGGAGGGTGCAGCAGCCTAGCGGGGCGGCCGGCAGCCCTCAGCACAACGGCATTTGGTCGAGGCCCTGCTGTCCCTTGGGAAGTTAGATCATGTGCTTTCTGAAGTTATAGCATCCAAGAATGGTGGAAATCAAGCAGAACACTGATGTGGTTTGAGTTATTTTCGTCACTTTCCACAAAATCCTGCAAGGGAGAGATGGGCTTCCACTAGCGCTAGCTCCTACGCAAACAGAGGGGGAAGGAAATACTACATTTTCTAACCCAGGCCTTGTGTCCGTTAAATGAGCATTTTTACAAAGCTAAAAAACAGCCAAATATGGCCCAAAGCTAAACAATAGCCAAAGTGAAACAGTTCTAAATGAGGGCTGTGGAGCAGGAACCCCAGCAGAAGTTAAAACTGTGACCCAAGACTTTACCAAGCATCTTTTAAGAACTCGATGCAGACAACGCAAGTCAATGCACTAGCAAGGATCGGGTGAAAAGTGTTATCATAGTCACCATTAATTTAATAGCTAAGGGGACAGACTCAGTGACAGAGGCCAGTGAGTAAAACAGATGAATATTCAAGCCTAAAAACTGCATCTGGACACAAAGAAATGGGGCTGTGGTTATTTGCACATTACAATGATCAGAAGTAAATAGGCTATATGCCCATTGGAGTGTTGAAGGAACCGTTAATATATTTCTAAAGAAATCTCAGGCCCAGTCTGAGACTACAAAAGCCCGAAAATATGCTGGATTCCCTGGTCCAACATCCCACACTGCACGGTGTCAAAATCATGCATCCTCTGGGAAGGACCAGCTCCCTAGTGCCCACATCAGAGGTGGCAATGGAGGATGATTGACAGGGAGGACCCTTCTGAAGGCGGAGCCAAAAGCCATGAAGACACAGTTCAAGGCGATGCTCCTGGAGACAGTGGGTGGGGACCACATGGGCCAGCCAAGGAACCCAGTCCACTGCCGGACGGAGAGGCCTTTTCACTCCTGCCTAGCAGGGTGGGTCCATCACTGTAAACCAGTGATCTCTGTGTTTCTCTTTCCTCCCTTTTCTGAATGGAAGATTGACATTTTTAAATTGTGGTTATTTTATCTTTCCTCTCAAGGAGAAAAGGTAGGGTAGGTTGGGAAAAAAATGGCCTGTCTTTTAGTTCATAGGTCACCAGCCATGAGAAGCCACATCTGGGACTGATGGAGCAGACTGCCCACACACAAGCTAGATGCAGAAACTGGGTGTGATTTGGGAGTGGTGGCTTGGGAATCAGAATGCGCTCTATGTGGAAGAGCAATGTCTGTGGAAATCAGAGAAAACCACAGTGGCAGATGCAGCAGACATTGCTAGGGGCCTTTCCCATATTCATTCTTTGTTGGTAGCATATCCTTATTTTATTAAGGGTAGCAATGTGCCATTGAAAAACTACATTTCCCAGCTTCCCTTGCTGGTAGTTATGGCCATGTGACTAAATGCCGACCAATGAGATGCAGACAGAAGATTATGTGTGATCTTTGTAGAGAAACGCCTTTTTCCCGCCTTTTCTCTTTTCCCCAGTTTCTACCTAGAATATGAACATGATAGGTAGAGTTGCACTCACTGTCACTGTTTTAGTCCATGAGAAGACCTGAAAATGAAAATAATGTGACAAGAACTCAGAATATAAATACTACCATGTTTGCTCATTGCCAGATTTCTATTACAGGAAGGGTGAGAAACAAACCTTCTGTTTTGTTTAAGCTATTGATCTTCTATATCCTCTTCTTTAGCTGGAAGTAGAATATAATTCTTACCTGATTCAAGCTCATCACCTACGCTTTTGGTGTCAATTTTAGCATCTGCAAAATGGGGATAAAAAAAAAACTATATCCAAGACTTCTTTGTGAGAATTTAAATGACATAATATATTTTAAAAGTCCAGCTCCAAACTTGTCACATAATAATTGCTGGATAAATAGAAACTATTCCTGCATTTACTACTATTACTAGTAGCATTATTATTATTATATAATCACTAATGACTAGGTCAAGCCAAGATCGAAACATAAGTATTCTAACAGCCAAACCTTTGCTTTTGCAGTTTGTAATCTTACTAATTCTCAACACCTTACCCTGAGCTACAGATAGACTCAAAGCACCAGAATAAAGGACAGAAATATTTGAGGCCCAGATGAGGAAGGTTTGCTGCAAGCAGCAGGCAGAGGTTAGAGCAGGATCAACCTGCTTTTTCTGTAAAGAGCCTTATAGTAAACATTCTTGCTTTGCAGGCCATACGGGTTCTGTTGCAGGTGTTCAATGTTGCCATCACAGCATAAAAGCAGCCATGGGCAATGTGTAAATGAAAGAACATGGCTGTATTCCAACAAAACTTTATTTACCAAAAAGGCAACAGGCTGGCTTTGGCCAGCAGGGCCTGGTTTGCCAATCCCCTGCCTAGAGGGATGTCCTGTGAGAAAAGACGCAAAAGAGACATGGAGGAGGCCCTAGTTCTGCAGCAATCTGTCCCAAGGCCCGGAGAAGGTCACAGATGCCCCTGTGCCCCCTCCAGCTTGTCCCCCAGTGCTCAGCACCTCAACACCGTGCTCTTCCTGGGCTCAGAACAAGGCGTGTGCAGCTGCACACCCCCTGCATGAAGGTTTCCTCCTCACCCCCACTCCATCTCACTGGACTAACTCCTACTCATCCTGCAGTTCCCAGCCTAGACGCTTAACTATCACACCTTTCAGAAAACCTTCCCGGCCCCAAGCCCGCTGCACTGTGCTGCATCACCCGGTCGCCTCCTTTGTCACACTCTGCTCAGGCACAGACTCTGTGCTCAGGTGCTAGGAGGATACTGCTGGGGCTCACACTGCCTGCTCAGGAGTCATCAGAGAAGGAAGTTTCAAGCCGGAGGTCAAACACAGGGGGAGCTTGGCAGAATGCGAGGAGAAAGGAGCAGGAGTTTGGGGTCCCAGGGCCAGGCAGAGGCATGCAGGTCAGCTGTGAGCACCTCCTCCTCACCTCCCCTCTGCCCCAGCGAGCAGCATCTGCCCAGTCCCACTCCCTGTAGGCTCTCTGCCAGAGGCCGCATCACCAGCAGGCTGTTAACCTTGGTAATGAAAAGCAACAACTTTATGGGCACCAGAAACTGGCGAAGCTCATCAATTTTATTCATAATAGAAAATTATTGCTTGAAGGCAGGGCACAGTGGCTCATGCCTGTAATCTCAGCACTTTGGGAGGCCAAAGCAGGCAAATGGCTTGAGGTCAGGAGTTTGAGACCAGCCTGACCAACATAGTGAGGCTCCGTCTCTAAAAAATAAACATACGAAATATTAGCCAGGCATGGTGGTGCTCACCTGTAGTTCCATCTACTCAGGAGGCTGAGGCGTAAGAATTGCTTGAGCCTGGGAGGCAGGGGCTGCAGTGAGCCGAGATTGTGCCATTGCACTCCAGCCTGGGCAACAAGAGCAAACCTCCATCTCAAGAAAAAAGAAAAAAGGAAATTAATATTTGGAAAGAGTAAGCCAGCAGCAGTAAGGACCTCTGGTTTCAAATTGTTCTGTGAGGAAAATGCACTAGGAGAGAAGAAAAGACACACACACAATACCCTTAAGGGTGAACAAGCTTTATCTCACATAAATGGTAATGCAGATATAATACGCAAATGATATAAGCAAATTGCAATGGGAAGGGGAGAAGGGAAAAGACATATATATATTTACACTCACCAGACTACGGAGGATTCACCACCAGACTGGGAAGCAGCAGGCTGGGCTCCAGAGTCAGACACTCGTTCATGCACAGATGAGGAGAGGTCTCACAGAGCTTCAGTGCGGTCTGGGACCTGAGCTCTGTTGTTACTTGTTACAAGTTGTTTGTCATGAGGCCCAGTCACGACGGCACTTCATGATTGGGCTCAAGGAACACAAAACGGGCAACTTGCTTTTGCGATTGTCTGTTGTTTTTCAGTAACTAACGTATAGGAATAAATTGAAATAGAGATTTCTCCAAAACAGCGCTGGATGAACCCCTGAAGAGGCTCACACAACCTGTTCCGGGACTTGGTGACCATTGTTTGTGTCCACATTCAGTTGAGTCCAAATTAATATTTAACTTTTCCTCCACACAAATATGAGCTGGGAGGTGCGGAGTTTCCTGACATTGAGGGTTACTTTCCCCTTTATTACACCGCACCAGAAGTACTGTCTTATTTTTATGGGGGTATTCTTTGTTTTCCAGTTCCAGGAATTCCATTTGTATTAGGAGGAGGTAGGGGAGGACAGTCTACCTCTGTCCTTTCCCCTCCCCTCATGTCATTGGAATGAAGAGGGTATGGGTGCAGCCCACGGCGGGCAGCTTTTCCTCCTCTGGCCCTAACCCACCAGACAGCATCTGGTTCTCAACGCAGAGCTTTGGGGAGTGGGGTGGGGGAGAAAACAGGAATGGAGAATAGAAGAAAAGAAAGAGAGAAGGAGGGAGGGAGAGGGGAGAAAATGCAGCGCTAACTGGCATTGACCAAGAGCCAAGCACGAGCTAAGCACGTCATGGGCTTTACCTCTTTAATCTCATTTAACTTTCACAACAATCCTCTGAAGTTAGAATGATTTTCCGTGCTCTCGAGATGAGGAAACTGTGTCTCAGGAAAAGTAAGTAAGCTCTCAACACCTGTTACTCAAACCTGGGCCTTGAGACTCATGCCCGTGCTGCCCAGGGCAGCCCCCTCCATGGTGCCCACCGCGGCCGCCGGCTCTGCAGCCCCTCGCTCACTCCTGTCCTGCAGCCCCGTGCTGAGGCTGCATTCTGGCATCCAGGATCCATCCGGAGCTGCCGTGATTCCAGGGCGGCTCATGACTGTATAATTAAGGGGAAGGCAGAGGCGTCGCCAAATAGGACCAAGGGCCGACTGCAGGAGCTGCCAATCCTCCACACAGACGCACGCACGGCGCTCCTCTGAGGGGTGGGGAAGCCGTGGGGCCTCCTGTGGAGAAGCACATCCCATCTGCACTGCAAGAGGAAGCGTTTTGGTTAAGAAACAGCGCCTTATGCTCTTCACACAAATTCACCCAGACTCAGGAGTCAACAGCTGCTTGACTTTCCTGAAAACGGCTGGTGCAAGCCCTTCTCCAGGAGCACATGAAGTGGCCAGTCATGGCTGCCTCTGCGGAGAGGAAAACATGCTTGAAACTGAATTGCTTCCAGAAGGGAACTGTAACAAACTGTAACAAATCTTTTAATTTGACCCTCCCGCTCACTGTGTAGAAGGAACCCGTGGTGAATTTTGGCTGGATATGGGGCCACTGGGGCAATGTGGTTTGGGTTATGAGTGTGAGCTTCAGTGTGGCACATACCAGGCTCAAATCCATACCCTACTCTCACTGCGCTTACTTCAGATAAGTTCTTCAACCTCTGGGTAAGGCTCCATGCTAATAAGCTGTAATAATAACCCTGACACAGTCACTGTAAGGACTGAAGAGGCGACACATGGGTGGAACTAAGCACTTGGTAAGCCCCCCATACATGTGGGCAGTTACGGAGCAGAGAGAATGCAGGCCTGACACTGGGAGGGCAGGTCAGGGGTTGTTTTTTGCTGGGACAATTCTCAACATGTGTTTTTCCCTACAACCACCCTACTTCACCTATCATTGAGACGTAATTGAAATATGGCTTCTCCCAAAATTCAGGAAATCAGGGTCTAGAGAAGTTCTATTGTTAGGCATAGGCATATACAGTGTCATATGGTCTCCACTCCACCCACCCCTCCTGCCCCAGCAGATCCAGCATGCCATGCCTGGAAACAGGAGAGCTTCACAGGGCACTTACGGAATCCACCAAGCATCTCCTCCTAAGGGCCACTAGGACCAGCCCACAGACATGGGAAAGCGCTGACTACCTTGTTTGCTGTGATGTTTCAGTACATAACTCCTGTTCTCCTAGAGCATTTCTCTTTTGTAAGTGAATTGGTATAGTGCTTGAATCCAGAAGGAGGGATCCTGGACTCCCCTCGTAAGCTCCCGGGAGCTTAAGAAATCAGCTGACAATTTCCTGTTGTCGAATTGTTCTAGCAGCATGAATGCGTCCAGCATAGACTCTCCCTGGTGTGAACTGGCCTGAAAGTTTTTACACCATCCTTTGGCAAGGAAGATGAGAAGCTTTTCCGTGAAAGAGTACACACAGCCCATGCATGACATAGCTCCAGGTATGTGCTCATTGTGATAGGAAAGGGCATCGGGAGGCCGAGCACCTTCAGCAAGAGGCCTGTGAGAAATGATTATCTAGAGGGTGTCGCTTCCATTCCCAACTCATCCCAGGCAGAGGTGATTCTCACCTTGCATTCGGGGCCACAAATGAGCGCTCTTGCAAATAGGCAGCACAGAAGAGCATCTTCATCCAGACCTCTTAACTCTCATAGGAAACATTAAGGCCATGACTATCCCATCCCAGGACTTTATTATGGTGTGTTTTAAATGCCATTCACCCTCCAGGTGGCCCCTCTGCTCACAGAATAAGTTCTCTGTGGTCTTAAATCTGTTAGCAAAATGAGGATGTAAATCCTCAGTGACTTGAGCCTGCTGTTCATATTTCTGAATAATCTGGGAATTTTGAAAGCTTGGAGGTGACTGACCCTGATTTTAAAATGTACCCAGGATTTATTTTAATTGGACACGACAAGGCCAACAGATCAGGAGACGCTTGTCTTTGAAAAGATAGTTTGTTACAGTTCCCAAGAGGAGGGGCAGTCCATACCACCCCGCTCAGGGCCATGTGGAGAAGCACCAGGTCAGTCAGGGGTGGGGACGAGAGGAGAACTTGGGCAAAATCCTTGGGAGTGGTGAAAAGGAATGGGGAGGCAGGGGGAGGGCTGGGCAGGCTCAGGCCTGGGTAGTTTGGGATTCCAGAAGGCTCTGGTTACACGGGCAGTCTCTAGCTGCCCGGCACCTGGCCCTGAGATGATTAGGGCAGGGAGATAGTGTCCCAGACTGCAGGATCCTGATCACGGGCGCTCCAGCCTGGTGGGTTTGCATATCAAAGACCTGCTGGCAGGCAAGTTGCTGGTGATCTCCAGGAATGAGCAAACCCTGGGAGAGGCAGTCTCTCTCTGGGTCCTCAAGGGCATCATAAAATACAGAAAATAAAAACATAATTAATAAAACGTTTTCCAGTGGTCATATTGCATTTGAGTTATAAAGTGTTTTATGAGTAGTGTCATTAGTCTTATTGCTATACATGGTCTCCCTGTCTATACCCTTCTTTTGAATCATTATCAACATAATGTTAAATTCAGTCCAGAGGAAGCACTAAAGAATCCTCCACAGAACCTCACAAGGGGGCCCTGCACATTCTCCTCAAACATTCACAAGGGTGTGGCTCTGTGGTGCCAGCAGCACGGCCCTCAGCAAGCTGGTGGGCATGGAAAGCTGTGTTTCTATCCTACAGTTTCAACAAGCACAGCTCATCCAATGCCCTGGATAAAAGAAAGGAGAAAGAGCGAGATGTGAGTGCCAGTGTGGACGCCGTAAGCCATGAGGAGAAAGCCAGCATCCCTGCGGGCCCCTGTGTTCCTTACTTCAAGGGGTGGAGGGGCTCCTCAGTGTACCCTGGGAACCTGGCTGCTCAGAAGGACATCTTTAGCAAACTCCAAAGCAGGGCTCCTGGCCCTAGAAAAGGATAGCATTTTACCTCACAAATGGGACTTACAGACGTATTTATCAAATTATTATTATTTCACAAGGTAATGCTCAATTTTATACATTTTTTTTTGTTTCTTAATGCTGTCTATAACCTACCAAACTGATTTCACAAGCAGTCATGGGTTTTAACCTGCAGTGTGAAAAAGCTGCTCTAAAGAAACGCAAAGCCTTCCAGGAGACTCAGTGAGATGCCACAGCTGATATCGTACAGGTAGTTTATTTTTAACTAAATATATTTACTCTTTTTATAAAAATGACATATTTTCCATGTAAAAATTCAAACATGTGAAATCCCCCCAAAAAAGAGAAAAAAAAAACTCTCTCAGACCTGAAGACACTTACCACTTACTTTTTAGTGACCTCCCTTTCAGAATACTCCCTTTCACATATAGACATTGATATACCCTACTATACAATGGGCATTGTAGGATACTGTCCAGGCTATAGGATACTATACATGCCGTTCTATTATTCTGTTTCATGAAAAATGGCATTCAAGTCTCTTCATTTTCATCACTATCTTTAAGGGTTAGTGTTTTATTGTAAGGATCTCCAATAATTTGCTCTACCAATTCACTATTGATAGGCATTTTCAATGTTCCCATTGTTTTACAATTATAAATGATACTTTAATGAACATCCTTGAGTATGCATCTCTTTATACCGCTGTAATTTTCTACTTATGATAAACCTGGAAGTGGACTCATTGATTCAGAGAGTAAACACTTTTATATTTAATACATAGTACCAAACTGCCCCCAAAATGATATGACAACTCTCCCTAATAGCACTTAAGATTGTCCAAATCCTCACAACACCTCTAACACTGGGTTTTGTCCATTTAAAATTTTTTTCAATACAATAAGAGAAAATATCTTATTATTGTTGGTATTTGCATTTTTTTAATTTCTAGTGAGGATGAGTATCTTTGCATAGCCTAATTATACATTTGTATCTCTTTTGTATGTTTGTGTGTGCAAATTACCTGTTCAAACCCTTCACCCATTTTTCTCTTTTGGGTTGTTCTTGTTCTTTTCTTACTGATTTGGAAGAAGAAGTGATGTTCAGTGGTTGAGCATGAGCTCAAAGTCAGACTGTCCAGGTTCAACCTCCTGTCATGTTTTTAAATCTGCATAAGCCCAGGCAAGAGTTGAGCTCTCCATGTCTCTGTTTGTTCATTTGTAATCTTGGATAGTAATTATGGTAATGATATCTCCTTCTTAGAGTTGTGAGCATTATATGTGTTAGCGAGTCCAACATCCATAAGCCTGTGCCTGGCACATAGTAAGTATTCAATAATACTATGTTAAGGATAGGGTGAAAGTCAAGGTGTTTTGACAATTATGTGGCATGGACATCAACCCATTAGGATGGAAATCAGCTGCAGCACTGGAGCAGCATCCTGAAGTCACTGTCTGAGTCTGTATTGTGCTGCTGCAATGGAATACCACAGTCTAGGTCATTGATAAAGAACAGAGATTCATTTCTTACAGTGCTGGGGGATGGGAAGTCCAAGGTCGAGAGGACCTCATCTGGCAAGCACCCTCTTGCTGTGTCATCCCATGGTGGAAGGTGGAAGGACAAGAGAGTGCAAGAGAGCAAGAGACAGAGAAGGGGGACTGAACTCATCCTTTCCTCAGGAGCCCAATCCCATGATAACTAACCCACTCCCAAGATGAGTAACTGACTCCCACAATAACTAACTCACTCTCAAGATAAGTAACTGACTCCCACAATAACTCACTCACTCCCAAGGTGAGTAACTAACTCCCACAGTAACTAACTCACTCCCAAGATAAGTAACTGACTCCCGTGATAACTAACCCATTCCCAAGATGAGTAACTCACTCCCACAATAACTAACCCACTCCCAAGATAAGTAACTGACTCCCATCATAACTAACCCAATTCCAAGGTGAGTAACTGACTCCCACAATAAGTAACCCACTCTCAACATGAGTAACTCACTCCCAGGATAACTAACCTACTCCTGAGATAAGTAAACTCACTCCCAGGATAACTAACCCACTCCAGAGGTGAGTAACTCACTCCCAGGATAACTAACTCACTCCTGAGACAAGTAACTCACTCCCAGGATAACTAACCCACTCCTGAAGTAAGTAACTCACTCCCAAGATAACTAACCCACTCCTGAGATAGTAACTCACTCCCAGGATAACTCACTCACTTCCAGAATAGTTAACTCACTCCTGAGACAAGTAACTCACTCCCAGGATAACTAACCCACTCCTGAGATAGTAACTGACTCCCAGGATAACTAACCCACTCCCAAGATGATGGCATTAATCCATTCATGAAGACTGAGCCCTCATGACCTAATTACCTCTTAAAGATCCCATCCCTCAAAAGTGTGCATTGAGGATTAAGTTTCCGACACATGAACCTTGGGGGACACACTCAAACCACAGCAGACATTAATCTATAAATTCCTGAATGTGGGAAAAGGTAGAGCTGGTCCCAGGGAAGTCAGTGGCAGGGTCCACAGCCTTGGGAGACTCAGACAGGCAGCTGTCTGCCAGCTGGTGTGGGTGGGCTGTCATGTTCTAACTCGAAGACAAACTGTGCAGCCCTCACCAGCCTGGCATCACCACCAGCATGCCATGTGTGAGGCAGAAGGCTTCCAGGTTCTCAGTGGTCTTCCATCTTTGTTTGTGGTTTTCTAAAGCTTTACAATTTTATGTGATCAGAATGATCTATCTTCCTTCGTGCTTCTGGAAGGCCTTAGCCACCAAAGATTATACAAATATTCATTCATGTTTTTGTTCAGTATTTTTCCGGACTCCTTTGAATATGTAAAATCTCAGAGAGTGAATTTCCATTTTCCATGGCTGTTCAGCTTTTTGAGCAGATACATTCTCATTGCCAGAAGGCCTATTCTGTAGGTTACAACTTAATTTATACAAATATATATAAAGTATATATATACCAATGTATAAATATAATATTTATATCTGCAATAAGAAATAATAGGTCTTCAGTTGCTCCACAGTTCTGTGGTGCATGCCCAGCTCCCTGAGGCCCACAGATGAGCCTGGGTCCCGTGGGTCATGCTCAGAGCTCCCTGAGTCCCTCCTGAGCACAGCTCCCCATTACATTTACGGGTGCTTATTTGATGAATGGTTGTGTCTCCCACACACTTCAGTAAGTTCCACAAGGACAGACAATGTCTCAGCTCACCATTCTGGCCCCAGAGACAAGCACAGAGCTGAGAGTAGAGTGCATGCCACAGATAGAGAGCAGGAGGGAAGACGGAGAGAGAGTGATGAGAATGAGCCGGGGGTGGGGAGACAGAGAGCAAGAGAGAGCAGGGAGGAAAGCAGCATCAGTCTTTGTGCCTTTGTTCCTCCCCACCCCCAGCCCATCACTCCACTGGGCTCACCCAGAAATAGGTGCCCAAAACAGATGGTTCAATTAAATTGAATATAGTTGAATTGCAGGTGGCTGTTCGGCTCCCAGAACCCAGCGTGCAGACGCGCCTGTGACTGACCACCTATGCAGTCTCCAATCTAGCTATTTGTGTATGTCTCTTTCTCTCATGAGACTGGAAAGTCCTCGAAAACAAGGACCTTCTATCATTCATTCTTATATCCTCGCCCTCCTTACACTGAGTTTGAGCTCAGAAAATGTTTGGCAAATGAGAGACAGAACCGTGCAGCACCCTAGCCTGAGCCTGGGGCAGCACAGCCTGCAGCAGCCCAGCCTCCAAGGCTCCTCCCATCAGGTCTCAGCCTCAGCAGCTCCCTCGCCCCAGCCAACATCCCTACACCTCCATCCCACATTAGCAATAGTTATTGGATGTGTAAATTACCATCAATGGAGTGACAAAGACTCAATTAAAGAAGGAGATCTGAAGTCAAAGCTGTCACCTCAGAGAAATCAGCCTTGACAGATAACAGCAGCAGCTCTGCAGGGCAAGTACTCAGAGGTAAGGGCTGGAGGGACCCCTTTCCTCACCCCTGGCCCGCTTTGTGTGGGAGAAGGGTGGGATCTGTCAGGGACTGCTGTCACCTCCCTGCCCGGGCAGGCCCTGAGGAGGGCCGGGAGCCACAGGGAAGCTCTCTGCATCATCCACCTCCTCCAGCCCTCTGAGAAAGAAGAGCCTGAGCAAAGATGCAGAGAACACTTGGCTGAGCTGGCACCACTCAGCAAGCAGCCTCCTGCGAGGGGGCCATGAGAGGGCACTGACCCTGCACTACCGCTGCACATCTGCACAAGCTGGGCATTCAGGCCAGAGTGCAGGGTGGCTGCTGGCCATGTCTCACTGCTGCCAAGCCCAGGGCAATGGTGGGAGCTGCGCGACTTCCCCATGCCTCCATGTCCCTGCTTATAAAACAGGACCTTTCCAAGAACAAGGTAGCTGTGGTCAGAGGAAAGAAGCACACACTCTGTGCTTCCATGTTCACCCAGCACCAGCTGACTAGGGGCTGCCAGCTCACCAGGCCATCCTCACTTCCTACTTCTCCCATGCTGCCCCAAGGGGTCAGGCCCTGGCTTCCCCTCAAGCATCCTCCAAGCCAGTATGACACATGCCGAGCCTGGCACCTCAAAACCTGCTCCCTCACAGTTCCCACAGAACATTTTAGCCTCATCAGCCCACCCTTGAACAACCCTAGGTCCCAAACCCAGTCCTACAGTCCTACACCCTATAAACATTTCTCACAGTTCCCACCTGATTTCATTCCCCTTTTTGTGCAATCCCACAGCAAATTCCACCTCAACACTTCTTATGCTATACTATTTTTAGTTTTACATTTTCATATTATTATGTTAATATGAAATATTATTCATATAATATTACTAATTATTACATTATTAATATTAATACCACAAGTTTACATGCTCTTAGAGGGCATCCTTGATATACGTCAGCTCAATAATATGCACATATTATAGACTCAGGGAATGTATTTTGGATAGATGAATGAACACATACCTAAATGAATAAATCAACATAACTTACCAAATCCAGGTCTGTAAAAAGAGAATTACAATGAATGGGTTGATGTGAGGAACACTTATTATATAATGAATAATAGTGTTTTGCAATCTGAAAATAATTATCCAAGAGTGTACTATTTTTTCTTTTTTAATTTGGAGACGGAGTCTCACTCTGTCTCCCAGGCTGGAGTACAGTGGTGTGATCTCGGCTCACTACAACCTCCACCTCCCAGGTTCAAGTGATTGTCCTGCCTCAGCCTCCCGAGCAGCTGGGACTACAGGCACGTGCCACCACTCCCAGCTAATTTTTGCATTTTTAATAGAGATGAGCTTTCACCATATTGGCCAGGCTGGTCTCAAACCCCTGATTTCGTGATCCACTCGACTCAGCCTCCCAAAGTGCTGGGTTTACAGGCGTGAGCCATTGCACCCAGCCAAAGTGTGTACTATT